>NC_000010.11:105143095-105446125 GCF_000001405.40 Homo sapiens
ACTATTTCACTAAAAATCCTAGCCATTGCTACAGTGGCCACCTGCATGCCAAATCAAATAGATGCCTCTACATCTTTATTGCTTTTCACCATTCTGGAACATTTGATACTGATGAAAATAATCCATACTTGATACTCTTCCCTTTGGTAGTTTTTTTTTATGATTTGTTTTTGTGGATCCCCTTCTTACCACTCTCTAAATGTTGGTGTTCCTAAGTTGTTCTTGTATTCTGCATGGCTCCTAGGTGACTTCATCCTTCACTTTTTTTCAATAGTGGTGACTCCTATATCTACAACCCCAGCCCATATCTCTCCATTGAACTCTAGACCACATATCCAACTGCCTATTTGATGTAGATCCTCTTAAAGATATCCCATTTAACCAAGGTTGTAAACTAAGCTTCTAGTCTGCACTTTATAGTTCTTATATCCCATCTTTCAACTATGTTTACTTATATACTCCATTTGTTTCTTCAATAGTCTTTTGTTGGATGTCTACCATGTGCCAGATACTCTGGTGAGTATTAGAGATAAAGTGATACATCAGAGAACATAGTTTATGCTCTTTGGGATCTTCTAATGAAAGAGACAGACATCAAACAAATAATTACATAAGAGACTATTTAATTATAATTGTAATGAGTGCTATAAAGGAAAAGAGGAGTTTCATAAATCACGTTATCTGAGGCATTATATATTTGTCCTACTCCCTTCTCCCGCTGTAGATTTTACCTCCTTACTATCTCACCAGTCTGTCTCCTGGGAACCTCATGGAGAACCGGCTTCCTTGGTTCAGGCCCTCCTGAGTTATTATCTGAACTGTTGCTGGGACCTTTTAAGCCTTTCTCCCTGCCTCTAGCATTGCCCCTCTTAAGTCTTCTCTTCACAATGCTTCCGCAATTAATTTGATCATGCAAGGATCCCTATCCTCTCTAACTAAATCTCTGTATATATCAATTCTAATCATGCCTTTCTCTTGCTTAAAATCTTGTGATAATTTTGTGCTATTCTTTGGGCAAAACTTAGGTGTGCCATAGCACCCCTTATGATGTTACCCACTGTCTGCCTCACCTCCTTCAGAGGGAAACTGCTTTTATGCGATACAGATTCCCACACATTTCCTTGACTGTTCCATCCTCATTGTCACCTCTAAGCATTTGTACTCCAGTCACCATTTTTAGCACCTCTATCATAGCACTTAGTCAAATTTGAGAAAGGCCACTAGAGTATGTGATGTCTCCACCATCAGAAGACAACTTCTTGAGGGCAGGTTTTGCTTTTTCTCTATTTCCGTTGTCTGACACATGGCAGATGCTTAATAACATGGGTATTTATATAATGAATAAAGTTACATTAGGCCTAGATTATAAGAAAATGTTTCAACATCAGTGAAGTATTTTCACCATTGTTCACCTAGGAAGTCACAGGTTTTAGTTTTCAAAAGCAATCATAACTCTCCCAAATTATTGTCTTGGCAGGGCAGACATGGAATGTTATTTATAATTGCTTTCCAAATATAAATATGTATGTGATTATGTCTGATGCTTTTCAAGTTCCAAGTTTAGTAAAGTCCCAGTCTAAATTTACTCTTATTGCATTTTCCCTCCTTGGATTTCTCTCTTTAACACCAAAGATTTCCCTGCATGTTCTCAGGACCAACAAGTAAGGCAATGACATATGCTATGGAGCTAAACTGAGGTAACTCAGTTTAAGAAATAAGCTTCATTATTGTTCAGGTCTCTATTGGACCAATTTTAGCTAATTATGCTTTTCTTTTTCTTGAAGACTGAATGTTCTAGTTATTATTGGTTGACCCCATTCAACCATAAAGACCTATTTAGACAAAGGTTATATATTTCAGAGTGTTTCAAAAAGTGATTCCCTGGACTTAGATGCACCAGAATCATCTGGAGGGCTTGTTCAGATGGAAGAATCTAAGGGTCTACTCCAGACATACTGAATTATAATTTCAGGCGGTGGTCAGGATTAGAGGCAGCCAGGTTTGCTGTATGTGCATTTTAGGTTAATGTTCTTAGCACAAGTCTGCATGCTATTAAGATTGATAGGTCATTTTGATGCACACCAAAGTTATATCCCCACTGATACAGTGTTTAGAAGTTAGCTTCTTGGTTAAGATTAGGTTTAAATTAAGATAAAATTGTAGGTTTATATCTTAGTAATGTTATTTATTAGCTTTGGCAAATTAAGGAATTATCAAACAGATATCTCAGAATCCTGGATACCAGAGAGCAATCTTACTCCAGAGCCTGGAGCACTTGTTCACCAGGTGACACAGCCCCGGGAAAGCATTAACCTAATATGCACTCACAGCAAACCTGGCTGCCTCTAATCCTGACCATGCCCTGGTGTTTTAAGTTGTTCTTTTCCCATTTCTTTTACATTAGTTTAGTCTAAAATAACTTAGCTCATTCATTTTTATGACCAAAACATCTGGGAAAAACCAGGCATTTCTGTTGCATTTTAACAGGGTAAGTGAATTTAATTCGTATTTCCTGCAGCTGTGATTTCCCCTCCTACTGGGTTCTTCGGCATTCATTCCACACCAACACAACACGACTTCATCACACGGTTTTTAAGAGTAAGCTTTTTTTCCCATTTTCAAGCAGCTCAGCAGGAACCTGTAATTCTACAAGGTGTGTAAGCACAAATGAGCAAGTGAGGTCTTAGTCAAGGTGACCCAGACAGTTCAAGGCCAGAGGCTGAGATTTGACAAAGAATCTTCAATAAAAAGATCCAGAACTTGCTTTTCTACTTCTCTCATCTCCAGGTTGTCCAAATCAAATGGGTTTACTCCTTTATAAATCATCTTGGAGGAGCTCTCTGTGGTGCTGACATTACAGACATTGCTGTTTCTTTTTACTTGAAACGGTTTCTAGGAAAGGTTGGTCAAACACAGTAAAGGCTAGACCCTGCCTGATTATTAAGTTACAGTCAACTCCACTCCCCCATCATCCTTTTACCAGTGCTTTCCATCACAGCAACACGGTTGCCTTTCCTTCTGCTATCTATTACTCTTTGGCATATACACCAGTATGTTTATGCAGTTTTTAACTCCTTCCATTTTTTGGCAAATGATTATCCATGTCCTCCTGACTGTGTAAGTTCTCTAGGTAAGGGCTTAAATTTGTGATAATCTTTGTACAGTGCCTACCTACACAGGCAAATGGGCTTCTATAAATTACTTGGCATTGTAAACTACTAGGTGTGATTTTAGAAATGATCCAGACAGAGCAAGACCCTGTCTTTAAATTTTTTTTTAATTAAAAAAATAAAAATGATCCAGTCCGGGATTAAAACTAAAGTGATGTCAGGACCCAGGAAGTTAACATCAGTATGTAAGTGGCGGACCGTAAGAACATATGGATATAGAGGGCTGAGACCCTAACTTGGGGTCCTGACTCCATCTGAAAGACCAGAGACTCTGGTTTTTGGTACAGAATATGGCCAAGCTAAACATTTGTGATTCATATTTACTTCATGAGTCATCAGTTTGAAATCTCTAATCTAGAGGTGATATATCCAGTGACTGGAAACCATCCATTATGTTGGAGTCAGACCACAGAGGTTTAAAAGCTGGTTCTGCCATTTGATAGCCATATAATCTGAAACAGATTGATAAACTTCTGTGTGCCTGAGTTTGCTCTTCAGTAAAATGGGAATAATCATACCACCTCCCTCACAAAATTATTTTCATTTTTAATTGAAAAAATACATTTAGATGGCTTAGAATAGTCCCCAAAGAAATCCAACCTCTTCACTAGGTGAGAAAATTGAAGTTCAGAGAAACTGACACATTCAGCATCATGCAGCTTACTCACAGCAGTGCTTGTATTTTGACCCAGAACATTAAATTCCAGGTTGAGTATCCTTTTCTCTATATCAGTGATCTTCAACATAATTTCATTGGCAGCAGAACCTCCCTTACCTTTTGCTCCTAAAATATTACACAGAATTCCACTGTATACAACAGATGCAAATATTTTCTGCTCTGATTGAAACAGGATTGCAGGTCTAGAGCCCCACTCATTGGTTATACCTCCATGCCACATTTCTGGCAATCCTCATGACTCTGAAGATTTTAAAGAAAACTGTGTAAACCACCATACTACAGAATTTAAAAACATAAATGAATATCTAATGACAAGATAGGCTCTGTCTTCATTGCATGTGTGAGCTTCCTTTAGCAAGGGTGTCTGTCTCTGTTGGCACTAACTCTTAAATTTTAGGTATAACAATAAAAAATGAAAGTAGATGAATCCTTGAAAGCCATGGGAAATGATATCAACCAAAGCCCCTAACACCCATTTTGCTGTCACTTAGCAAGGAACAGAAATCATGAAGCTTATAATTTATAGCCTTGGTTCAACATGGAATTGTTTAACATTGCCTATAACTCAAGCTTTTTCTCAGCAATTTCATAAGTCATAGTAATTACTTGGCATCCCAATGGGCAGAGAGATATGGAGATCTGCTGCCTTACAAGCCTTCCATCTTCTTTCAGGACATGCACATCATCAGTACAGACGAGAACCAAGTATTTGCTGCGGTCCAAGAATGGAACCAGAACGACACGTACAACCTCTACATCTCAGACACGCGTGGGATTTACTTCACTCTGGCCATGGAGAACATCAAGAGCAGCAGAGGTCTAATGGGGAACATCATTATTGAATTGTATGAGGTATGTAGCCAAAATTCTCCTTCCCTTGGGTCTGTCTCTCTTTTTCCTGAGTTTTAATGGTATAAACACAAGCACTGGAGTTCTGGGTTCAGATTCCAGCTGTACCACTTAGCAATTGTATGACTTTGGGCAAGGGACTTCTATATGCCTCAATTCTAGTAAAATAGAGATAAAATATTTACCAAGGAGATTATTGTGAGATGAGAGATGATGGATATACTGCATCTAGTGTAGTGGCTGACTCAACAAAGTTAGTATTCTTGTATGTATAAACAATTGATTACTAGACAGAAATTAAGGTATTTGGCCTAGGTGATTTTTTAAGTAGCTTTGTAAACTCTGTGTTGCTTTTGTGGACCCTGAATGGAGGGAGTGGTGCTACTTATGTGCCTTAAATTATTTGGAAAGTCCTGTTTTATGAACAAATTTTATGGGAAAATAAAAGCGAATATCAGTGGTGGGAATGAGAGTTTTTCTAAGATTCCACCAGATGCCGACATCTATGCAGGGTAAAAAACTGGCCTTGACATAAGTGTGTCACTTATATTAAGCTTGTTAAAAAGTGTGATAACTAATTAAAGAATAATTTACTAAGAAACCAAGTGACTCCATGTAGTAACTGTAGAGAGAAAGAGAGAAAAAAAGAAACTATTTTCAGTGACCTAAAAGATGTGGTACCTTTTATAGTGACAGTATGTGACCTTTGACAGTCCTGGACCCAGTGAAGGAACTTGACTGACCACCTGGATATGGAGGATTGAGTTGAGCAATGAAGGTGTGTCTCATTATCCAATATTCACCAGTAACCAGTGGCCACACCCATACAGACTGTGATGGTTGAGATCATTCACAGAAAGAGATACGTTGTCTATTCTGGGTGGTGGCCTCAGAGCTGGGTGAGCTGTTCCCTTGTGGGTTTTCCTATTGAGGAGTGGGAGTGGCTACATGCATGGGTTTCTACTTTATAGTGGTCTCCTCTAAGCAGTGCCTGTCAAAATCCCAGCAGCCCTAAATTGGTATCTAAGTTGGCTACTCAGTTACTGAGTGATAAGGTTTGGTTCTGTGTCCCTACCCAAATCCCATCTGGAATTGTAGTCCCCACGTGTTGAGGGAGGGACCTAGTGGGAGGTGATTGGATCATAGGGGTAGTTTTCACATACTGTTCTCATGATAGTGAGTGAGTTCTCACAAGAGCTGATGGTTTTAAAGTGTGGAACTTCCTCACTTCCTCTCTCTCTCCTGCCACTATGTAAGACATACCTTGCTTCCCATTTGCTTTCCACTGTGATTGTAAGTTTCCTGAGACTTTCCCAGCCATGCGGAACTGTGAGTCAATCAAACCTCTTTTCTTCATGAATCACCCAGTCTCATAGTATCTTTGTAGCAGTGTGAGAATGGACTAATACACTGAGAGTGGCAGAAATATTTAAGATTGCACCTGTTCTGTTAGGCAGAGAGATGATAACATAAAGGCATGGGGCAAATGAATGTACATTTTAAAAGAAGGAGTGAATGTCATTCGGTAGAAAACAAAATCGTAGAAATACCCTGATTTCCTAGAGAGTAACTGACAAGTGCTGAAATAATTCCCTTAAACAACAAGGTCCCAGTTTTGGAAATGTTCCAGATTGTTTTACAGAGGTGTGGAGACTAGTAGAGATGACTAAGGGGAGTAAATACCTTTGGGAAGCTTACATTTCTATGCCTCTAATCATACCAGGAGGCAGAAATATAACTTTGTTATTGGACAATAAGTCACATCTTGTTTGAGGGTTTGGATTAATGTTCCCAGGACTGAGGCCATTCCAAGTTCCTGTTTGTACAAGTAAAGCCATAGAGATAAGACTGTGATTCATGTCCCTGTGATCAGACCCAAATAGGGGTGGGTGGGCATTGCTGCAGATGACCTTGCAGTCAAGAAATTCTTGTGTCTCTGATCCTCTTGGTACAGTGGGTGAGTTTGCCACTATGCTTCTCTTATTCTAAGAAGGGGTGCCTGAAACTCCTTGGTCATTTACAACAGTGTGACACAGTGATATGGAATGAGGCATGAATCAAAATGAAGAATGTGCCCAGATCCATGCAATTTTTTTCTTTCCACTTAAGTTGGTCTTGTGTTTTCAGTCTTATTGAAGAAAAAAATGCATGGTGTCACTGCATCTATAGAGAAGACATAACAGACAGGGCAACTTTAAAAATAAAACAGCTTTCTTGATCTTGTTTTCCATTCAATTTTAGCAGGATTGATCGCACCCCTGCTTTGTGTTCAAGCCCATGAGGAAGGCAGGAGAGTTATGACTTAGTTTTTACCTTCAGAGAGTTTGCAATCTAGTTTGTTGGGTTTTGAGGGGGTCAATAAACAAAGTTCCTTATTTACCTGGTCAATGCTGGAACCGATTAGGACAGCAACAAAGGGCAAGACAAATGGATATCAAACACAGCTTTATTGCTTTTAAAAATTATGCACAAGGAAGTGGGATTGATAATGCTGTACCCCAGAATTGAATTCATCCATTCAGTCCCAGACAGAAATGATAAATCAAAGACTGTCTTATGGAAGCCTGTTCCTATGACACCGCAGCACTGATGTAAAAAGGATGTGATCTGTGCAGGCAGATCCTTAAAAGAGGGGCAGGGGTATGGGGATGAGCTGTACATGCGCAGTTCTTCTTTTCAACGTTACCACTCTGACTGTCAGTCCTTTTGCCCTGGGGAGGAAATAGTGAAGAAGAAGGAGGCATTCCAAACGTAGGAATGGAATGAGCCAAGGACTGAATGGATGGTGCTGATTTGTGAGAAAGTAAGCTAGCCAGGCTAATTGTGTGGAATAAATGCTTGTCAGGGACAAGAATGAGGGCTGGATAAATAGCTGAATTTCAGATTCTAGAAAACATGTAATACCAAGTGAATAAATTGGAACCTGATGTTATCTAGACCATGACCATACTGAAGATTTTTAGAGGGTAATGCTGTTTTGCACCTGGAGATACATTCTGTGGTTTGGAGATAAAGCTCAATTTAATTGGTCTCTAGGGGTCATTAGAATTTAACCTTCTTTACTGGAAATTCTCACAGAAACTGTGATTATGTACCATACGGCCAGTTAGCAAAGAGACTACAACTTTTCTGGACTCCAAGTGCCCTTGAGTAATGCAACTGAGAAAAACAGTAAGTTTTCACATTCAATTCAGCTAAATTAGCACACTTTTATGGAGTGTATTTTGTTTGATGATGTTAGGACTGGTGCATGAGATTCATAATTACTGGAATGATACAAGTGACTCTATTAGGGTAATTATCACAGTCTAACTTGTATTAGAGGTGTGATTCCACCAGGTTGTGGAGTTACAAAAGAATAATTCTAACTTGAGTAATTTGGAGAGACTTATAGATGAGTTTGGCTTAATTATAGACAAATTGTTGGAAATAAGAAGAGAACCAGAGTCGAATGAGTAGGGATCCTATTTTATGAAATGTTGAGTGGCCTTGTGGAGCAGTGGGGATGAAGATTGTAAATATACTGGTAAAAAGCTGACTGAAGATTCAGGCATTTATGCTATGGGCTAGTATTTCTTTATCTTTTTTCCCCTCATATTTACATACCCAGAAAATATTCGCACGTGTGATGTAGTCCCTTGTGCCAGGTTAATTTGTAACTTTATATTAGAATAGGACATTACACCTGTTTCCCCTTGACTCAAAGGTTCAGAGATGTCTTTAGGTAATTTTCAGATATCAGGTAGCTTGGGCTGACCTTGCCCACTTAAGCCACAGGTATATCACTCCATCTTCTGCATGGACCTCTGAAGCTTCTTCTTGGTAATGGAGAGGAGACAAAGAAAGCAAGAACTTATTTGGAAATTCCCCTTGCAAGCCTTGGCACTGAAAAATCCTTGGACCAATGGAGATCAACCCCACTGAACTCCCCAAAATCTAACAAGGCTGAGATAATTTCCATTTCAAATCTGTTGGAGTTGTCTCCTGCTGTAGAGAGATTCTCCTGCTTGTTCTTTCTCAAATTCCTGCTTCAAAGTACAATGTTGTCATGACTATAATTACATAATTAGGGGAGAAAATAACACTTGAAGGCCAAGTAATAATCTATCTCTTCTTTGAGATGTCAAGCCGACTCCTTCAAAACAAGGCTGGTATTGACAGCGAATGTAGCCTATTGTGTGTACTTACCATTATTCTCGTAACACTCTTTTCATATAGAGCTCTATTGCAGTGTCTTCACATCCCCAGCTATAAACTACATTTCTTTTTAATTACTCTCCCTAATAAATCAAGAAACAAATATTCTTTCCAACACCCGCAGTTATACTATGGCAGCATTCTCTGAGCTGCCGGTGTGATACATTTTCTTCAATGCTCTCCTGGATATTTTGCATCTAACTTATAACTCCTTACAATAATAACCACAGCATACCTGGCAATGCTTTAGACCAGCACTGTCAAATACATACATAAGGTGAGCTACATACACACTTCCACATTTCTGCTTCCCACATTTTATAAAGTAAAAAACAAACAGACAAAATTAATTTTAATAATATTTTTTATTTAAACAAAGTATCTAAAATGTCATTTCAGTATACGTTCAATGTAAACAATTATTTAGTTATTTTATATTTTTCCATACTAATTTTCATAATAAGTCTGCAAAATCCTGGATGTATTTTACATGTCCCATGAATCTCAATTTATATGCTAAATTTTCACCAGAAATACTTGATCGGTATTTAACATTTCATAAATTTACAGTAAAAAAAGAAGATTCACATACCCAAGTTATTCTCAACAAACTTAAAAGTTTGCCAATAACTGAAATGGGTATCAGTTCTTCAATTCAAATTTCTATGGGTTAAAATGAAATAAAATTAAAAATTAGTTTCTTCGTTCCCGTAGCCACATTTCAAGCCATATGTGGCCAGTGGCTACTGTTTTGGATTGCACAGTCGTAAACAACTTATATATTTTTTTCTTATTTATCTCTCACAATATCACATTCTTCATTGTGCCTGTGAGATTACAGAGATGCAGAGAATTTAGTGGCTTGGCTCTGATCACACAGCTAGTGGTGCTACATTTTCAAGAAATCCACGTCTGCTTGACAAACCACTTAGGCTTTTCTCACTATTAATTTTTTTTTGCATTTTTATGGAGGTATAATTTATGTATAGTAAAATTTACCCTTTTAGTATAAGTTCTGTGAGTTTTGATTTGTGCATTCTGGTGTGTAAATTGTGCACAAATCACAATCAAGACATAGAACAGTTCCATTACCCCAAATATTCCCTTATTGCCCTTTTGTAGTCCACCCTTCTCTACCCCAAAGTCACCGACAAACACATACCTGCCCTCTCTTTGTCTTTAGTTTTGCCTTTCCTAGAGGGTGAGTAAATGGAATTATACAGTAGGTAACCTTTTCAGTCTGACTTTTTTTTGCTTAGAATAATGCATTTGAGATTCACCCACATTGTTGAATATATTGGTTCCTTCTGTTTCTGAGCAGCATTCTGTTGTGTGATGTGACAGAGGTTGTTTTTCAATCACCAGCTGAAGACCATTTAGGTTACTTTTTAAAATTTTGTGTGATTATGAATAAAATATCTATAAACATTCTCTTGACCATAAATTTTTATTTCTCATGGGTAAATACTTAGGAGTAGGATTGCTGAGTTGAATGTAAGTATATGTTTATAAGAAGCCACCAAATTATTCCAAAAGTGGCTGTGGGATTTTGCATTTCCACCAGCAAGGTATGAGAGTAGCAGTTGCTTCATATCTTCAGCAACACTTGCTTGGTTTGACAGAGAGAGAGGAGAGAGAGAGAGAGTGTGTGTGTATGTGTGTGTGTGTGTGTGTGTGTGTGTGTTTGTAGCTGTTCCGATGGGGATTTAGTGGTAACTCATCGCAGGTGTGATTTGCTTTTCTTCAGTGACTAAATAACTGGACCCAGTATACCTGGATGGATAAAATGAAACTTCGAGGCTGGGCGCGGTGGCTCACACCTGTAATCCCAGCACTTTGGGAGACCCAGGCGGGCGAATCATGAGGTCAGGATTTTGAGACCAGCCTGGCCAACATGGTGAAACCCCATCTCTACTAAAAATACAAAAAAATAACTGGGCATAGTGACAGTCACCTATAATCCCAGCCACTCAGGAGGCTGAGGCAGGAGAATTGCCTGAACCCAGGAGGCAGAGGTTGCAATGAGCTGAGATGGTGCCACTGCACTCTAGCCCAGGTGACTGAGTGAGACTCCATCTGAAAAAAAAAAAAAAAAAAAGAAACTTCCCATCCAGCCTCAGTATTCTGGTCTCTTTGCCCATCTTATTGATGTTTCCTTGCCTTTCCTCTCCCTAGAGCCTGTCATCTTCCCTCTGCTTTATCAGGACCTTCAGTGACCTTTATCGGGCCAGAAGGACAGCTGCTTAGAGACTCCACAGGGTCTTTTTTCCCTGAACCAACCTTCCTCAGCCCCTCACCACAGGTGGGACTCTAGGGACAGCCCAAGGCAGATCATGGTAATTGCTTTTCTCAGCAGAGCCCTGGCTTCTTTGTCCTGAGGTCTCTGGGAGGTGACCAACAGATGACCATGCCACCTGGACTCAGCATTCCGCCAAGGGGCCTGCTGTCAGTTTCCCTCTGCACTCAAATTGATTCCCAGAGGGAAAGTGGGCCACACAGGCTAGACACCTTGTATTGTTCTCTTCCGTGGGCACCATCACAAGCTGTTACCCTTCTCCCTGGACTGCTGAAATAATCAGCAGCAGCCAAACATCTGATTTCAAACAACAGTGGGTGGAAGTATGTTTAAAGTTAATTCAATGCTTTGTAGCTCCTTGGATGAGGATGAGTAAAAACGCATGTCTCATTCTCCAATTCCTTTACATTGCATTTAGTGAGGGTGCGTAGTCTTCATAATACTTTTGTCTTAGAAATATATGTGTACATACATGTGTACACATACATGCATATATGGGTATGAGTCTACTGGGTTGCAACATAAATGTATTTCTTACTTGGGTTGCAGTCAAAAAGTGTGAAAGCTGTTGGCTTAGGACACACAAAAGCCAAGTGCCTTCCAAACTCGCAGTCCATTTATACAAGACATGAAGCCAAAAAAGTGATTCAGTAATAATGTAAGGGCTTTGAACTATCCAAACACAAGTGGGAAATGTTCCGTTTGTTTCAGACGGGAAGGAGATTGCTGCGGCATTATGTACAACTGCAGGAGAAGCATCCTCACAGCTGCAAGTGGGTTCCCTGGGAGTCTGTCCTTTCTACATCTTTTTAGTCCCCATTCCCCTGGTTTTGTTCTCAGAATATGTGGGACACACAGAAAATGCCCGTCCAAATGGTGAAGTGCTCAGTCGGAAAACATGGTAATGGTAATGGTAATGATTCTTTAATTTGTTAACCTGCTCACCTGGAAGATCACAAGAGGTTGCTGAGTGGCTGGAATTCTTTCTGTGATGCATTGAGCTGGGGGCATCAGAGGGGGCCACAGCCGCTCCCCAGGAAAAACTGAACCGGGGTCAAGGTGTCTGAGTCTGATCCAAATATTTTCATCCAAGAAGTGGATAGCAAGGCCCTGGGTACTTGTGGGAGAGGGTAACTGGTTTAGGGGAGTGAGTCCTCTGGAATCATTAGGTGGTGGTCTAGCAGAAAAGGCACCAGCTCTGTGGCTAAACAGAACACTGAAAGGCCTCCATCAGGTAGAAGGTTCTAGAGAATCCCAGATTCCATTCTCTGTGAGGAATGATTAGTAGTCAGGTTTAGGAGATGCACCTTTGCAGTTGGTTTTAAAGACTGAGGTGATCTGAGGGGCTCATAGTCCCTAGATGAGCATTTGAGATGCTGTCCTTCCTGAAATGGCCCTGACTTTAAGCCATTAGGGCAAAGAGGAGGTCTCTAGGGAGGGCATGGCTCAGACATCATGCCCCTGCCCTACCTTGGTTTCTCTGCTTACCTACCCACTGTTCCAGGTAGCAATCTAATCAATTCCATTGTTGGCCCTTTGTCAAATTCCCCTGGTGGTGTCCTTCCAGTTAATTCTATTCTCCTCCTGAGATTCTCTGTCCATTTGTTTGTTTGTTTATTCTTATTTGGGCTGGCATTCTCTTTCAAGACCAATCAGGTTACTTAAAAAAAGAAGAGAAGACTTTTTATTTCGTCAATTAAATTATGTCATTTGAAAACAAAAAAATAAGCTCACTTCTGTGAAACTCTTACCATTTTCTCCCACTGGGGCATTCTCTCCGAAGTGAGTAAACCTCAGTTAACCATGATACTGGAAGAATGGGGGATAAATACAATTAAAACTTTAAGATATCTGAGTATCACCCACAAAACCTGCCATTGAACCTATTGTTTATATATATTTAAACTAATTTAATTGCCTTTGGCAATATGCTATTTGCTATTTGCCTTTGAAACATGCTATAACTTCTATGGAAAAAGAGTTAAGGGAATCTTTCTTTGATGCAGGATGTTGTCATTATAAGTATCTGCTTTCCTTGCCCAGCATATAGAATATAAGGAATAAAAGTTTGAGTAGAATTTGTGCTTACCCTAGAACCCTTCTGGGTGATAAATCTCCTTTAATCCTCTAGCGGCTTGTTTTGTGGTGATGCTCTTTTCCCGTCAAAATATCAAAGGCGTGCAAATCTCAAAACATGGGAACACTGGTGAGTGCTTTGCATAGTCTCATGGATCCTTTGCCAGCCAACTGGGAAAAAGAAGAGGAATAGGGCTTATTCCACCAATTTCAAAGCGACCATTGGCTGAGTCCCACAGATGATATGGGAGTTATCCAAAGTCACATAGTGAGCTAGTGGCATGGAAAGAGACAGATGCCAGGCCTCCAAGCTGGATCATCTGCCCCAGGATATCTTCATTACTACTAATCACAATGCCTCAACTTCCATTGTTATGAAATACCCATCTACAGGCCTCTTCTGAGCAGAAAAACATGTTTGCTGGAAGGGGTAACTCCTTCAGTTCTTGTCAGCCACTCCCATCTCAGAGGGAATGTTAATAGTTAATTAAAGGTAAAGTCCTATGGAACAAAGTACAGAGACGAGCAAACTGGGAAAAAAACAGATGGGTAAGCATAGAAAGGGACATCTAGGGGGTGACATAAGGTTCAGAGATGAACTTTTTAAACATTTTTCAGAGACCACATGGCATTCAACGTTTCCTATCATGTTCCTTCTTTTCTTGCTTGGAACCCCAACATGCCGTGGGAAATTCTGCGGCTTCTCTAAGGGCTTCTCCAAGACCAAAGGCATGTTGGCCCAGCATGGTTCTCCATCTCTCACCTTTTTTCCTAGGTAGCAGGTATCAAAGGGATATTTCTGGCAAACAAGAAGGTGGACGACCAGGTGAAGACATACATCACTTACAACAAAGGCAGGGATTGGCGCCTGCTGCAAGCTCCGGATGTGGACCTGAGAGGAAGCCCAGTGCACTGCCTGCTGGTCAGTCACTCAGCCTCATGGGAAGTTCACAGGGCAGGCTGGCCACCTGCAGAAGCTGTGTCGAGGGCTTTGTTTCGTCAAAGGGTCTTAGGAACTCAGGTGGTGCAGAGCAGTAATTTTCTAAAACTTGCAGGGCATTGGTGTGTGGACTCAGAGTGCAGCACCAATTGGGTGAAAGGCCCAGTTGAATTATGCAGGCATTTAATGAGGATCTACTATGTGCTCCATCTCATAGTAAGGCAAATAAACATATAAGAGAAGGAGCCTGTACTCAAGGGTCCCAGGCACAGCTCAGTAGTAGTAATACATCTATTAACTGATACTAACATGATGCATTGTGTTTTGGTAAATGCTTGCTAGATGTTGAGGCAAGCAAAAGTTGCTTTGAGAATCCAGGGGGAGCTTAGGCTGGAATGTCCATATGGGACAGTTAATCTATCAGCATTTCCAGGATTCCTGTTGTATGGGATATTGGGGTAGGCACCATGGAAGACATGATGTGTGAGATGGTATCTCTGGCTCCAGGTGCTTCTGCTCTGTGTGAGGAGGCAAGAGGCTTCATTAACAATAAAATCCACAATCTTCAGTGCCCTCTGAATAAGGACTGCTGTAAGAAACAATTCTAAGGTCCCAGAAATGGTTATGTTTCTTCTGAGCAAAAAGTTTCCTCTTGCCACTTATTCAGAAAGATTTATTAACCACTTATCTTATTCTAGACCCTATGTTAAAAATTGGGACTACAATGGTAAATACAGCAAATAGCGCTCTTTCCCTTTGTAATTTTCAGCCTTATTCCATATAATTTTTGCTTCAGGTACTAGGAGGGTCAGAGAGAAATGCCTGCTTACCTCTAGGAATTGGTCACAGCATGCATTTTTTTTTTCCTCAAACCTTGCCCATGGCTTCATCTTATTTTAATCTGATTTTCTCTTTCTTTCTATTTCTTCATCTTCTTATTTGTATTTGTTGTACAGAATATGTCTCTGTAAATCCCCAAGCCCTTTTAAGAACACTCCAATGGGGATAGATGAATAAATAAATGAATAAATAGAGAACACAGACTTATATAGGTTTTAGATGATGGCTTCAAATATTTTAAGTAAAATTATAAGTAAGAACAAAATATATAAAACAGAGACAGAGACAATCTGGCTGAAGAAGGTGGAGGGCCTGGCCTAGTTCACATAGCTTCCACTCTTCACTCCTCCCAGAGGGCCCTTACAACTCCAAGAAGCAGAATTGATGGTCAAGATCAGAAATGCGAGAATGTTAGTGTCATCCTGGTAGAAGGAATGGTCAAGGAGGCTTCATAAAGCCAGCCATGAACTGGAACTTGGATAGGTTGGGTGAGGAAGAGAGGGAAAGGCACGAGATTGTGGTTGGGGGGCAGAGGCAGGAGGGGGTTTATGGAAGGTACTCAGTGGAGCTTCTAATGTGAGCATACCAGCTATCTCAGGTGCGGATATCTCCTGCCCAAAACTGTGTGACTCACCATCCAATGCCTTGCTATTTCTGGGAGCTGAACATCGGGAAGCCCATCTCTAGTGGGGCAGGGGTACAGGTGTCTGGAATTTCCTAGAATGAAACTATTTCTTTCTCCATTTTAGCCCTTCTGTTCCTTACATCTGCACCTGCAACTCTCTGAAAATCCATATTCCTCAGGAAGAATCTCTAGCAAGGAGACAGCCCCAGGACTTGTGGTGGCTACAGGTAAGAAAAACATTCCCTGTGCTTCTTCCTTACTGAGAGTGTCTAGAATAAATTTGTCACCTCTTTTTGGATCATGGACTCACTTGAGCATCAGATGAAAGCTGTGAGCACTCGCCCCAGAAAATATGCAGGGTTCCTCAATACCCATCTAAGAACCTAACATGCAAAGAGCTCCAGACATTTGTAATTCCTAGGCTCATGCATCTTCCCCCCAGACACAGAGCAGTCCCCTGTGCTTAGGAAGAGGCCAGAGTTTCTCTCAAAGTAAACTGACCAATCAGAATGGTTGTTTGTAATAGGGAATCCACACTTTAAGAAAACATGATATATGAACTTCCTAGCTCACCAGATGTAAGTTGGGGTAGTTTTCTCTTTGAACAGATGATTCTTTACAAAGGGTTCCATCCCAGAGCTGTTTTTAATCAGGTGCATGTAAAGGCTTGTTTACACATGGTTAACCCCTTGGCTGAGAGCCTGAGGGCAAAGGGCAGAAAAACTTAAGGTTGCATTGTTGGAATCACTGTCCACTGAGCATCAGTCAGAGATGAAGATAAAGCAACTCTGAGATGAAAGCTAAAGTCTCCGGGGAGTATGCTCTGATTAGCATGCACTGCATTTCCATACACCTTTTCAAGAATACATTGATGGCATAAAGGAAGGCAGCCTGCTAATCTTAGAAGTTAGAGCTCCGGTGTTGGTCAGCTTATTTTTCTAATGAAAGCAGATAAATTCACAGTGACTTTCGGAGCTGGTACATTCTGTTTTCTCTCATCAACCCAAAGCTCTGGTCCCTGGAGTTCCTACTCTCTAGGCATGGCTTCCTTCTCCAAGCCTCCAACTGTGTGAGCTTTTAGATACCACCAGTGATGAACCACTCTCATCAGATTGACAGCTGGCATAGCCTTCTGGCATGTTAGTCAACTCCTGTCAACCCCAGATGGTTGACACCACAGTGGTATTAAGCAAGCCCACTATGCTTAATACCACTGGCTTCAGGGAGCCCAGGCTGAGGAGAGATGAAGGCAGGCTCAGTTGCTGTTCCCCTAGCTGGAGAAGTGATCCTCACACTCTGCAATCCATGTGGATTGGTTTTTCCAACTCAAGGGCTGCGGGACCCTATGCCTCTCCTCAAGACCTACAGGAGGTCTGAACTGGAAGCTACATCAAAAAGTAGGGATGAATGATAAAAGTTAATATTATCTGAATATTTAGTGTGTAGCCAGGCATTGTTCTTTGTGGGTTGACCACTCTGAACTTCAGTGTTTTCATTGGCAAAGTGGGCATAATAGTACCAAAATAATAGAATTGCAGGATATAATGAAACAATGAATTTAAAATGCTTAGAACAATGGCCAGGCGCAGTGGTTCATGCCTGTAATTCCAGCATGTTGGGAGGCCGAGGCAGGTGGATCACCTGAGGTCAGGAGTTTGAGACCAGCCTGGACAACATGGTGAAACCCCGTCTCTACCAAAAATACAAAAATTAACCAGGTGTGGTGGTGCATGCCTGTAGTCCCACCTACTAGGGAGGCTGAGGCAGTAGTATTGCTTGAACCCAGGAGGCAGAGGTTGCAGTGAGCCAAGGTGGTGCCACTGCACTCCAGCCTGGGTGACACAGTGAGACTCTGGCTCAATAAATAATAAATAAATGAATAAAATGCTTAGAACAGTGCCTGGGGCATATTGAATACTCACTATGTGTTACTTATCATCATTAATGTTATAGAAGTTAAAACTCTTCTTACATCAGAAGAATATAATGTGCTCATCTCCTTCAATAAATCCATAAATCCGATGCATGCACTATGCACACAGAGAAACTCAGGAAACTTGTCCTCCTGCTTTCCAGGCTGAGCCCTGACACTTATTAGGTTTGTGCATTTGGCTTAGTTTTTAAACTCTGAGCTTCATTTTTCTCATCTGTAAAACTGTGGGGGTGTTGTAAAAATTAGAGATGGAAGTATGTGTCTATAAGACCCAGCAGAGTGCACAGAGCATCATAAGGTAGTATTAATGGTAGTTGTTATTACCTGTGACCAGCATATTGCTTCTAAATTAGTACTTTGTAAATTAGCAAACACACAGACATTAAAGATTTATTTTTGAATTTTTTTGTCCCATATGTATCAGAATTGCTAATTTCTTTTTATCTCCCCTTGTAATTCTTGAGGCTTTTTGCCATGCCCTGGATCTTTGGGAGGGATATAACTCAGCTGATGAGATCCTGATGAAAAGCCAGGGCTAAGTCACTGGCGCGTGCCTCTTCATACCCAGCTTCTCCTTACCCTGCTTGCCCTGGACACCTTGGGAGGTTATTTGCCATCAGGAAGATAACTATGACGTCAGCCAATTATGCCTTCAGTGGCCTGCATGGAGCCTGCCCCTGCAGGGTCCTTTCCCATATCCATGCCTTCCACCTGCCCTTCAGGTGTCAGTCACCCTGGGCTCTCTCCACTCCCACTGCTGACTCCCTTTTCCCACTTTGCACTGAGATGTGGTCTCAGGGAAGCTGCGTGGATAAAAGTATACCCTGGGATTCATCTCTTAACTCCTGGTTGAGGACATCTCCGAAGGCAGATGGAAATCTAGTATAGAGAGTTTGGCAATTGCCTTTTGCAAGCAGAAACACTAGGGTTCCTAATATCCTTAACACTGTGGTTTCAAGCTAGTAATAAAGACCTCACATCCTTGCAGTGCCTTACAGCATCCAAAGCTTGCTTTTCTTGCCTTGATTGCATAACTGCACGATGATGTAGAAATGGCAATTACTATACTCCTCAATTTAGAGATGAAGAGACTGTGGGCAGGTGGAAACAGGTGTCATGTCCCAGCCCACAATCTCTCTGATTCCACCTCTAGTACTCTGTTCTGTAGCCCTTCAGCCAGACCCGTCTCTGAGCCCCTTTCCGTGCCAGCTCCACAGCTAACCAGACCCCCTGCCAAACTTCCTGTAAACTCTGAATGTTCACACCCTCCTATTGTTCTTTCTGTGGAGGCCCTCCTCCCGCCCCTGCCCCTGCAGGGGCAAGTTGCTTGTATACTGTCAGCTTCCTCCCCAACTGAGCCTGTAGCCACCCTGTATGGGCAGCAACTCCCTCTGGCATGAGTGGTGGTGAGAGAAGCGTAGCTAGCCCTCAGAGGACTTCAATATTCTCTCCCTTTTATTTTATTTTTTTAATATTTAAGGAGCAGAGAAGGATAGCACTGGGAGGAAATGAGGGTGAAAGCAAGTTGTTTAAAACTTCCAAAAAGGGCAATGGGCCCTCCATCATTTACCAGCAAAGCTGTTGGTGAGAAAAGATCCCAGTTCTTCTTCTCCATCTCACTCTCCCTCCTCTCTCATCATACCACTCAAGTGGGCAACAGCTGCATCCCCTTCTTCCAACATGGTTGGCAGCCACTCTAGCTGAGCTCCAATTCCACTTCAGCCAGCAAGGCTCATTTTTCAAATCCTCCTTCTCTGACACCATAACTCCGGCTCTTCCTATCAGAAATCACCCACAGAGCCACCTAAGGACTGTACATGTTCAAAGATCAACTCCTCCTGGGTACATCTTTTCTGTCCCTTCATCTGGGAACCAACTTTCTGGTCTCTGTGATCCGTAACATTTTCTTTCAGAGGTCTCTTCAATTGACAGAAGATATTTCCACAAATAGAGTTCACTGTGAGCCTTGGGTTCTTACCACCATAAGGCCCCCAAAATCCATCTAGTCGAGCTTTGAAAGAGAGGCTAAAGATGTTGACAGAACCAGCTTCTAAGGAAGGTGAGGGATGATAAGCTAGATCCTTAGAAGCCATGCCAGGGATGGAAGATACACAGCTCTGGAGCAACAGTGCTCCTGCCTCCCTCTTTCTCTGTCACCCTTGGTAGACATCTGTTGATCACCACCACATTCTATTCTGTCAAAACCAAAGAATCCTTCTTAACACAATGCTCCAGGTTAGCACAACCACTAAGCGACTCGAGTTGATATTCTCCTCCCCATTTCCCTTTACTTTCCTTACCTGTGTCTTCTAAAACCTGTATCTGGGGAGTTGAATTCCAAATTCCAGACAGAACTCCATGGATCTACTCACCAAGCCTCTCCCTACTCCTCCCACACCTACTGCCTGAACCCTGAGCCCTGAGCCCAGGGGTTATTTTTGAAATCTTGAGTCTCAAAACAAGTTGGCTATCTGTGTGCTTCCTGATGCTGATGGAAGCTTGACAAGCTGTAGCCTGGCTTTAATTTCTCATCTTGAAGCATTAAATGTCAGGAGCTCAATTAACATTTTCATTATTGCATTTTTGTTGTGCTCCTATTTAGGCTACAGATGTGTGGGAGCTAACATTCTCTTCCTGCTATTTTTAAAGAAAAAATATCAGCCAGTAAGATAAACTCTTACATGTTTAGGGTTCCTTCCTGGTTGTCAGAACTTCCTCAAGTGCACATCAACATTGGAACATGATCCAATCATTTGTTTTCCCATTCATTCATTCCACAATTATTTATTGAGCACTATTAGGTTGGGGGCCTCTTTTAGGCTGTGAGAAGAGGGCTGCTCATTGGGAAAACGAAATCAATATAGATGGACTAGAAAAGCTTGACCACTTTCTTTTTAATAAGCATAGCCACAAGGTGATGGAGTGCCAGGGGAAGAAAAAGAAGGGCAGAGAGGAGAGTGTGAAGGGATGGAAGCAGCAAGTATGGTTGGTCTAGGCATAAGCCAGGTGACTTGTTTTGCTGCCATGCTTGATGGCCATGGTATGCTGAGTGTGGTCATCTTCTTCTGGGCACCGTATAATTTAGGTTACATAATCTGTACCATTGGGTCACTCAACTGCCTGGCACTCAAAGGACATTCTGACAAGTTTCAAACATACACACAGACACACAGTTACGCACATACACACACACACACACACACACACACACACACACACACCAGTTTTTCTCAGGCTCCTATGCCAGATTTCTCCATATGTGTCTACTCTTCCACTCTTTGCTTCCTTCAGGGGACACCTGTCAGGAGCAATGTGAGAGATTATTGGTATACAGACTGAATAATTCAAGAGACCTGGACTAATCGATATTGTCTTTGACTCATGACATTGAATGATGCATTTCTGTCATACTATTTAGATTTTTTCCCATATTGGGTTTTTCATCCTGCTGGGCTTTTGATATGACACCAGAAAAGAAACTGCACAAATTAGCTGTAAATATCACTTAGAAAACCTTTACTCTCTGCTCCCCCATCCCTCAGCCCTAAGCACACTTAATTGGTAAACTCCTGACAATCTCAAATGATCTGCTTATGTTTCAGGCAACATTGGCCCGGAGCTCTCATATACTGATATTGGTGTGTTCATCTCCTCCGATGGGGGCAACACATGGAGACAGGTAACTGGGTGAATTGACAAAAAGGGAGGAGGCATTTAGAGTAAGTTCTACCAATCTCTCTCTCCATCCTATAGATTCTCAGCCTCATTATGACTTTGTAATTTCAAAACATTTGAAGCAGCTGTTCAGTTTGGTCAATTTGGCTGGCAGGTTAGAGGGGTAATGGGGTATAATGAGAAGGGCATTGGGCAGGGAATAGGAGGAACTGGAATTTTCCCAGTTCACTTATTCTTTCCTTCAGCCATATGTATGTAACAGGTCCAGATGCTAAGTACTGTGCTGGTTGCTGGGGATACAACTGATGAAACTGTTTTTATCATTAGTGTGCCAAGAGTTCTTGGCAAGCTGGTCTCTTCACCTTTGGGGATGTGTTTCTGTATCTACAAAATGCAAGGATTGGAACATTAAAACTGACAAAGCCATGGAAGTCAGTGGTTGTTTAAGTATTGTATAGACTGTCTTGAGTAAGTATGAAACAGCTTATATGCTTATATATGAGTAAGTATGAAACAGATATATGACTGCATGAAATGTTAATTCAGTTTTACAAACACTTACAGCAATGCTGTCCAATAGAATGTTCAGCGATGATGGAAAAGTTCTGTATCTGTGCTTGTCCATGCAGCTATGGAGCACTTGAAATATGACTACTGTGTCAGAGGAACTTAACTTTTAATTTTATTTATTTTAATTAATTTAAATTTAAATACTCTCTTATGGCTACTATATTGGACAAATAGACTTATACAGTGTCAACTAGGTGTCAGGCTCCAGGAGGTAATTGAATACTTTGGAGTCCCTTTCCTTAAAAAGCTCAAAATTAAATAGGAGAAATGGGTTCGTAGCTAGATAACTATAATTCAGGGTGATAATAATATTTTAGTGGCATTATTAGCATACAAAGAAAAGAGACGAATTGATCCTGCTGGAGAAACCAGGAAAGACATCACAAGGAGGGGAGGCATTTTACTAAGTCTTAAAAGTGAGACAGTTTCTCCGTGGAGAAGACAAGAGAAAGACAATGAATATCTTGTTAGACAAGTTCCTGTTTGGATCCCTTAGTGAAGATTGTCATCACCACCATCATCATCATCCCCATTGCCTCCAGTGTCAGCACTACCAGCGTTGTAAAAATTAACAAGTACTTACGAGACAAAAGCAACTATGTCAAGTACTGCAAGGCACACAGTCAATAATAAGTTAAGGTTCCTACCCACAAGGCCATAATCAGGTGGCTGGGGAGCAGATACATAAATAAGATCATACCCTTCAAAATGTAAAATAACCTATTACGAGAGCCAAAGGAGGGTGGAAGCTGGAATACAAACTCATCTGGTAAAAAAAATCTCCTCATAGGCAAACCATTTCTGGAGATCTCTCTACCTCAAGAAGTAGCTCACTTGACCAACGTTGTCACTACTTTTTCTTTCCTCCTTTCATAAACAGCTAAGGAATCCACTTTTTCACTCCAGTACTAGACAGGGCAAAAATGAGCAGTGGCCAGATGGTAAAATTAAGAGGAAAGGATAAGGATAACTTCTCCCTCCTCCCCAGTGCCTCTTCCTATGTTCCTCATTCTTAGGGTTCAACCCAGCATCTCCATTATGTGGCTTATCACAGAACCATCCTTTAAGCTCTGGAGAGAAAAGCCTAACATTGCAGACTCAGAGTCTATGTTTATATCTGGAATATAAGTGAATCACCCTTAGGTCCTTTGTGCATTGGGGCTCATCATTAATAGGGACATTTTTCTTTTCTTTGAAGATAAATATGTAAAAAAAGAGGTTTAGGACTGAGAAACTACTTTTCTCTCTAAGGTTCCCTGGGGCATATATATAGGAGGCCCCATTCCTCTTACACATTCACCCCTTAAATCTGACTGTATCGTCTCCTTATCCTCTTCTAGCCCTCTTCACTTAACCCACCATCCCAACTTCTCCATCTAGGCTGCATGAACCACCATCAGTGGTTAAGTGCTGTAGGAATTCTCCAAGCATACTTTCCCCTAGAAGATCTACAGTCGAGATTAGTTCTCTGCTGGAGAAATAGTTTTCCTGTTTAAGGTTGGAGATATAAAAGTCATATCTGGTATAAGCATTGATATATGTGGGCTTAGGTCTGAAATTCTCTTAACTCGGAACCTTGTATTGAAGTCAGTGCTTAGAAAATGCCTATGGGTAGATGGAGGGATGGATGGTTGGATGGAATACTGAATAAGGGAATGAATGAGTGAATGGATGGATAAGTAACAGACAAATAGATGAAATAAAGAATGAATAACGTTAGGTCCCTGGAAGTACTGTGTTTCAATGACCACTTAGAGTAGGGATTCATAGACACCCAACATGGGTCTTCATCCAACTTGCAGGGAGGTGGTGGCTATTTCAATTATTAGTTTTACCATAGTGGGTAGGAAATTGTCTTTTAAGTTCCTAGATAATGTATAAACAACACTATAAAACACAGACTATTGACAAATTAGCAAACATCTGAATAGATGAGGAAGAAGAGAAGGCTGAGTAGTAACTTAATTAGCTGGAAAGATAGGGAAGTTTCTTCAAAGTCATACTTCCGTTGGGTTACCTAGTTGAGCATGCACCTTGTTGCTTCACCTTCATGTAGCATGCTGGTTCACAGTACTAGTAGTGGAAAGAGCCCTGGAAATGCAATTTGAGTGGCCTAGGGACAGTTATTTGTTTTCTGTGAGCCCATTTCCTCATCAATCAAATGGAGATAATACTTGCAAAAACTATCTGATAGTGCTGTTGGAAGGCTCAGAACCTAGATGAAACAATATATGTGAAAGACTGTAAACTGTTAAGCACTATGCAAATGTAAGGTGTTGCTATGATTGTTGTTGTTGTTGTTGTTGTTCCAGATCTTTGATGAAGAGTACAATGTCTGGTTCCTAGACTGGGGTGGTGCCCTCGTGGCCATGAAACACACACCTCTGCCAGTCAGGCATTTGTGGTAAGGAGAGCTCCCTACCCTATTAATGAGCTAATGAGCAGCTTTTTAGTGGAGAGGATTGTGATGAGTTATTCTGCATGGTTTTGTACCCATTTGTACATTTCCTCATCCATTTATTTATCCATCCATCCATTTAATAGCCTTTACATCATCTAACTCATAAGCAGCAATAGTAGGCCAGATAATTCAGATGGGGAGGTGTAATGAATGGGGTGGGTGGTAATGAGTGGTCAGATAAGGCAGAAGACAGCAGGAAGGACCTGCAGTTCAAGTAGCCAAGATCAGTAATCCAAAATAGGAGAGATGGAAATTGGAAGAGGAGGGTTAGGTACATGTAACAGATACTGAGTTCAGTTCTAGAGAAGTTGAGTTAGTGGTTTCTATGAATATTTCAGCAGAAATGGCCATGAGTTGTCAGATATATTCATCTGAAGTTCGGGAATGGTCTAGGCTGACACTTTAGCTTTGAAGTCATTAACCACTAGGTGGTAGTTAAAGCTATGGTAGTGGGCTCAATGCCTCAAGAGAGTGGGTACAAGGAGAAACCAGGGACTCCTATGGACTCTGCTGAAAACCAATATTCAGATGGCAGGAAGAAATTATGGGACGGACTAAAGAGAAATGGCCAAAATATAGAAACTAAGGGGAAATATTTTCATGAATGCTGAAGAAAGGGGTGATTAATAGCATCAAATTCTACAATCAGATCAAGTCAGTTATGGAATAAAAAACAACCTAGGATTAAGCAATAAAGGAGGTTTTTCATGATTTTTGTCAGAGTAGAATTGAAACAGAGGTGGGGATGAAAGTTAGACTATAATAGATTTATAAACGAATGAGCTACTGAATGGATGATAAGCAATGAAATGAAATAGAGACAGTATAGATTATTCCTTTCAAAGAGTAAGATTATGAAATGGAGCTGACAGTGTATATGCAAGACCTTCCACAAGGACAGAGTTGAATGAGAATAGATGATGATGATGATGACGACGATGACAACGATGACGACAACTTGTTGCTGTTGTTGTTTTGTGTTTTTGGAAGGGAATGGATGAGTCTCATTTGTATTTATGCCCTGAAGGGAAAGAATTTCACGCTTCAGATTCAGCAAAGTGAATATTTGGAAGAGTGAATATTTGTGGGTGGAGAATATCCTATCTAGAGTACAGTTGGTCGGATTCACATGGGCAGCAAGGTGGACCCTAGCCTAACTACCAGGTCTTAGATATTGGGAGATAAACAAGTTTAGAGTAAGAATTTTACTGGAAAGCATCGGACTGTAATCAGGAAAGGCTTAGAATTCCCTAATGCCAAATCCAAGCTTCAGTCCTTTTGGCAAGGACTTAAGAAGGATTCTCTCAATTTGACCATTTTAAGTGAAACCGTATGAAATCGCCATTTTTAGGTCAAAAATGATCAAATATTACCAGTTTCTTAAAGCTTAACCTAGCTTATAGTGAAATAGTTCTACCACTATGATATGGAGAGATTGTGCATATAAATGTTGAAAAGATGCATGGAGCCATTTGTAAGAGGAGCGCTCTCCCACCTCAAGGATGAGCTTGTAAAAGTTCCCAGTGTAATTGTTTCTTATCCTTTTACTACTGATTTATATAGTTTTTTGGTAGTATCCAAAGACTAGAATTGCTTGATATTAATGATAGTCAGTATTTATTAAGGGACTTTCCAGGCACTGTTCTAAACCATTTACATGAATTATCTCATTTAATGCTTGCCCAACCTATGTATGTAGGTACCTTTTTATCACCCACTTATAATGGCATCAAAAAGCAAACATGTTAAATACCTTTCTCAAGGCTAGACATGTATACCTGGCAGCACCAAGTTCGATTTCTGTCATGGATGCTCTTCTGTTCTGGCTGCTAATTTTCTATATACTATAACAAGTACACCTAGGCTTATGACATAGTCCCTGCCCTCCAGGAGACTATACTCAAGATAAGGTGTTTAGGCAGTACATGTGTGACTAGAAGTGAAAGCAATGTCTGCTAAAGGATGCCAGCTGTGTGTATTGCTGGAATACTGAAGCCTGGTGTGTAAGGAGCCTGGCATCCTTCTCTCAAAGTTCAGCCCTCATGTCATCTCCTGCAGCAGGTGATGTGAGGGCTGACCTTTGAGAGAGGGATACTAGGATTTACAGGAGAGGTGAGAGGCAAGCCAGGGAAAGAAGAAACTTTGACCGAAGTCCAGAATTCAAGTAATGTAGGGAGTGTTCAGGGTACTATTTGATTGAGACCAAAAATGTAAATAGAGGTGGGTAGGACTCAGACGAACTTACATGCCAGTTTAAGGGATTAAAGTTGGTCTGGTAGGTAATTTTTTCTGCTAACAAAACCCATCTGCCTCTGTAGAGGAAAGAGCTATCTCTATTGTGGACTGAGTAGGACTTGCACTCTCAGAGAAGACAGCTTGAGTCTTAAAACAAGCTTGTTTTTAAACCAAGCAAGGCAATGTTTCTTAGCTCCCATCATGTTAAAAACTTCCATCTAAATCTTCATAAGAGAGTTGATAAATGTCCTACAGACAGACTTAGCTGGCCTGGTTTCTTCCCTATAAGTCCTGGAGAAGAGGCTAGCAACCGACCCTTAAACTTGGCCATCACTCTCCTTGATTGTGGTAGGGACCTAGCATGCACTTAATCATTGATTCTTAAAAGCATTCTGCAGAAGTTTCCTTGTGCTGAGGAAAGAAAGAGTTTATTTTTGTCATTTCCTTTTGGTGGTAGAAGAGAAGAGCATATTTGACATGGCAAGAGTACATGGAAGAGAGTGTTGGTTTTGTCAAATATTGGCATCCTTACATCTAACCGTCCAGTCTGATCCACAAAAGTTTATCTCCAAAGACTGCCTCACTTCCAAACGGAGTACTTGTCTGATTATGCCTGGAAGGAAACCATCCAAGTTGGGAAAATTACTCAATATTCATTTAGGGATATTTATGTAGGACCAAATCATGACTCTCAAAGTCATCACTACTAAGTTTGAGTTTTCCCTTGTTCAATGTAATATATCTCTTTTCTTGGTAAAAATGTTTATAGAGTTCAGAAAAAAAAAAGAACTGCACTGCCACTGAATTTCCTCTTATAATAACAATGATAATATCACCCTCCATTTGTTTGGCTGTTCTAACTTACAAAGTATTAAGAATGATTTTTCAAACTAAGCTTTTGAAATGGCATTATCCCATTTATAGGATGTTGATACTGCCATTTGTCATAAATGCTACAAATGTTTTCTTGAACATGACAGAGACCATGATTTTTGCTTACTTGCCTTTCTATGAATGCCATTCTCTAAAGCAATCCCTCGAAGGGGTTAAATGCCAGCTGTTGAGTATATGTGTTAGAAAACAACAGCAACAACAACCAACTCATTTGGGAATTATCCTTTGCACTCCTCTTTCAAAGGCTAAGTGAGTGTTTTGTAAGGGCTTGACAATGTTATTATCATCAATGTTTTCTTATGAAATTGTTGACTGATCTTGTCTCCTGCTTGTGAGATACAAGCTTCTGAAACTTAAGCCAGCTTTTTCTTCACTAGGAGCTTCTAATTAAGTGACAACCCTCAAGGTAAACAAAGCTCATTTTAAGAGGAAGATAGGTTAGGTAATCAGTTCATTGCCATTTTCTGTCATAGATCTCAGACTGACATTGTTTTATATACAGATGTATGTATATTAATATTTGAATAGGAAAAAGACACCAGATTACCCACTGGGATGTAGTGGCTCTCAGATTTAAATAATAGCTACATCACCTTTAAGAGAAAATAAGAGTAATAATTGAAAAGCTGGGGAAACTTTAGCTAGGCTAACTAGGCATGTTGTTTCCTACAAATTGAAATGATAGGTAGCCAGATAGGCGTGAACGCAAAACAGCATACAAATGAATCCATCTGTTTGTGACCATGTACTTTTGGATGCATTGAGATTAGAACTAAGTGCTATTTCAGGGAAACCCTCCATCTCCTTTGTACCTGAGAAGCATTAGAGTGAGATAAACAATGGGCCCCCACTGAATAGAGAGATCTGATGAAAACTCACAATCGGCAGAGCACCTAATGGGCAGGTAGACGAGGGTGTGACTGTTTGCTTAGCCCTGACAAGCTGTCAGTGTCTCTCAATGGGATGTTCTTGGAAACAGAAAGGAAAACATCACCTGGCCTTTTGTGTTTCTTTGGTTGTTTGTGCTAGCATTTTGTTCAGAGAAACTTTCAAATGAAAACAATAGTTCCAAACAATACATGTCTCTGAAAAGCAAAAGTGCATGTACTGTTCTGAAGAACTTCCAGGTGGCTAAAATGCTACCACCTCATGTACTGGGGATAAAATGAAATGGAGCAATACACCTTACCAGAGGGAGGAACATTGATTCTCAATGACCACTGTAGCTCTCTATTTCTGTGCTAGAGACTTCTGAGGAGGATTCTGATTGTTATTGGCAGATTCTATTCCTTTTAGTTTATGTCATGTTAGTATCATAGTCATAGACACCTGAAGTAGGAAAAGGTCTTATAGAAGTCCTTTAAACTAGTATTATACCTGGTGTAGCTGATAGTTTTGTGACACCCCCAAAAAGTTACCTCACTTTACCAGAATATCACAGTGCTAATTGACCTGCAAATGCCCACCTTACGTAGTTCCCATCTTGTATAATGGCTTTAGTTGTTAGAAAGATTGTTTTTCATGCTGAGCAATAGTAAATCTACTTGTAATCTCTGTGCATTGACCTGTAATCTGCCACTCAGATCTATGCAGAATAAGCCTGCTACAGAGTTACGTATGATTTTTAGAAAAGTACAGCTGGGAAGGACCTCAATGTATTTCTTAGAAATACCTTAGGCTAGAAAAGCCTTTTTAAGTTCTGGGAAATGACATGATATGCAACTCAAGACAGATTTTATTCATTTGTTCATTTATTGCATACATATTTGTTGAGCATATGTTATTTATCTAGCGTTAGAATAGGGGTTGGGATACACTGTTGAATGGTAGTGTGTACTTGGGAACTTATATTCTTATCCACAAATATTTGACTGTTCTCTTTAGAAGGGTCACATGGAAATCTTTATTCTATCTGTATGTTATTCCCTTATTCTATCTGTATGTTAAATAATTAATAGTTCCACCTATCTAACTACATTCTGTCTAATTTCCTTCACTGACATTATCCCTTTCTGGTAGTCGATAAATAGCCCTTTAAAATATTTGGAAACTTTCTCATTTACAAAAATTAAGATGCAATGGTAATTAATTCAGTTTTTCTTCTTCTTTTTCCCTAAGCTGCCTAAAATTCATATAACCTGTTTCTAGAACCATTTGCTTTTTACCTTTAATTACTCTTATTGTCAGTTTTTCTACACTTATTAAAATTGAACATAGTATTTAGGATTGGGTAGAAGGATGATTTCTTTTCTTATGCTTGTAATATATCTGTGAGCACATCCTACACTCACGGTGGCTTGATTACCTCTCATGATAGTGGCATTGCCAGAAAATATTTAACTTGTAGTTGACAAATGACTCCAGTTTCTTTCCAGCTTTATATATTTTATTAGCTAATTTCATTTCTCTAGTGGTAGGTCTTGGTGTTTTTGTTTTTTTTGTATTAAGTATTCTGCTTTAAGTTGTTTCTGTCTTATAAATGACTTCCAAATTTACATCCCTAATTATGATGAGAAATCTAGATCCATCCATCAAAAGGTCTTCTTAACAATATTACAGTATGGAAGTCCAAAAAGCATCAATCTTGACATGGACCAAAACAGAAACAAACAGATGTTAAACAAAAATTAGCTGGGTGTGGTGGTAAGCGCCTGTAGTCCCAGCTTCTCAGGAGGCTGAGGCAGGATAATCGCTTGAACCCAGGAGGCAGAGATTGCAGTGAGCCGAGATCGACTCACTGTACTCCAGCCTGGCAACAGAGCGAGACTCTGTCTCAAAAACACAAAAAAACAACAACAAAAAAAGAAAGAAACCAAAAAAACTGCTTCTTCTGTTCTTCTAATTTCCCCCTCAATTGTTTAACACTCCCCCAAATCAATATTTTCCATGACTTCTTTCTTTTGCTCATGCAACCTCTATATATTTTGTTACCAAATTCATTGACTTCATCTCTAAAAATAACCTAAATATTTCCATTTTTTTTCCACTATTAATAATCTTCATCCAAGCCCCATCTTGGTGTGGTCTCTTAAATTACCACCCCTCCCCAACTCATTTCCTTGAATCCACTTTGGGTGTTGACAATCCGTTTATCACAGAGAAGTGAAACTTGTCTTTTAAAGCTTAAATCAAATTATATTATTTCAACTGAAAATAAGGTCCTTCATGATTTGACTTCTGCCTTATTTTCTTCTACTAATTCTTTCAACTAATCCCTTTTCACACTAAGCTACAGCCACTGACCATCTTTCTGTTCTTCTCACAGGGCAGCTTTTTCATATTAGACCTTTCCTCTGTAATGGTTTTCTCCTGAATCTTTACATGGATACTTCCACTTATCATTTAGATTTCAGTGTAAATGTCACCTACATAGAAAGGGCTTTCTTAAATTTTTAGTAGAAAGTAGCTGTTTGGTGACTATCAAATCACCTTATTTTAGTTGTTTCCATGATATTTATTTCTAACTCATAGTTTTGCATTTATTTATTTCCAAATTGTTCATCTCCTCACACTAGAAAGTAAGTTCCGTGGAAGCTAGGACCTTTCCTTTTCTGTTCATTTCTGTATCCCTAGAACTGAGGTCACTGCCAGATCAGGCACATAGTAGTAGGCATCAGTAACATTTTGATAAATTCATTTTATTTGACTTTGATTCTGTAGTCCTATGTTGCCACTATTTGGAGATCAATTGGAATTTTACTTCTGTCTCCCTGAGTATTGGCAATCCTACTGATTTCAGTTTCCCTGTGGAGCTATTAAGGAATTCACAGTTCCTTTGTCTTGGCCATTAATGAGCTACTGACCTGAGGAGGAGAAGGTACATCCCTTGGGGATACCATTCAATATAGAATTCAATATACAATATATCACCTCAGGATATTTGAAAACTTCTAGTCATCAAAATAATAATAATAATAATAATAAGTTTCACAAATGGCAGCCTATCCAGACCCAAATATTTTATAACTAAGAGATTAAGTTTTCTAATGTTATTTTTTTTGGAGTTTCTTTAGGGAGTTTTATTCTTCATAACTGCCTCAGTGTGAGAATAAAGTGTTAGAAATCGCTGGTCTCAGATCGCCCTAGCTCTAGAGTCCTGCCCACTTGCTTGTGCTTACTTATGTCATCTTTGGGCTTCAGTTATTGTCTATGCTACCTTTTCTACCTGGACGTTGTTGTTTATCATCCTTCCTTTAGGTATCTGCCGATCCGCTCTTTCCTCTAGCAGGCATTTTGCTCCTTCCGTGTGAACTCATTTCATGTAGCAGGACCTTGATCATCTACAATTTCTCTCCCCATCTGGACTTAGCTTTGCCTTGGAGGTCGTATCTCAATACTGGAAGGCTGCGATGGTCTCTCCGTGTCGGCTCTCTGTGTGTCTTCTCTTCATTGTATAAACTAAAGATGGCTGTCCTGTGCTCTGCTCATTATGGCAGTGATGTGAAGACGACTCCTTCCCTGCAATGCTCATGGCACTCACTGCAATTTGCTCTGCTAATGCTGACCTTTTTTATTCATTTATTTGTTTTGAGATGGAGTTTCACTCTTGTTGCCCAGGCTGGAGTGCAATGGCACAATCTCGGCTCGCTGCAACCTCTGCCTCCCAGATTCAAGCGATTCTCCTGCCTCAGCCTCCCAAGTAGCTGGGATTACAGGCATGCGCCATCATGCTTGGCTAATTTTTTTTTTTTTTTTTTTTGTATTTAGTAGAGACAGGGCTTCACCGTGTTAGTCAGGCTGGTCTCAAACTCCTGACTTCGGTGATCTACCTGCCTCAGCCTCCTAAAGTGCTGGGATTACAGGCCACTGCACCTGGCTCATGCTAACCTTTTATTGATAAGGAAATCCTGAGAATGAGACAGAGAGAGGCCTTAAATTCACTTTGGCTTTCATCTGCCAAGACAAAAACCAATTTACCCAAAGTCGCCAAAACAAACCAAACAAAAAACCCAACTAATACTTTCTTACCTTCCGGACTTATTGGCCAGAGTTGACTTGTTAGTAGCCACGACACACTCTGAAACAACTATGATTATTTTAGGAACTGACGGACTACATGGTAAGAAAAGTAAAGTTCATTTCCAATTATACATGTTTTCACTTTTGAAATGAGAAACCTGTTTCTTTGACAAGCAATTTAGATATGCCCAACTTTCTTGGGGCTAGTTTAAATGATTATTTAGCCTTCAATATATTTTTTTAAAAGGCTGAAATAATCAAGTCCTTAAAATTCAAGACAGATGATGATAATTTAGAAACTCATGAAGATGTTTATGGCAGACTGTCTGCATTTCATTCGTGAACATGGATCAAGGTATACCATAAATGCAAAAATTGTCTGAGAGACTGGTTACTTTAGCTGGGTTAAGAGATTGACTTTATTATTGTTTTTAATCTGTACATTAGGACAGAGAGGATAAAATAGAATAAAATAGAGAGAGACAGAGAGATAGAAAGACAAAGAAGTAAGTGAGTAGAGAGTGAACCATGTAGGCTGGCTGCTAATGGGGTGGTAATTCACACCCAACTTATGAGTGCCAGTATAAGTCATGCTTGAGAAATGATTGGATGGATTTAAAGAGGGCCCGTCATTATTCCTTATTATTTCATTCATGTATTCATTTAACATGTATATAGTATCAACTATATGCCAGGTTTTCTGTTAAATACTAAGAATAGAAGAATTAACGGTATGGTGTTTGACCTAAAAAAAATACTCCCAGGTTAGGCTGGGCATGGTGGCTCACACCTGTAATCCCAGCACTTTGGGAGTCCGAGTGGGAGGATTGCTTGCAGCCAGGAGGTTGAGACCAGCCTGGGCAATAAAGCAACACCCCACCTCTACAAAAATAATTAAAAAAAAAAAAATTAGCCAGGTCCAGTGGTACACACCTGTAGTTCTAGCTATTTGGGAGGCTGAGGCGGGATAATCACTTGAGCTGAAGAGTTCAAGGCTGCAATGAGCTATGATCACGCCGATGCACTCCAGCCTGAGCAACAGAGTGAGACCCTTGTCTCTTTAAAAAAACAAAAAACATGGCCAGGCACGGTGGCTCATGCCTATAATCCCAGCATTTTGGGAGGCCTAGGTGGGTGGGTTACGAGGCCAGAAGATCGAGACCATCCTGTCTAACACAGTGAAACCCTTTCTCTACAAAGAATACAAAAAAATAGCCATGCTTGGTGACACGTGCCTGTAGTCCCAGCTACTCAGGAGGCTGAGGCAGGAGAATCACTTGAACCTGGGAGGCGGAGGTTGCAGTGAGCCGAGATCGTGTCACTGCACTCCAGCCTGGCAACGGAGTGAGACTCCGTCTCAAACAAACAAACAAACAAAAACCCTTCACAGTGTGGTGGGAGAATCAGACATCTTATTTACCATTATATATATTATATATATAAATATTATGTGCATATATTAGGATTTATGTGTGTGTGTGTGTATACACACACACATACTGTGCGGAGCATTGTAAGAGAGATATATTTGTGTTATATTTGTTATTAAGGGGTTTTTCAATGATAAGACATACATGATCTCTGAACTCGCAGAGTTTATAATCTTGAGTTGAGATATTCAAGATCAGTTAAGGAGTCAGTAGTCAGCACTATGATAGGAGAAGGCCTGGGTATTATAGGAACATACAGAAGGGAATTTTAATCCTAAATTATGGAAATAGAGTAGAATTAAGAATCAGCCAGAACAAAAATGAACCTATGATAGAGGATCCTATGATAGAGGATGAAGAAACTAAGGCTGTCTTGGGAAAGAAGGGATGCTGAGAAAAGCTTCTCAGAGGAGATGGTCCTTGGGCTATGCCCCCTGGTTAAATCAAGGGGCAGAAAGGTCCTTGATAATATCAAGAAAGGAAAGGAAACAAGCACTCAGAATTGGTCAAGTCTCTTCCACTAGTTACATCTCTTTAAAGCATTGCAGGTTCTGTTTCCACAAGGGGCCAGACCTTCCTCTTACCTTTGGATGAAAGATGAGGCAGTGTTGCTCAGAACATCTCAGACTCTCAGTGGTCATCCCTAAAAGCCCCTTAAAGTGGCACTGGGGAGGGAAAATGGTCCTAACATCTGTTTTGAACAAATAGAAAATTGCTGTTTGTAAGGTTTGATCTGAAAGACAAACCCCCTCCCTTTCCATTGGGTCCACCAGCCTTACTCAGTTTGTGTCAGAACCTCCAAGGGCTGAATGGATTGTGCTGTAAATTGAACCTCAGGTTCCATTCTGAGTACTTGAAACGTGACATTCCATCCACTAAGCCCTCCTGCTTGGGCTGTTTGTCGATTCTAATGTGTTGAAATATATCTGCAACTCTAGGTGCTGTCTCCGCCCAAGTCCAGAAATGCAGTTTTGATCAAATCTCATAATAATATGGGGAGATGTTGAAGATTAAAACCTATTGATAATCCACACTGCCAGAAAGCAAGATACAGAGGAAAATTTAATAACCTGAAAAACGGTTACAGAAGAGTGTGGCTTTATTTTCAGCTGTCTTTTTTGTGTACTTGTTTCCAACACAGGGTGAGTTTTGATGAGGGCCACTCTTGGGACAAGTATGGTTTCACTTCGGTTCCTCTCTTTGTTGACGGGGCTCTGGTGGAGGCAGGAATGGAGACCCACATCATGACGTGAGTACTTCTTTTGCTGTGACAGGAAGAAGACCAGAGACACTGGTTCTACTTTCATTGAGGCCTTGGATTTTTCCCAGGGAACCCTACACCAAAGTGGTCCAATCTCTGGGCCAAAATTTCCTCATCTATAAAATGGAAATACTTATTTTTATACCTACAAACTCAAAAAGCTACTGCCAGGATTAGGGAGGCTAGGGTCCTAATTGAACAGTCAAGGTTTCTAATAGAATTTAAAGAATTATAGCAAATTCCCATTTATTTAAAACCCAAGCAAACAGAAAACTTATGTCGTTAGATGGTTTTTTTCTCTTTCCAAAACAGTCTAGTGGGAGATAAGGAGCAGGGGCAGGGATGGAGGGAGTAAAACAGTCAACTTATTGAAATCAGAAATATTGTAAGAGATGTCTCTTTCTCTCTCTCATAGACACACACACACACAAACACACACAGACACACACTCCACAGTTATTTTGCTTCAGATTATTTCACTGTAAATTTTTTTCTATACTCTTTTATAATGAGATTTAATCTTAGAAGTTGATCACCTGTGTTTATGTGTGCACATGTGTACATGGTGAGTGGGTAACCGTAATCCTCCACCAACCAATACTGTCCCCCACCTCCCCTACTCCCATTTGGCTGGAGAACCTTACACCTCAGCTCTTCACTGGACAGAGTGGAGTCTTGTTGGGCAAAATTAAGGGATATTTGCTACAGTGTGGAGTTGGCACAGAAGGGCTCACAGCGTGCATCTGTGCTGGTTCGGTGGAAGGGTGTATGATCTTCCTACGCTTAGGGACACTGCTCTTGTTTTAACTTTTGTACACATAGATTTCTTTATAGTTTGAATTAGTCTTTTTCCAATGGTGATGGACTTGGAAGAAAGGCCAATCTAGGAGCCAATAAGTGATCAGTTATAAAAAAATTCTTTGTAACTGTATTTATGCAGTTTTGATCAAATCTTATAGTTTGGCCCCATTCTCGTCTATGAGGCCTATTTGAACTCATTGCATCTTCTTTTGGGCATTACTTTGAACAACATCATGTGTATGCCAATCTCTACATGACCTGGTATTCCCTAGCAAGTTTAAGGCCACAGCTTAAGTTCTGTGTTCATCTAATCTTAAATGGTAATAATTTTTTTCTCAGCTTCAGATGGAGTTTAGCTGGTCACATGGATATGAGGGAGATTGACCTCAGAGCCAAACCATTTACTGAAAAGATGAGATAGCACTCCTGTTTTCCTTTCCTCCTGGCCAAGACTCCCTAAGAGCTTGACAGAGCTTCTGTGCCTGTTTTATTTTCTTATCAAGATACTTAGAGAATAGAGCATAATCATTTTCTTATAGGGGATCTTTTTATGAAATTAAGATGGATCTTGGAAGTATTCATCAAAATGAATATAAACAATTCAAGTTACCTGTTTTCACATTTTGTTAAATTCAGAGTTTCTTTTGTATGAAAACAACACAGATTTTGTCAGGACTCTTCAGATAGCTGGACAAGCCCTGGAAGGGTTGCCAAGAGGTGATTTCTATCTCTATTCTAAATTTGAAAATGGTATTGAAACCAACTGGCCTACTAGGGTTGCCCAGTTGTGGAATGGCAATGGCAAAGATTGAAATAGGAGTTTTAAAATATTATGTATTTCTGTAGGAACTGTGAAGACAGGGAGTCCATTTGGGGACAAGAATGCTTAGCTTTGCCGTTGAATTGAAAACTTATTAATAAAGTAGGTCATTCAAATACTGTGTATCCTTCCCCTTACTGTTAACCCTGATTCTCTCTTTAGCTCTGTGTGGTCAGGGAGAAAAAACAGCCACTCTAAGGTTCTGTTGCTTTCTCTTATCCATTGATTTGGAGAATTTATATATTTAACAGTTAGAGAGCTTCTAATATATATCAGACCTTGTTAGAACTTAGGAGATTTTATAAAGGCAAATGAAATTATTTGTCTGCAAGGAGCTCTCAGACTTAAGTGGTGAGAGTAAGTGGGGATAAAGTAATCATCATGGTACCCTAGTTATACAGCCAGGAGATAGCAGAGGAAAACGAAGAATTCACACACACAGTAGGTGACAACTGAGTTGGTCTGGAAGTTTTCATAGCAGTTCACAAGTGGAAAACCATATAATAGAGAATGAAATGTAAGTTCCAAGAAAGCATAGATTTTTAACAGTTTTATTCACTAATATAAACTCAGTGCTGAAAGCAAGGATTGGCATGTTGTAGGAAGTCAGTAATCGTTGAATGAATGAATGATTCCAAGGCAAAGGAAAGAACACAAACAAAGGTAAGAACCATGAAAGAGGGTGGCTGGGTGTTAAGGGAGTAAGACTATGAAAGATTTTAGGTCACATTTAGGAATTTGACCTGTATCCAGAGTGATATTTTTGAAATTAAAAAATCTGATCAAATCACCAGTTTTCTTAAAACCCATGGAGCCCTTTCCATTGCCTTTAGGATAGAGTCTAAACTCATAGAATGGCCTACAAGTATCTATATTGACCACCTGCTTGGGGCTTTTTCTCCAACCTCCCTGACCTGACCACCCTTTTCTGATGCACTGGTGCCTTCCTGCCCCCAGGTTCTTTGTATCTGCCAGAATGGGCCTGCCTTCCCTACTTAAACAACTAAATTTCTAAGTATCTTTCTGATCTCAGTTTAAATATCAGTTCTCATAGCCTGCCAGATCAGGATGGGTTCCCACGCTCTATGTTATCTGGCCTTATTTATTTTTTCCTTCACAGCACTTTAGATAATAAATGTTAATACAAAGGGTATTAGTTGTTGAATATCTTTCCCCTCCATCTTCATCTACCCTTAAGACAGACATGTGGATGCACACACATGTGCACACGTGCACAGACATCCCTGCATGTGACTTTAAGTTCCCATGAGGGAGGATCTTTGTGTATCTTGTTCTTTCAGTGCCATATATTTACCAGGCTTGTGCTAACATGGAGGATTTAACAGTATATATGTACTGGATAAATGAATTATTAAATGGAAGAATCAAGTGACTTCTAAAAATCTTACCTTTGTTGTGATTGTTGTGATTTTTCTGGCCCATGGCTCTAGCATGTTAGGAAATTGATTATAGATCTCTAGAGATTCTGAAATGCTATGGTCAGAATGCAGTAGGTGCAAATCATGGGGGCTGGGGTTGGATAGGAATCAGAGCAGACTGCATATGTGTGTAGAGGTGTCTATATGGAGGTTATGATACATTGGGGTGGAATGGCATGTGGGCACAAAAGGGCAGCTAGAGAATGAGGAGCTTACTGGGAATGATTCTGATTTCCTCCACCTTTCACAATAATCTGCCCAATTTCCACTTTTCCTGGAGGCCAGTGCTCCAGGAACATGGACATTTCTAACACCGTAGCTTTGCAGGAGGATTTACATGGGAGACAGTCCCCAGAGTGGAGGCCTGGGACTTGGCTACCTTTATTGCTCTTTTTACTACTGTCTTTTCAGATGTTATTATTTAAACATCCCCCTGGTAACTGTAATGGGAACCATCTAGTCTAGCCAAATTCAAAATGAAATGTGACTGTTCTTATTACTTAAGGCTGAGGACAGGCTGACTGACAAGCTGGAGGGCCTATTGCAGTCTCAGGCAGTGGCTCTCCAGATGATGAGATGCCTGTGGCTGTTGCAGCACTTGGGCCTCTTTGGTCCACTATTTCATGAAAGGCTGTTTGCCCTTTGATTAGCACTTTAAAGAGAGCTTTTCTTTAGCTTGACTGAGATGTGGAATCAGATAGAAAAACACTGCTTTCCTGCATCCTCAAAGCTATGTTTGAAATTCTTTCCTGATAAGAAATGTTTGAACCAATTGGCTATGATTTAGCTATAGTTTTACAGGGGCCAAAGAGAACCTAGCAGCTTCCTAGAAAAAAAAAATCTTAGAAGGGAGAAGTACAGCTTCTCTGAAAGAGATCAGACACTTCTTACCATGAGTGAATGTCTAAAATGCTTAAGGAGAATTTAGTCTGATTTGGAGGAACCCAGTGAAGACCTTGCAGCCAACTTGTGACTATTCAGCATCTTTTTTTTTTTTTTTTTTTTTTTGTGCCAGGTATCACATTGAGCACTTTTTCAAACTTGATTTTATGGAAATCTCCCAACAACTCTGGAAGGTAGATAGGATTGGCATCATTGGGCAGATGAGGACACTGAGGCTCAGCTCACATGTTCATAAAGAGGCAAAATAAGAGCAAGGAATGTGAATTTCAAGCTCCAGGCTTGAAGGTAAAATTTAAAGGAAGGTACTATAATTCTCTAAGGTTTGTTCCATCAAGGAGTACCAAGATGTGTGGGGAAACAGTGGCAGTATACCAGTTGTTTACTTAGTAAGATGAGTGCCTGCTATGCTGCCAGACACCAAGTCACAGCAGACCTAGTTCTTGATGTTAATTCACAATCCATTTGAAGAAGTACGATAAATACATGAAATAATTAGATAATGATTAAATGGTAAGGTATGGTATAAATGTGTTTTGTTGTTGTTGTTGATGTTGTTTGTTTGTTTGAGGTAGGGTCTCACTCTGTTGCCCAGGTTGGAGTGCAGTGATGCGGTCATGGTTCACTGCAGCCTTGACCTCCCAGGCTCAGGGGTCAAGTGATCCTCCTACCTCAGCCTCCCAAGTAGCTGGGACTACAGGTGCTTGCTACCATTCCCGGCTAATTTTTGTATTTTTTATAGAGGTGGGGTTTTGCCATGTTGCCCAAGCTGTTCTTGAATTCCTGAGCTCAAGTGATCTGCCCACCTCAGCCTCCCAAATTGCTGCAATTACAGACACATGTGCCAGTGCGCCTGGCCAGTATGGGAAACATTTTAGTTGCCGTTAGATATCAAAGATGTGATTGAAGACAGAGTGGCTGTAAAGGGGTTCATGGCTATACAGAAAAGAGGGAGCAAGGACATTCCTGGTGGGTGGAACAGTGTGAGCAGACATGGAGTGGTAGGAATGTGCCTGGACAGTAGAGGAAAGTGAGAGGTGAAAAGGGCTACAGATACCTTTGGCTAGGGCCAATTGCCTTGTTGACTCCTCTTATAAATCCAGTTGTAATTGGCATAAATCTCTGATTAATTGTTCCACCAGCAGAACTAACAGCCAAAGTGAAGGGTAGAAAGATCATTTTGCTTAGAAAATTATGCAAACCCCAAAGCTGCAGAGGTTTTTTTTTCTTTTTTTAAATGAAGCCTTTTCCACTTAAAAAACTGTGACCACATGCCTAGCAGGGATCATTCTTTTAAATACAGCCTTAGCACAACGCAGAGGCTCAGCACTGAGCTTAAATGCATTGTTTAGCCTCTAGTAACTGCATCCGATAAAGTCGTTGAAAATGAACCAGAGCTGCTTCCATTGATCTGTTTTTCAATTCTCTGTTGTTTGCTGGAAGAGCCTGATTTTACTTTGCCCAAAGTAAGTCATTCGAGTAATCGGCAAATCCGGTGGAACTCCCAAGTCATCACCTCTCAGGCTGGCTGCTTGATTCATAACCTTCAGATTGTCGCCAGGCTTGCCAGCAACTCAGAGGCACACTCTTGTTTGTGCCAAGGAACACAAAAGCAGAATCCATGCCTGCAGAGGGGGTATTGGATGATGGTAGGGTATACTGGGGACTGGCAACAGCCTGGAAGGAAAAAGCTTATTTTGATCAATGGATTGCTGTGTGGGCTCAGGGGGAGGGATGGTGTGGTGACTGAGAGCATGGGCTTTGGAGATTCACTTTCCAGGGAAAATGCTCAGCTGGCTGTTTACCACCTATGTGACTTTAGTGCCTTGCTTCACTCCGCTCTGAGCTCCCGTTTCCTCATGTGGATGTGAGGACTAAGTGAAATAATAACCTCTATTGAAGAACATTGGACATGTTGGTAATCTCTGTGATCTAATGATCAAGAAACAGGCCACTTGCAGGGAAGAGTTTTGGCCAGCTAGAGCAGGGGTTGGCAGACTCCTGTAAAGGGCCACACAGTAAAGATTTTAGGCTTTGCTGGCCATAGGGCTTTTGTTGCAACTATTCAATCCTTCTAGCCTAGTGGGTGAAAGCAGCCATAGACAGTATGGAGACAAATGGGCATCTGTGTGTTCCAATAAAACTTTATGAACACTGAATCTTGAATTTCATATAATTTTCACATGCATGTCATAAAATATAATTCTTCACTTGCTTTTCCCCCCCAACCATTTAAAATGTAAAAATAACTCTCAGCTTGTGGGCCGTCCAAACCATAGAGCTGGCCAGACATGGCCCGTGGGTTGTAGTTTGACCCTGAACAAGAATGCCCATGGGTTTTTATCCATTGTAAATATATTAAAAATACCATTTGAATTTTTGACAGTTTTTACATATTTCCCCTAGCTATAAATTGCTTCTCCAATTGCACTGCCTAATGAAATATTGAAAATATACTTTTTATGAAATGGCTTAGAAGTTTCCTTATTTCTTTAAAAAAGTTTTATTGAGATATAATTGATATATACAAAATTGCACATATTTAATGTATACATTTTGATGAGTTTGGATGTATATGTACAACCATGACCATCACCACAATTGCAGTTACTAAACATATCCTATCATCTCCAAAAATTACCTTTTGTTCTTTTGTGAGTTTTTTTGGGTAAGAACATTTAACATGAATTCTGTCCTCTTGATGTATTTTAAAGTGTACAATAATGTATTGCTAAATACAGACACTATGTTATACATCAGATTTCTAGAACTTACTCATCTTGCATAATTGGAACTTTATGTGCATTGAAGAACTCTTCATTTTCACCTCCTCCTGCCCCTGGCAATTATCACTCTATTCTCTGCTTCTATGAGTTTGACTATTTTAGATACCTTATGTAAGTAAAATCATAAAGTATGTGTCCTTCGATGATTGGCTTTTTTCACCTAACATAATGTCCTCTTGGTTCACCAATGTTGTCATAAATGGTATATTCAGCTTTTGTTAAAAAAATAAAATAAAAAACACTCCTCATTTCTTATCAAAACCCCACATATAAGTCTCACCTCTTTCAGGAAGCCCAAGTTCTTTCTCATTTCCTTATATTGAATTCCTTTCATGGGGCTCACAGTGACTCACAGGTGTATCTTGCTTGGTGTGTACTTTTTCCAATGGAGCCCACATTTGCAAAATCAGAAACATCTGGCAGCACTAAGTCCAACACCCTGTAGTCCAACATTCTCCTGAAGCTGCATGGCAACTGCCCACTTCGGACAGGGTATGCTGTTTCTGCCCCACCCCTCACCTGGTGTACACATGTCCTCTCCGGCTGTCCCGTTTCACTCCTTGTTCGTTGAAGTTGCCCTCCTGCTCTGGTAAGATTTTAAATTTGTGATTCACAATTTGGATTCTATATCTGCAATTTCATAACTACATTATTGTCTTACAGGTTTTTGTTGACATTTAAGAAATACAGAATAATGCAAAGAATAATATTACAAAGCTTGTGTACCCACCACCTGAAATTAATAAATATTAATCTGTTATCACTTTGATTCAGATTTTTAAATAAAATATACAGGAAATCCTAGATAGAATTGATATTTTCATTATTGTCCATCTCAGACTTATTATCCTTACTCCTTCCACAACCCCTTCTAGAACATATGTGGACACTTTCAGCACTTATGTATTCATAGAAATATATGTGGTATCACTTTATATGTTTTCTAAATGTCTAATTTATAAAAATAATATTCTTCTACATGATTTTTTCTCTCAATATTATCTATCTGGGGTCATATCCATCTGGTCCAGGCACTTTTCGTGCTATATGGCATGTTGTCATGATATAAATATGCACAATTTATTTATCTATTTTCTTATCAATGGAAATTTAGGTTATTTCTAGCTATGTGCTCTTACAAACAGTATTACCACATCTTTATGTATGCCTCCAGGTACATACATGGAAGAAGTTCTCTGAGTTGCAAGCCAGAAGTGGAATTGGTGGGTCATGGTGAATTGACATTATCACAAATAATGCACTCTTATTATGCAACAATAATGCAATAATAATTCTTGTACTATTTTCTGATTGTTTTACATGTGGATTATCTTTGCAGATAGAATGCCAGGGCTTTTTATTTGTTCTGTAAGATTGAGGAGGCTTGCAACTGTGTCTTATTTATTATCTCCCATAGCACTGAACATAATTGTCCTCGTGCATAGGTGATGCTCAGCAAATATATGGTGAGTAAGTAATTCTGTTGGACTCGATGGCAAACTAAGAGCAGGTACTGAACTTTATACTTTTTCTGATTCTTTTTATTTTTTGGTTCAGGAATTGACATAAAGTAGGAAACTGAGAAATGTCATGACATTTTAATGACATAAGAAAACACAGTGTCCCTCTTTCCCTTCCTCTCTTATAGCTCTTTAAATTTCCCTATCTTAACCGGGTGCGGTGGCTCACACCTGTAATCCCAGCACTTTGGGAGGCTGAGGTGGGCAGATCACCTGAGGTCAGGAGTTTGAGACCAGCTTGACCAACATAGTGAAACCCCGTCTCTACTAAAAAATACAAAAATTAGCTGGGCGTAGTGGTGGGCACTTGTAATCTCAGCTACTTGGGAGGCTGAGGTGGGAGAATCGCTTGAAACCAGGAGGCAGAAGTTGCAGTGAGCCGAGATCGTGCCACTGCACTCCAGCCTGGGCAACAAGAGTGAGACTCCATCTCAAAAAAAAAAAAAAAAAAAATTCCCTCTTTCCTCCTGTCTAAATCCCATCTCAAATATCCATCTTCTCCCTTGTTTCCATCTCTTAGAGTCTCTGTCATTGCTCAACTCCAGACTTATCTTCTACAGGTTCACAGACCACATTTTCTCACCCACAGTTATGGACCTTAAACTTTCAAGCCCATTACAGGGATTTAGTTAGTTTTGAGAAAAGAATCAAAGTTGTTTGGACTAGGATGATTTATTTTTATTCATTTTAGAAATCATCTTTCTTCCTTTTGCTTCTTCTCTCCCAATGCTTTTTAGTCTCTTTCTCGGTTTTCCTTCCACCCACCTCTTCCCCCCATATTTATTTTCAAGCCTTTCAATCTTTGCCGCTTTCCACTACCTTGCCAATCATTGTATTGTGTAACTAACAGTCTCCACTTACAGGATTCTTGCTGTTGATCCCCTGCCTATTTCTATTAAGGTCTAGTTCATGTCTGGCCTTCGCTCAGTGCAATTCGCCCTGTAGCCACTGACCTCCTTTACCACTAATCCCATCTACATCCTAATGGGAAAACAATCAGGTGGCATGGACACACACCAATAGCCAAGAATGTGGCCTGAATTTCTGGAGACCAACAGCTGTTGTCTGCTGATGTCTGGCCTTGCCACAACTATGCTCTTTCTACTTTGATTTGAAATCTGTCCTCAGCAGCTTCCTTCATGGAGGGAGGGAAAGGAGGAGGGCTTTTGGAGGCAGAGGAAAAAGGAGGCATGGGGAGCCAGGCCTTTCAGAGAGAACTGAACTCTTATAGGAACACTTAAAAGAGGATTCGGGAGTCCACATGAATCAAGTGTTGCTATTACAAGAACATTTATTATTTCTTTACTCAACAATACGTATCGATAGCTTACTACAAGGCAGGCACTGTTTTAAGAGTTCTAGAAGCTGGGCTAGGGCATAAACAAAATAGTCAGGGTCACTGTTAAGAAGTTTATATTTTAAAAGCCACTTCCATCCTCAGTAGAGGAAAGATCAATTTTGAAGGAGGTTTATTTCAGCTCTGACATTCATGGAATCAGTTCTATAATCCAATTCTGAGCTTTTTAAATGGTGGTGGTGGTGCTGCTGCTGCTGGTGGTGGTGGTGTGTGTAACTGAGTAAAAGAGAGAAAAAAAATTGGGGGAGATAGATAGTGCTAAGGCTTAAGGGCTTCAGGGTACCTCTAACTTCCAAAGATTCTAACCCTGGCTTCAGTTTGATTTTTGCTTTTTGCCTAGCCTGAGAAAGAATAACATGCCAATGAATCAAAGGAACATCACAGAATATTAAAAGCATTACCTCCAGTGAGGCTTTTATTTTCTTATCTACAGATTTTTTTAGTTTTCAAATTTTTCATGATGAGAGTGCATTATTTTTATAATGAGAAAAAGGGAAATCATTTATCAAAATGATAAATTTAAAATGACATTTTAAAAAATCATCTCCCAGATAATGAAAGGGAGGGGCTGCATTTGAGTTTATCCTGATGATGATGTGGGTCACTCTTACTCTCCCTTTGAGGTTGTGATCTGGAGGAAGAAAGAGCCTCAACTGTGTACCATCACTTCCCAGTGCTAACCAATGCCCTGATGAAATTAATACTAAATCATTTCAAATAAACATACTACTAGAACCCAATAAGAGGTAAGAATGGGAAATAGACAAATTCTACTTGTAAAATAAAATTTCAGGAAATTGCTAAATAGTGGCTTCTGCTGAAACAGTTCTCTAATTTCTTCAAGGTCATCTGGTTAATTTATGCTGCATTTGTAAGTTATTGTGTATTTTAAAAATTAATGAAAGATTTAATTATAGCAGGGTTGCCTGTGACCTTTTGTGAAATGACTTCATCATAAATCTGCAGGCATTTTAGAACTGTTTTCCAGGTTTGTAATAATTTGCTCTCAAATTAATGACATCCAGCCAGTAAAAGGAGTTGAAGCTGGGTGAAAGGATTGAGTCGGGATTTGTGGTTACCTAGCAATGGCTAATTCTGAGTCCTGGATGGAGGTGGTAGAGGAGATGGTGTATGACTCACCGGAATCCACAGCACGTTTAACTATTTGCTTAGAGGAATGAGAAATAAATCCAGTGTGTCAATAGGGAGAAGTTGTATGTAGCCAGAGTGGGTCACTGGAGAGCAGTTGATTACAGTTCATTTATCTACATATGAATGTAGGGTAACCCCTGGACCAATGTGAGAATTTCTCTTCTTCCCTCACTTCTAGCAGGGGTTCTTTATTTGTAAATTGAGGGTCTTTGCCTGCCCTCAGCTTGCTGGCTACCCATGAAACCCATTTTAGACTCTAGCGCCCTAGTATTTCTGACTTTCACCCACGCAAGTGGCTCAATGAGCAGCATAGTTAAGCTGTCTCTGGATAGGAGTAGGCTCATTTCATCTTTGTCCCTGTCATTCTGATGATTCATTTGATCCAATAAAGTGAGAGGAAAGGCTGTGCAGGGGAATGCCACGTCTTAGCACATCAAAGATCCTCTGTCTTAGAAGAAACTGGTAGTGCACATCTGTAGTTACAGAATGGCAGGCTGGAGTTTGGAAAATGCAGAGCACCCTTTAGGCGCAGGAGCCTGGGAGAAAAGGCAGTGAAATCTGGAAAGTAAGTCTTGGCTGAAGCCTTTCCTAGTTAACTGCAGTCCTGGATGTGAATCACTTCTCTACTCTGCATTCCTCAAGTTTTCATGGTGCTGCGGTCACATATGGCACACCATGACTCTGCAAGCTGAAAGTTTCCCATGAAGAGCAGTCAGCTTGGAAGAAAGAGCTGGCTGTCAAGAGACTTGGGTTCCAGATCTTTGTGTCCTTGAGCAGGCCTTAGTTTCCCCAGCTAGCATGTGAAAAGGTTGGTCAGAAGCTCATCCATAAAGACCCCTCCAGCACTGAAACTTTATAATTCTGTTTGTTCTTTTGTATGCCTCAGGGATTCCCAACTGGAGGCTAAGCCAATAGACTCATAGCTCAGAGTCAACTACATAATTCTTCATGCAGTAGATGCTTTAGCCTTTGAGACAAATAGGGTCATAATTGGAACTTTCTAGATAACCTCTTCTCTGCAGATTTCTCCTTTTTTCCTCCAACTGTACTTTCAGTTTTATATATTTCAAGGCATTTCTGCCTTTTATGCAAACAGGCTATTAGGAGCTGGAGGTGAGAGCATCCCATTGCCCATACCTCAGTGCCAAACTGTGCAGTTAAATGATTGCTAATGAGTCATGAAGGACTTAAAAAAGAGTAACAGCCTTGCTGAAAACACACATTGCTGAGAATTGTTTTAGAATGGTTGCTGCAAATGCCTAAATTTGACCCCTGGCTTCATCATTTACTTGCTGTGTAACCTTGTCAGATGAGTTATTTAACTTTTCTGAACCTCAGTTTCCTCATCTGTTAAATGGGAGTAACGAATAAAATGAGATGATCCATGCATAGTTGTTAGCATACCCTCAGTGTTCAATAATTTTTCACTAATATTAGTAATATTAATTGTTATTATTATTTTTGAGACGGAGTCTCGCTCTGTCACCTCGGCTGGAGTGCAGATCTCAGCTCACTGCAACCTCTGCCTCCCGGGTTTAAGCAGTTCTCCTGCTTTAGCCTCCTGAGTGGCTGGGATTACAGGTGCGTGCCACCACGCCAAGCTAATTTTTGTATTTTTGGTAGAGACGGGACGGGGTTTCACCATATTGGTCAGGATAGTCTTGAACTCCTGACCTCATGATCTGCCCACCTCGGCCTCCCAAAGTGCTGGGATTTCAGGCGTGAGCCACTGTGCCTGGCCTAGTAATATTAATTATTATTGTTATTTGACTGAGATCTGCTGATCTACTGTTTGCAAAGTCTTATGGGTATGGATCATGGGGATATAAAAGCATAAGGCACACTGTCTGCCCACAAAGTTCTTAGACATCCAGCAAAGACAAAGTAAATAATCATAATATATAACCATACTAATAATTGTTTAAAATTATTAATTTGTTAATTTATAGCAATCACTATAAAATACAACTCAAAATCGTGTTAGATACTGCTATTATCCTCATTTTGCACATGAGGAAAGTAAGTTTAAAGTGTGTAAGGAACCCTCTGTAGTTCCAGGATTGGGGCTCTCATCTGGGCCATCTAATATGAACACTTTTGTGCTTAAGCACTTTATTCTACAGCCACTCAGACAATAAATATGTGACAAGCACCTGTGATGCATAAGGCACAACTTATGTGAGTTGCAAAGTTCTAAGAAGTTAAAATCTAGCAAAGAGAATAAGACACTTATGTACATATGCTATGATTTTTGATACATTTTGGAAGTGCTGTGGGTCATACCCAAAATACAGATAAAATGCTAAGAAATTCAGAGGAGAGTGATTTTATTTTCTTCTGAGGAAGGAAAAGAAGCAAGGAGGAAAGATCAGAGAGGACATAATAGAAAGGTAGTATTTGAATTACAAGTAAAAGGAATAACCTACCAAGAAAATAGAATAATCTCAAAACCTGTACAGTTTTGTGGTTATATAATATAAAGACTATAAAACATGCAAGGAGAAATGAAAGGTTTGCAATCGTAGGAAAACATTTTGATAAACCTCACTTAGAAACCAATAGACCAAGTAGTCCAAAGGTTAGTATGATTTTGAATATTGAATAACATTATTAGAAAGCTTGATTTAAAGCAGCAGTCCCCAACCTTTTGGGAACCAGGGACTGGTTTCGTGGAAGACAGTTTTCCATGGGTGAGAGTGCAGGTGGGGGGTGTTGATTTCGGGAAGAAACTGTTCCACCTCAGATCATCAGGCATTAGTTAGATTCTCATAAGGAATGCACAACCTAGATCCTTTGCATGTACAGTTCATAGTAGGGTTCATGCTCCTGTGAGAATCCAATACCACAGCTGACCTGACAGGAGACAGAGTTCAGGCAGTAATGCTCGCTCCCTAGCCACTCACCTCCTGCTGTGCGGCCCTGTTCCTAAACATTTAATATATTTCAACATGTTGACCATACACTGAGCCAAATACAATGTCTAGACTACTTTCAAAGAGCTGATTATCATTGAAACCACATTCTCTTTAAATATTTGCAATTAAATTAGAGATTTTAAATAAAATGATGGTGATGAAAACAAAGAATAAAAAACTTCAGTTTTTTATATTCTATATGACTTCCATGCCCATACTCACATTAATAAATTTGTATGCCTTTGAAAAGAAAAAGGAAGAAACCTCATACATTTGGAAACAAAACCGTGAGTTCTTTATGAATCATTTTGTTTCTTAAAGAGGAAATAAGGATGGTCTCTGGAAAATATTTAGATTTGAAAAGCTTTTCTCCTGCCCCTTTTATCCTCCAATCAAAACCTACTACCTGTATTTTGACCTAAGGCTTACAGAATGAGTAGGAGTTGGACAAGACAAGGTGTGGGGTAAGCCATCCCAAGCAGAGGAAAAGCATGTTGAAGCCTGCGTCTCTTGATGCAGAGGCTTCTAGCCTGAAGACTGACAGTCCAGTCAAGGCAGTAACAGAAAGAAGAAACTCAGGAAGGGGCTGGCAGAGTCGGCTTCACCCTGCTCTGTTTCTGAAGATGTTATTCCGGCAGATGGAAATGGGACAGTTGGTGGTTAGAAGAACTCGAGTTGCAGGCACTGGAGTCTCTGAGGACAGAAAAGAAGGACGTCCCAGTTGTGAGTCAATGGCAAATCAAACTCAACAATATTATCTTAGTTGAGTTTGATCAAAGATGCACTCAATAGTCAGCCTGCAGTGAAGTCCACTAATATAACTCCCAAAGCACTGTTTGTTCTTCCTTTTCGACGTTTTTTAGTGGCTTCCTAGGAACAAATTCTGATTCTTTCTTGAAGGATTGTGGTCAACCATTCTCTTCTTGAAACTTCTCTCAGCTTTCATAACTATGCATAAAAGTTGGCATAATTGGGAGGCTACAAAAGAATCAAATGACTAGGCAGGCGAGAGTCAAGTAACCCAGGGCTGCTCTCCTATAAAGAGGAAAACATCTTTACAGAGCCTAGTCCTCTAATTACATTTAGTGTGGCATTCTTTCCACCTAAATTATAGCAATTATATACAGAGATCCCCTTTGAAATCATTTAATTAATGAGTAGCTAACCCTCTCTGTGTATAGAATTCTAATGAGGTCTTTTATTTTTGTGAACCGCCTCCCTCCCTCAAATTAATTACTCCCCTTCCTGAAAGGCTTACTCAGGCCTGAATGGTGGATTAAAGGAGGTGGGTTATTTAGGGTCCCAGCAAATCATATTTGTTTGTGGAAATCCTAGCACAGTCCAGGGTGACAAGGGACAGAGCATTTGCTGCAATTACTTGCCTGAGATTGTTTCTGTCCTTCTATATTCCAAATGATACACAACTCAGCCACATTCTTTGACCCAGAAATAAGGGCAGATGAAGCTATTACCTCAATTTTGGAAGAAGTGAATGATTTTGTTAGATTAATTCTATCATTAATCAACCCAGAAGTATTTATTAAGCATCTGTTATATGAAAGAAGTACCAGTGCAGACAAAGATGAATGACTGTAATAGATAAATCCTTTGTGTATAGGGTTACCAGGAGATGGATAGCTTTGATGTAGACATTGAGGTGTACTTTGAGGTAGACATGGGGATTGAAAGAAAATAAACTCTTAGAAATGGTCTCAAAAGGGCCACATTCCCTGTAGGCTATTTCTGCAACTCATTCTTTGAACACATGTCACTGATTTCAAACAATCTTTTATTAAAAAGATAAGTCCTTGAGAGATGAAGTGATTTGCTCAAGGTCACCTACTTAATTTTATGGCAGACCATGTCTAGGAAAAGCCAAGTCTTCTATTTCCCTGCCCAGTACTCTTGCGACCATGCCCAGACCACCCATATGTTAACAACAATTCAAGAGCACAGGAAGACCACCTGTAACCAGAGTCATGTTAGCAGTGTAGGCATTTAGAATCAGAGGAGTTTTAGAAAAAGACAGAGATGGCCTCTTAAGTTTGTAGAGTCCAAGAAGAAGGTGAATCTTGAGTGGTTGTCAAATACTCTCATGAAAAATCCAAGTGGCAAGGTAAAAGGAAAGAGAAAAATGGGAGTTATAAATTTTAATTGATTTTTTTTCCTGAAAATCTATATAGTGAGAAATAGCATAGAGAATTCATTTATTTTGTTCCTGTGGTTGGGAGCAACTTCCTCAGGAAACCAAAGGGTAGGCTACCTGTTTCCAGGTGGTCATCTATATTTATATATGAGGTGTTCACTTTCTCCAAGGCTCACTAGGAAGATATCAAATAAAAAAAGAAAGTCCCAGCATATGAAGTTAGTACGTACCTTGATAAAAGGATTTTGAGCCAAGCCTATTGAAAGTCCTTGATGAGAAAGTCCTTGGGTGAGTCTATGAGGATTCCAACAGTAAAAATGATGATGATGGTAATAAACATTTGTTGTCTATTGTGATTTTCAAAATTTTCACCCACATTATCTCACATGTTGGGGGTTTGATTATGTTGGTGAAAATATGATTTGAGTTCAAAAGGGGGCTAGCAATGGGTTTCTGAAAAAGGCTGTCAAAATAGTTTATCTTGGTAATTGCAAGGAAGTGGGATTTAATAACAGTGAGTTTGGCCATACTAAGAATTCGTTTCTCTTTGCCAAAGACCTGAGAATAAAATTTCACGCTCTAGAATTGCCTTGTTTTTTTTCTGTTGGCATTCAATGATCAATTAGCCATTCTTTTTCAAGCAACTATTGTTGATAGGTTCCGTAGGATACAGAGAAGTACTAAAAGTATCCCCAGGCTTAAGAAGCTTTTTAATTAGTTGACAAAAATTTCACCAAAGATACAGGAAATTTCTGAAATTCTAGATTGATGGTCTGGGTAAGTTGTTCTCAAAATACGGTCCTGGGGCCAGCAACATCAGCATCACCTGGAACTTATAAGAAATTCAAATACTTAGGTACCTCAAATGTACTAATAAGAAACTCTGGGAGTGAGACATTCTATGTTTAACAACCCTGTAGGTGATTCTGATGTAGACATTGGAGAACCTCTGGTCTAGAGATAACAGGACCATTTGAGCTTCTGAAGAAAGAGCTCAGTGTTGCCAGAGGAATCACAGAGGACTTTTTGAAATAAGTATTGCCCGATTTGAGAATTATAGTATCCTTTTAATGATGCTCCATGCCTTTGGTTCTTCCATCCTAGCTATCTCTTGGGCTTTAATATTCTATTGATACATGAACCACTTTGTTCCCCCTGTAAAAGTACTACACATATGAGAAGTGTGCTGTACCTATTTTGCTGGTAACAGGCTCTCCTTAACTTAAGAGGAGTATTTCTGGCAGATGAGAAACTTTTACTGGAACTTGATTATTTTCAAAATTATTATTATCAATTAGAAGCGGTCTGGGCTTTCTCTTTTCCTAATTCAGAATCAAGAGGACCTTCTCAGTGTTCATCACTCCAAAGTGATGGACATGGTTTATGATGATGCCCACTTCAATTTCTCTGTTGGTGTCTTACTTCCACAGATCTTGTTGTAAATTTTAACATCTGCTCCTTGGGTATTCATGAAAAGAGAAGAAAAATATTTGAATTTGAATTAGTTCTTAATTTCATTCCCTGCTTATTTTGCTATGTTTCTGTCATTTCTTCAGCTTCCATAAGCTTTAATCAGAAGAGCAATGAATTAATGTGATATTGAACAGAATTAGGGAAGCTGGGTCTATACAAAAGTGACCATGTGTCTGAGTCATGTATGCCCCATAGGAAAGGGACCACAGTGAACTTTGCTCTTCCCTAAGCTGACAATGGGTGGATCGATGTGGAATACATTAACGTCTGAAAGTTGCTAGGGGATTTTACCCCACTGATCTTATTTGGGGCCCATTGAGAAAATGAGCAAAGCTCATAATCCTACCAGTGTTTAAGTGATTAAAATTTTGCATCTGATACACGAAAGTGACCTCCCGGGAGAGGAAACTAGCACACTCCTGAGTGAACATATTAGTGTATCAGTTTACAGTATGGGGAAAGACCTGGGAAACACAATATAAGAAAATCTGGGAAAGAAGCCAAAGAAATGCACATGAAAGGAATGTACCTGTGAGGATTGCAAAACAGAACAATCGAACAAGTCTGTAAGTCCTGACTGAGCACCTATTCTTGTGTTCTGTCCTGAAATGAGCACTCTGAGATCAGTAATGGATATCTCAAAGAGTTGGAAAGACCAACAACATGGACATTCTTTGAGGCTCGGAGTCAATTAGGCTGTACACATGGATGATGCTTGCATGCTGCTCCATAGATCAAGCCTGAGCTTGAATTTCTATGCTTACTAACTTTTGAGCATCTCTTGTTCCTGTTGTTAGAACCTTTGTCTGTTAGAAAGTTCCCTCACAGGCCAGGTGTGGTCGCTCACGCCTGTAATCCCAGCACTTTGGGAGGCTGAGGCAGGCAGATCACCTGAGGTCAGGAGTTCGAGACTAGCCTGACCAACATGGAGAAACACTGTCTCTATTAAAAAAGTACAAAATTAGCTGAGTGTGGTGATGCATGCCTGTAATCCCAGCTACTGGGTAGGCTGAGGCAGGAGAATTGCTCGGACCAGGGAGGTGGAGGTTACAGTGAGCCAAGATTGCACCATTGCACTCCAGCATGGGCAACAAGAGTGAAACTCTGTTTCAAAAAAAACAGAAAAGAAAGTTCTCTCACATTTTATAAACTTCCACACTTTTATTTTTTCATGCAAGAGAGCTCCCTAGAATATCAACCTGCTGCTCTTCCCTCACTGCACTTAGGAATCCTAAGTCATGTCCAGGTTAACTAGCCTGAGTTCTTACACTGCAGTTTGGGTAGATGAAAGTGGTCTTGGATCATATTGCCACCTGTATTAGTTTCCTGTGGCTGTTGTAACAAATTTAGTGGCTTAAAAGAACAGACATTTATTCTCTTGTAGTTCTGGAGTTTAGAGTCCACAATCAAAAGGTCAGCAGGCCTCTACTCCCCTGGGGCTCTAGGGGAGAATTCATTCTTTGCTTCTTCCATCTTCCTGAAGTTCCAGGTGTTCTTTGGCTTGGGCTGCATAACTCCAATTTTGGCTTCTGTCTTCACATGGCCTTCTCCTCACTGCATGCTACTCATCTTTGTGTCTTTTATAATGATACTTGTCATTGGATTTAGAGCCCACCCTGATAATCCAAGATGATCTCAACTCAAGACCCTTGATTTATAAGTGCAAAGATACTTTTCCCACATAAGGTCACATTCATAGCTCCAGGGAATAGGAAGTGGTCATATCTTATTGCAGGTTACCATTCAATGCAGTGTACCGTCTTAGTCACTCTCTTCTTCAGTGGTCCTTAAACTTTAGGAACTATGAACCCCTTTGAATAATCTGATAAAATATATGTGATTTTTATTTATAGATGAGTACTTATGTGCCATTAAGCACCTTTTTGTTTGTTTAAAATTTAAGCAGATTCATACTTCACCACCACTACCAAAGCCCAAACATGTGCTGTAGATTCAAACACTCAGTCTATATCCTTCTTGAATGGTAACAGTCAAAAGCAACCACAATTTTCCTGGTGATCTGGTTAATGTAGAAAAAAACAGGTTATTGCCTCTTTGGTTCTAGACAATACATATAATTCTGTTAATGCATTTCAAGATCACGTTAAATATTTTATGTCTCCCTGAAGTGTTCACATTGTGTGTGGAAACTCTTAAGCTGCTATTATTATTACTATTAAACCTGAAAAGTACCAAGCCCCATTTCTTTTATCTGGTACTTATGTAATTACCATGGAGAGGATCTAGCTAACATTTCTCTAGGTGACATCACACCTTATTAAATTAAGCCTGTCTCTTTAGTCTGTCACGACCTTATTGAGTCTTGCTTCTGCCATCGAGCATATTGAGGGCTTCCTCCAGCTTTATGTCATCAAAAAATTCAATTTCCAATGATGACCATTATTTTCATGTCTTCAAGTCGTTAATAAAAATGATGAACAAGAAAGAGCAGACAACAGAACCTTGCAGCGGACTACTCACACCTCCCTCTTGGTTGATTTTAATGTCTTCATTAGGTACTGTTCAGCCACATAATTTTACCAAGCACCTGGCTCATATTTTCTCAATCTTTTTGTCAAGATTCCTATGACAGACCCTGTTCAAATGCCATGCTGGTATCCAGGTAAATCATGTGCTTCACATTTTCCTCTTCTGTCTGCCTAGTAACCTTTTAATAGAAAGGAATGTGATTAATCTGACATGACGTTTTTTGTGATCCAGGAAGTAAATTTGAACTATGTGGAGTCAACAGAAATATATGGTTTAGCATCATTAACATCCTGCACTAGTAAGTCTTCCAATCAGGGAAGACTTACTGCTGGAAGTGGTATCTGAATGCGAGAGTTTTGAAGGCTGGATAGAGAAAAAAAAGATATCCATCAAGGTCTCCTCCCACTGTTTTTGTTTGTTTGTTTCGTTTTCCCTTGATGAGGCTTATCAGTTTAACTGTCCTCTCTTCAAACAAGCAAAAATGTTTGATAAGAGAGAGCTGTTTTGTTAAAGATTTAAAATGGACTGACCGCTATGTAAAATGAATTTAGAGCTAAGAAATGGAAATACCTTAGTGGATGACCTGGCATTGATGAATTGGATTTGGAAACCACTGGATTTACCAAGACTACAAGAGAACAGAGAGAACCCAGGGAGAGGGAGTTAGGTTTGCTTTGCTCCACAGTGTCAGCTGCATATGTTGGGTATTCTAGGCTCAGAGTTTCTCCTACCCCATGCTGAGCTTAGATCCACACAAAACCCATGTAGTTTTACTAAAGGAGAGATCCTGTCTCTCTTTCAAAGTCTGCTTAATTTTCTTTTAGATAAGCCTCTTAAAGGTTTTATTTAACTTTTATCTGAAGCACATTCAAAATTGATCCTGAGATGTATTGTAAATTGGATGATCCACAAAAGCAACTCTATATTCTTCCTCATTTCACAAGTTTTGTCAGTCTCTACCTTTCCCATAAGCATCCTCATCTTTTAGAGAGCATAAGAAAATGACCCAGGAAGAGAGTTAATCTTGTAGGTGTCACCATAACAGTATCTGAACTTGGGCAGAGGAGAATCCAGGGCTGGTAGTGTGATTAAGTCTTGCTGAAATGGAAGCCATCCAATTCCTTGAAAGACCTCAGTTGTTTTAAGTTCGCAGCATGATCGGTCTCCCCTTTACATCACTATGATAGATGTCTTGCATTGTAATTGCAAGACACGCCACCCGAGTAGAGTATGGATGATCAGTCTTTTTTTTTTTTCCATTTTTCTAGAAACAATTGATCATTCATATTTATAGGGCAATCAACTGCTGGGCTTTGAAAAGGTCAGTATTGATTATCTAAGTCACAGATGGTGTGCTTCTTTACTATACATAAATATGAGTTCCTTTTATGAGTCTGCTGTGATTCTTTTTTCTTTTTAAGGAAGGAGGAGGGAGGGTAGGTAGGTATTCATGTGCGTTAAACAATGGAATTTCAACTAACACTTAAATTCAACTAGGACTTTGCAGTTGGCAAAGTTGTACTTTAAATTAGCAAATTCATTCCTTCTACCCCAACACATATACTTACAATCCACTTTACAGATGAGGAAACTGAGTCCCTGTCCATGGACATGGGTAGGCAAAATGCCAGTGCTTGCATTAAGGAGAAATGGGAAGGCTGTGTATCTAAATCTGAACAGGGGTTTTATATGGGTGTTGAGTTTGGGACTACCGGTCCCAATTTTTTTTCTTTACTGGGCTTTTTATATTTTAAATGCTTCCTGTAATAGGCATATATTACTTTTGCAATTTAAAAAATGGTTGATTTAAAACCCACTGTGAATGACATGCCAGTTGATTGAATTGTATGGATAGTGGACTTTCTCCTTAATGGCCCTCAAGGAACTCACTTTGGAAGAATAACTAAAGTCCAGGCTGCAGTGAATCTCTATCTCCTTCCTAGTTTCTGTGCATTAGTGACTGACTATGGGACTTTCTCCCCTTGTGTCTCCCACTCCTCCCCTAAACACTTAGAGTTTTTGGCCACTTCAGCCTCCGCTCCGAATGGCAATTGGTGAAAGTGGACTACAAATCTATCTTCAGCCGGCATTGCACCAAGGAGGACTATCAGACCTGGCACCTGCTCAATCAGGTACACACCCCAGGGAGTTGGAGTGCTGGCTTTGAGGAGGAGGAGCTAGTGCAAGTCCGACTGGGTCTTATCTGAGCCTTCCTATTTAGGGGAGGAAGGTAGTGGGTCATCTGAGGATGTGGGTGTGGATTTGGAGAAAAGGGTGAAACACACTCAGGTCCAGTAGGGCCAGATGATATTTAGGAACTATCTCGCACCCTGGGATCCTATCTACTAATTGAGGTCACTGAGCTGCCTGGGGGAAAGGTGTTGATGATAACCTGGGGTTTTAGCTCTATCCATGGAGAAATGAGCTTTTTACAGCTAGAAGGCCTCCAAGAGTTGCTCATTTTATCTGCCAATGTGGAGGGCGAGAGCATTTCTCAGACTAGCCTGAAATAAGGGACCCAGAGCACTGGGAACAGGTCCACTGAGAAATGGTGTCAGGGTGGGTAGGTCTAGCAATGGTAGATATTTACTGCTGTGAGAAATAGGCAGACTTCTGCTCCAGAACCACTGGGTCCTTGTAATTTGTATCAACTTCTCCTTTCTTTGTTCTTGACTGGGAATTAAGATTTGGGCATGGTCGTTTATCATAGAGAAGGAACATTTTGGGTCAACTTCAATTTCCCTCTGAAGACCATGTGAAAAATGTGCCATAAATGGGCTCCTTTCCACTAGAATTGCTACTGAAGCCATTTGGGCAAATGTACCTGGTGGTCTGCAAAGATGCCTGGAGTCCTTACATTCTCTATGGAGGTGGAGCAGAAACGGGATGATGTAGACATCACTGGCTTGGGTGGGTGGAGGGTAGAAGTGGGCCCACCTTCCATAATGTTCCTTTTATGTGGTAGTGAAAGATTAGCACTTTTATTCTTGAAACTCCTGGATCATTACTGAGAATGAGACTGCTACATAAAGTACCTAAATGAGAATGAACAGGCTAATGCTTCTTGTTGACAACTGGTTTATTTCACCACCTTTTTGTTTTTCTGTCTCTCACACTATGGAATTTCTCTCTAAGGGAGAGCCTTGTGTCATGGGAGAAAGGAAAATATTCAAGAAACGTAAGCCAGGAGCTCAGTGTGCCCTGGGCCGAGACCACTCAGGATCAGTGGTCTCAGAACCCTGTGTCTGTGCCAATTGGGACTTCGAGTGGTGAGTTGTTTGGCATTTCATTACCAATTCCAACCAGGTCTTCACCTGTCTGTGGGGTGGGGTGGGGTGAAGATGAAGTTAGGAGAGGAAGCATGACGCAGAGATAGGAGGTGTATCTGCTGGCCTGTGGGCCCATCCATCCCAGTTACTGGGCCAGATGGGAAGTCTGCATTCCTGGAAGGAGGACAGGCTGAGGCATTTTCACAGAGAGAGTCACTGATCTATCAGAGCAGCATCTCTCAGGGGGCTTCTTCTCATCTACACTGAGCAGCTGTATTGGAAACTACTGGAGAAGTTGTGCTGGGCATTGACAGAGGTTAGAGAGCTACTGCCTTGCTGTTGCCTCCAGCCACATGCACTCTCACTGTGCTCTTCTACGTGACCTCTCTCTTGTTTCCTTTTTCTCCCCCTAATAACAGCAATGGAGAACAACCTTAAATCTCACTTAATGAAATTCAAATCTCACCTATAGACAATTACTCCCAAATTTCCAAATATTTACCTCTGGCCCTGGCCTCCCCCTTCTCTTGGTTGGACACATATGTGTCTGGCTGTCTACTCAGCATTCATCTCCTCTTGATTCACTATCAGGGTTATCAAACTTAAGGCAGCCAAAGCAAAGCTTTTCTTGAATCCCCTTCATTGGAAGGAGTCCCTTGCCCAGTTTTTCTAATTTCAATAAAACACACAGCTATCCACTCAGTTGCCAGAAGGGTTTGGTTTCTCCTTTTCTTTCACTGTCAGATCCAGGCCATCTGCAAGTCCTTGCAGTTTCTACCCTCAAAACACATTCTAAGTCAAATCACTTCTTTCCATCTCTCAGCTGTTTGTATCACTCCAGGAATCGAACTCTCTCCACATCCACCCTTGTCACTTAAAATTCATTCTCCTCACAGCAACCGAGATGGTATTTTAAAAACTCAAACCATATCTTATCACTACTACACTTAGAATACTCCAATATCTTCCCCCTCACTTAAAATCTAATCTTCTTTCCTTAGTTTCCTCCATTGTAGGTGATTTAGCCCTGCAATTACCTTTATGTCAAAATTCCTTACTGTTCTTACCTCATTCACTGTATTGCAACCGCATTACCACCTCCTGCACCTTTATTAATCCTGGCTCATTCCTAGCAGAGGGAGCAGAAAATGCAAGAATTTCTTCCAAATCTTAGTATGGCCGGCACCTTTGAGTCACTCATGTCTCAGCAAAAATATCAGCTTCTCAGAAATGCCTTCTGAGACCACCTAATCTCACCTATACCCTGGCACAGTCTAGTATATCCCTGTTTTATTATCTCCTTAGTATTAATTGCCGTACAAAATGAACATGTTTTTGATTGTTCCACTATCACCTATCTCTCCAGTAGAATGTAAGTGCTGGGAATGCAGGAGTTTTAGACTTTCCTTGTTTCTGCATCCACAGCGCCTGGCCCGCTGTAAACATTCAATAAAGAGTTGTAGCATGTTTCTGAACATTGTTCCTTTTAGGAGGGTCAAAAATCTCCCCAATTCTGGGAATGGGTACATAGCACTCCGATCCCAGCTGGATGAATTCTTCCCCTGCATCACAATAAAAAGCTAAAGTTCAATTTGATTATTTTGGTAGCCCATCTCAGCTTTGTCTTTGTTAAAAGACAAAACTAAGGGCTTGGGCATTGGCCTCTAAACTTGGGAGGGGCAGGGCAATGATGGAGCTGCATTTGGGCTTCTCTGGCATCAGATAGTCAAAGTAAGTCCAAGTGGGCACAGAGCAGCTGCCCCTGAATGGCAGCCTCACTTCTTCCAGCCTCATTTCATCCAGCTGGTTTTTTAGCTTGATTTGTACTAGAAACTATCCTTTGTTTCCCACTTTCTGCTAGGAATATAACTGGAAGCCAGAGGAGTGACTCTGCTCTCCACCTGTTCTTTATCCTTAAACTCATACCTAGGAAAGCATGGCTTCAGTGAAATTCATGAAAATGAGATATACTAAGTGTAATTTAAGTTTGACTAGCAGAGTCCTTTCTGTGACCATTTTGAGCCCTTGGCAGCAAAGTATATTTTCACATTGTGAAAAATATTTTCAATTATTAATCACAATTAAGCAAAAATAGTCACAGCAATGAGTGCAGTAGGCCACTCAAAATTATGGCTTGTGACATATTGATGTCAACCTGAATATTCAGAATATTAATTTTAGGCTTCCTTGTGTCCTTCTGCAGACTAACTCCATTGAGGCACACTGTCTTTGAATTTGTCATGATACATATTCTCCTGTGTCTCTGTGTGCCATAATAGACCCTCACCCATTGTTGGGTAGCATCACAAGTGAGAAGAAATAAGAACTGTAAAATATTTTCTCATCAGTAATTCCATTAACATTTACTGGTCTGGGCAAAAATTCTAGCACTGATAGTCACAGTTTTTGACCTTGGCAAGTTTTCTTAATCTTTGTGACTTCATCTCTATAGCTGCAAAATAAAAATACATGACATCTACCGCATTGGGTCCTAAGGAAGAATAAATGAATTCATATATTAATATACATCATTAATATAGATAAGGCATTTATCCTACTGATGTATAACATAGAAATACAACATAGGCTAGCTATTGCTGCTGCTGTTGATGCTGTTGTTATTCTTACACCCTAGGGTTAAGTGGTCCCTATGGTATTTTTGGAAGTAAACCAAAGCTTATACATCCAAATAAGCACTGTTTTCAGAGTAGGATCTTGGGGTCTGATCCATTTACTTCAGTACTGGTGGCATTGCTCAAAGTATTTCTGAACCCTTCTTTAGGGAGTGCTGTCAGAATCCATCTATAAGTAAAGCACGGTGGGAGAGGCGAGGGGGAGCCTTTACACGGCCTTCTGTGGTTCTCATACTTGCACTGGTAGAGGTACCATGTGGATCCAAGACGCTGTAATGTCAGGATCTTTATTATTGCCTTTTAATGAGAAGAAACATCTTGGATATAGGTTACTTGATCAAGGTTACATCCCTGGGAGAGAATGAGCTGGGGTTCAAGTGCAGATTTAGTTAAATTCCACATTCTCTCCTCTACACCCTGCCATTTCTCAAGAAATCAAACAAGTCTTTATTATTTTAGATTCATTTTGCTTCAGAAAAAAATAAAGTTTCCAAGTTTACTTACTCTAAAATTAAAACTCATCCCCAAGGACTTGGGTTTACTGCTGTTGATGAAATATAAGGTAGAATGTTTCCTCAACACTAAAACAATTTCCAATGAAGTAGTTTTGACCATTGGTACTAGAATCATAATAGGTGTATGGTCTCCAAAAATATTTTATAGAATTTTTTTTGATATATAATGTGGTGTATGTTTGCATTTTTATAGCCAATCACACCTCATATTAAAAAGAATATAGAGAACCACTTGAGTAAAGTAGAGAAGTAGACAAGGCCAGATGCTCAGTTTGTGGTCATAATCTCAGAACACAAACAAAAAAAAAACTCACACGACCTATAAAGTTTTTTTTTACTACTACTGAGTAGGGGAGAAGTTGTTTTTGATTACTGAAATTTCTGAATTATTTACAGTGATTTTTGGGGGGACAATGAGACTGAATATTTGAAATTGTCTTCTTGTTTTTAAGTTAACTTCAATAAGCATAGTGATTTGTTAAAAGATACAGTTTTTCCAACAAATACAGTTTGTCTGTTTGCTGGTCTTTAATGCTAATGCTAGAAATCAGCATATGGCGTATAGCCTTGTCCCCTTCTCAATGGTCCTCTCTAGCAGGAAGTATTATTAGCTAAGGCATCTGAAATACCCAGTACAGTTAGTACCAGTGATTATCATGCACAGTCCATTTAGATGTTTCCCTAGGCCAAATCAGGGCAAGTTCATTTGATTGATCTAGGAAAAGTTCAAGCCTCAGAGACAGCAGAGAGAGGGTATCACCTAGTTCAGTCAGTTTGGGAGGGAAGAGTAAAGACTGGGAAGGATGAATTAAAGTCTTCACTTTGGTGGAAGAATTGAGGAATGCAACCTGGATTCACAGAGGGAAGATATTTTCTGTCTCTGTCCCTCTTTTGCAAGAAAAGAGGAGGTTTTCTAGATTCTCAGAACATTTATTTGTAGCAAAACATTCACTTCCACAACTTTCTCCAGAGCGAGTATCAGTAATAAGTATGAATTCTGCATAAAGATTGATGTTTCAGCATAAGAGCCTCATAAATCCACCAGCCTCAAGCGAACCCTAGAGAGCCACTTTGCAGCAACCTCCATCATGGCGCTGGAGAAGGACCAGGAACAAATCCTTATTGAGAGTAAAGGTTGTTAGAGACCAGCAGGCAGTCAGAAAAGGTGCAAGAGGGGGCTCCTCTAAAGTCACACGAGGGCTCTTGAGAGGGAGTAGCCCTCCAGGAGACCTGAATTCACTTGTTCAGTGAGAAACGAGGTTGAACCAGAGATTATTATGCCCAGGAGTTCTTTTCTTTCACTCATTCATCTAACTTCTCACTCGACAAAAACTTTACTGAGCCCCTACTATGTAAGCAGATGTTTTACCACATCTGTGAGATGAATTATCTTAATCTTCTCAATGGACTCCCAGAAGGAGAGTCTGCTATTACAGACATTTTACAGATAAAGGAATGGAACACAGAGATGTTAAGTAATTCACTCAGGATAATATTATTCTGACTTCAGAGTCCTGAGTCTTAGTATGTATTACTGGCTACCTCCATGTCCCATATGGCACTACATCCACAAAGCAAGTTTATTGAGTGGTGATGTAGAAGACAGGGGAGGAGATTTGGGGGTGTCACAGCACATACATTCAGATGTATCCGAAGTACATTAATCTAGTGGTTCCCCAGAGTAAGCTTGAGTACTCTGCCTATGGAGCACAAGCAAGGATGTGTTTCCGCAGTGGACAAGTCAGAGGATAAACAAGACAATAAACAACATTGTTATTTACAAAATATACAAACTTTATAAAATATACAAAAGAGTTATTGCACTAAAAGAAGGCATAGCAGAAAATAATGAGTATAATTAAATGCTGAATTTTATGGTCCAAAGCTATCATAGTTACATGTGGTTATTTGAGTTAAAATGAAATAAAAAATGTTATTCCTTCATTGCACTAGTTAGGGGCTACCATATTAGCTTAATATAAAATATTTCTCTTATCATAGAAAGTTCTATTGAACAGCACTGGTTCTGACTGTATGTGCTATAGATACACAAAAGAAAGAGAACAAAAAGATCACTGAACTGAAGTAATCATGGAAGGCTTCCTGCAGGAGGTAGTGGTGGGACTATGTAGACTTCCTGCTGAGGAAGAAAAGGAAAATAGGCAGTACTTCAAAGAAATAAATAACAGACTAAGAAAACATAAACCTAAAGAAAACATTAGATTAGGAGAAATATTTGAGGAATGATTGTTGGATTTTCCAAGCATTTTCTGAAATAGTTGGGATATAATTGTAATTTTTCTTTGAGACTGTATTTGGGCTTATGTCTTAGCTAAATGATGATGTTAATGATTAATCCATTGTTTTTGTTGCTGTTGGGCCTGCTTGTGTTTGTTGAGTGCTCACTCCATGCCTACCAAGAACCTCTATTTGCCTAATCCCAAACCTACCATGCTATCCTGCCTGCTGAAGTGGAACAGGGTGCCTGTAGATCACTAGTACTGGAATCTCAACTGGCAGATGGGAGGATGGAGAAATGGGAATCAGGGAGGCTGTGATATGGCTATGAGTGGTCTGAGAGCCCCTGCAGCTTGTCTGGAAGAGACCATGACTTCTTGGTTAGCTCCAAGAGTCTCAGAATGTCATTCCTGGGGACTAGGGCCCTCCTTAATGAGCCAGTGGGTGCCCTATGGGATTGGACTCATGCTGAACAGGGATCAGGAGTCTCCATTATCACCTCTGCCACTGTCAGCTGTGTACAATCTTTGGCAAAGTCATTTCTCCTCTTTTTGCTTTTCTTTTCCAGTCTACCAACTTAGGAGACTGGATCCAAGAATAAAAGTATCCCTTCCTATTTTGGCATGCAGAGGTTTATTATTATTATTATTATTATTATTATTATTTCTAAACTGTCCTGGCTATCCCTCCTTTAGAATCTAAGCCTTTTCCCTGGATGGGATTTGGAAAACATGCAGGTTCCCGGAAATGAAAAAGTTTTAGAACTTCTAAAGCTGTTATAGTTGAGAAAGACATAGAGGTGACTTATTTCTTGAAGGAAAATGTGTGTGTGTTTGCAGAATCCGCAGCAGTAGACTTCCCCGAGGCAAATCAAACTTTCTGGTGCATTCTGTCCAAACCTCACAATTCAACAGAAAAATGCCTTTCCCCAGGAAGCTGGAGAAACAGCTGGAGCTGCTTGTTTTTCTAAATCATGCAGACTTCGGAGCTGGGAAGGAGATTGAGCTGTATGAGATATTTTAATATACATTTAGGAGAAATTAATGAAGAAGTCCACAGCTTGGAGGCAGCCAGTTTCCACTAGTGTTGTTAAATATTAATGAAATTCTTTTACTCTTTGGGGCAAAGCAACATGCCTGGTGCACCTTTTAAAATTACTGCATTGCTGACAGGTAGCAGAGCTGAACAGAACTGCTAAACACGGTTATATTTAGCAAAGACCATTAAGATGTTTCTTTCATTCTTAAAATTGCTTGAGAGAGAGCACCCTTCCTTCATAGATTACCAGTAATCCCTAGGGTTAATGGGACATTCAATAGATTTACCTAAGAAAACAACTGGAGAATTTTTGATAAGTAGTAAGGATACACCACAGCCCAATGTTTCCACAGATAAAAAATGCTTAGAAATAAGTAATTCAGGCCAGGAACATGGGCTCACGCCTATAATCCCAGTACTTTGGGAGGCTGAGGTGGGCAGATCACTTGAGGTCAGGAGTTTGAGACCAGCCTGGCCAAACGGCAAAACCCCGTCTCTACTAAAAATACAAAAATTAACCGGGCATAGTGGTGGGTGCCTGTAATCCCAGGTACTCTGGAGGCTGAGGCAGGAGAATCACTTGAACCTGGGAGGCGGAGGTTTCAGTGATCTGAGATCGCGTCCCTGCACTTCAGCCTGGGTGACAGAGTGAGACTCTGTCTCAGAGAGGAAAAAAAAAAAAAAAAGAGAAATAAGAGATCCAGTGGTGTACTTGTAAATATTTAACTGCTGGCTCTCTGGGAACTAACAAATTAATACTCCCTGATTAATGGTATCTGCTGATCATCATACATATTCCCATCATGGCAGATTTCAAACTACCAACCTGACATGAGTGAACGCAGAACTGGGGAGAGATAGCTAGTACCACAACATTATATAATATTCCCACCATGCAGATACATGGATGTAAAGCACCTCAATAGCATGGACAATAGAATGATAGAATATTTTTATATAATATATATTATATATAATAATAAAATATAGCAATCAAGAATGTATGCTTTAAGTATTATCTTTGTAATATAATTTATGTAATTGAAATTTCATACAGTTTCATTTTTAATAGTGGCTTTAACAACCATTAATTAGCTTGCAAAATTTCTGAGATGTTAACTGTGAGCTCTCATGGGCTACTACAAGCTGGCACAACACTGAGTCCATACGAACTGTCAGACTGAGATCTCCAGTAGTTAATCAGAAGCCTTGACCAAAACATTTACTTGGCAGCAGTGTCTGTTTCTCCTTCCTTCCTTCCAGCTTCATTTAAACATGCCAATATAAGACTGATCTCAAGTTCCACCTTTCTATGTAGAAATCCATGATTCTTGTCACATTAACTCCACAGGAATCTGTTGGGCACTTGGGGCTACTCTCTGCAGTCCACATTGTAGCATCAGTTATGGGCCCACAGTCTTCCTGCAGAGATAGATGTAATGCAATCATGTAATGCAATGGGATAATTTTTTTTTTCTTTTGAGACGGAGTTTCGCTCTTGTTGCCCAGGCTGGAGTGCAGTGGTGCGGTCTTGGTTCACTGTAACTTCCACCTCCTGGGTTCAAGCGATTCTCCTTCCAAGCCTCCCAAGTAGCTGGGATTACAAGCTCCTGCCACCATGCCTGGTGAATTTTTGTGTATTTTTAGTAGAGACGGGGTTTCACCATGTTGGCCAGGCTGGTCTCAAACTCCTGACCTCAGATGATCCACCCGTCTCGGCCTCCCAAAGTACTGGGATTACAGGTGTGAACCACTGTGCCCAGCTGCAACTGCTTTCTAATGTAATTGGAATTCATTTACCCAATAAATATTTAATGCCTGAAATGTCCTAGGTACAGTTCTAAATTCATATTGGCCAAAAACAAACAAACAAACAAAAACTGAAAATTATCCCTGCTCTTTTGTAGCTTCCACTTATAGTTACCAACAGGTTATGACCCCAGAGATTTTGTCTGGGGAAGCAGTGATGGCCTTCTATGACCTAGATATTAAAGAAGGATAAGTAGGAAACTACCAAACATAGAAAAAAGTGGAATGCTTCAAGCCTGAGGGATTACATATAGAAAGATAAAGAGGGTTGAAAAGGCTGGCTAGAAGTGTTCAGTTAAGAGTTTGATGAGAAGATAGGTAAGAAGGTGGGGTGGGGTCAGACTCGGAAGATATTGTGTACGATCTCATTAATCAATTGGTTCTTCTTAGCTCTACTGTTTAGTGCTGTGTTGCATATGGTTTTATTCTGTTCTTTAGTCATGTTTGGGGTATGCTGTATCTCTCTCCCCCAAAGACTGAAAAACCTTTGAGGACACGGATTATCACACCTTTTTAAGTTTTTTATTATTATTATTATTTTACAGGGCAGAGCACATAGTGAGTTGTAAATAGATGTGGAATTAAATTTAAATTTTTAGTCCCCTCTCCCCTTCATTCCTGTTGTAGATATACACACAGAAAATTTGCCTCTGTTTTCATTGGACTTCCACAAAATCTTGGCTCAAAGAATATACAGGAAGCAGAAAAAGAAAGGAGTTGTGGGTTCTGAGAAAGCAACTTCTTTTCTGCTGCTTCATGTTTTATTAACACTTAATGGATTAATATTTATATGTTCAGTTTATTTTGCCCCATCGGTGGGTTTCAGAAAACCCTAAGATGCTTGACTTAGAAACATGAATTCAGCCAAGTGAAGCTACCCTCAATGATCTCTGGTTGGCTACAAGAGCAATAATACCTTCTACCTACTTTATTGTTCTTCTACTTTGACATTTACACACCCAGGAGTCTTCTGAAACTCCAAGAAGTAGGGAAGCACTGTTTGGACTTCAGATAGGGGACCTCCTTTTCTACACTGCTCTGTTACTTTCCCATTTTGCATCAGGGAGAAGAGGGGAAAGAAATAGTAGCGGACTTTCTTTCTTCATTTTATTATGGCTAGGATTTTAAAGAAACACACAAAAAGAGCTACAGTGTAGTTTTATTTTATTTTTAGGGAAATAGGGGCCTTTGTTTTATCTCATCAGGAAAAGTTTGAATGACTCTATGTGTCCATGTGAATGGACATGTATATACTTGTTTCAGAGAGGGTGAGTCATTGTCTTTGTTGTCATGTACTTATTTCAATAATTCTACTGTGACTTAAAATGTATTTTTAACAGCATCCTCCGCATTTACTCCCAAGCCAATGTACCTGCCACATTATTTATATCAATACCTTTTTAAACCTAGAATTTCTATTTGCTAAGTTGCTATTTTGTTCTGTTGACTGGACTCCAAATGATTTGGAATTATTTATAAAGCTAAAAGTTCATTTTCAAAATATGAATATTTACCCTCACTGGGGATATTTAAAACAATGTGTTATGACTTTCTGGATGGCAATAGGGACATGTATATGTTTGTGTGTGCCTGCGGTTATTTTAGCGTTTGTACATATATACTACTATGCAATATTCATTTTCCTGACAGTGACTATGGGTATGAGAGACATGGGGAGAGCCAGTGTGTCCCAGCTTTCTGGTACAATCCAGCATCCCCATCAAAGGACTGCAGCCTTGGTCAAAGCTACCTTAACAGCACTGGGTAAGTAAAACACCTACAGGAACTCAGCTCCCTGTTTTCCTGTTTCTCTAAACTAGGACCAAAGGAAATGCATTGCTATTGAATACAATGGAGTGAAGATGGAGTCTGTTTATAACAAATGGCATTTGAAGGGAAGTGAGGAGTTCTTTAGCTGAGAGTATCTATTTGGGGAGCATCAGAAGAGATTTCTGATCAACCAGATTTCAATAACTTTGAATATTTGCTTATGATAGACCATAGTTACTGTTTTGGTTAATCCTTCTCTTCTGGAAGGTCATGTAGTCTTATTCCTTGACACTCAAGTGAATTAAATTCATACAAGTGATGTGCAGATATTACACTACTCTCTAGTGAAAGATGAACTGAAACTCTGTGACACTGATGCTGAAAACTTAAAATGAAAATTCAAAAGTTCCATTCTAGGAATTCCTGGAATAAAAATGTCAAGGATCCCTTTCAGGAATTCTCAAATGACGTGTGTGTTTATCTCTTTGTTCATGTATTAGTTACTCTTTCGCATGCTTGAAAAACATTTTCTTGAAGATTTGTTGTCTTGCCCTTTCCTTTGCTGCCTCTATAACCAAGAACGGATTTCACAAGTGGATGGGTGGTCTAAGACAGCACCTCTCAAATGTTAATGTGCCTATCAATCATCTGGGGATCTTTTTAAAATGCAGCTTCTGATTTGGGAGATCTGGGGTGGTGGGGAAATTTTTCCTTTCTGTGAGCTCCGATGTGATGTCGATATTGCTGGTCTCTGGACCAGAGTTGTTCTGGATGCCAGTCTTAACTCTCCCAATGGATCTTCTGTCATCTCAGTCAAGTTATTCATCTTCTTGATGCTTTTGTCATAGCTAGTTGTAACATAATCAGTTAGGTAGATGTAGATAGGTTGAGTACTATCTACCTAACTGATGTCAACAAAGGAAAAAATATGATGAAAAAGAAGTGCTGACTGGTCTGAGATACTCTGAAATGCATGCCAACTATTTAGTTCTGGGAGGGCTATTCCTGGAGCCTGAGCTAAGGCTCAAGGATCTTTGCTGTTATTTAATTGTAGGAGTCTAGTTTAGGGACTTAAGGCATTCAAATTGCAGATCCAACAGCATGAAGTTAAAGAGATTGTGGTGTCAGAGAATAAAGTGCCAGGAAGTTTGAGGAAAGGGAGTATTATGCGCACAAGTTATTAGCTGGGCCACCAATTTCCCAGTCAGGGCCTAAGCTGAATGTGATTGCAGGTTAAAACAGAATTATAAAAGAATTGAATTAAAGCATTTCATAGGATCATGTGACATGTGTAGGTAGACCACATTTTAAGCAACTTAGTTATGCCAAAATCCCAAATAGCTAACAAAATAATTCAGGAGAATGAAAAGGAATGGCAATTAAAAAAAAAGAAAACAAATATGCTACAGATGTCTACCAATACCTCCAGATTGTGTAAATGTTGGCTTATGTTTACAAAATCATCAACCAGCTTGAGTTAATGGCCAATTGAGGCTGAAAAAGAAGAGTAGATGATATCAAGTTTGTGTTAGGACATGGTACCCACTGAAATACCTATCATCAGTAAAAACTGAGTGTCTTGTAACTATGCATCCTGAGAAAGTATAAATTGATTACAAATCTTGACTGTCTAGACCAGTGATGACCAAATTAACTATAATATGAGGCATATATGTAATTTCAGATTTTCTAGTAGCCACATTAAAAATGTAAAAAATAAGGTGATATTAATTTTAATAATGTTTTCTTTAACCCAAAATTTCCAAAATATTATCATTTCAACTGTCACACTAATGATATTTCAAGTGCTCAGTAGCCACAAGGTGCGCTACCATATTGCCTACCATATGGACAAGTGGTGCTATGTTAACCAGAATAACTTTAGACCCATTATAAGCTCAGTTGACAAAAAAGATGTATATATGCAAGAAAATATATCATAATTTGATCTGAGACAGTAATGACATACAACATTAGCTTAATATCCCCTGGGATCCCTGAATGGAGGTATAGTTCAGCAGTGGGGTGGCAGGGGGTACCCAGGGAAAATGTCAGGTATGATGGAAGACTAATATCTTTCAAAAAGAGTTATAAATTTCTCTGTTTTTGAAACCACCATAGGAAGGCAACATAGATGGATTTGTTAATTATTCTTGACATAGTGAGTGAAAGAAGACAAAATGTAATGGGCATGTAATGGTGATGATGATGGTGATAATAATGCTGCTGGTGATGATGGTGGTGATGGTCATAGTGGTGGTGTGTTTCTTTCATGTGGTTTTTTACCAGAACATTTGTTTTTTCAGTGCAGCCTTATAGATGGTCATGTGCCTGGAAATATGCCCATCATGCAGATCAGGGTTGTAGGAAAGCTCTTGGCTTGACTTCATATGCTGGGGTTGGTGGGCAAGGAAGATGACATGGTGTCATTGTACATAATGATGTCCTTGTCACAGAAGGTCATAGTGCTTTGTCAGGTGATTTTCCCATGCCGACCTCCTCTATAAGATAATTTTACATAGTGGGATAGTGAGATTGAATAGGAGTTTCAAATCTGTGCTTCTAATCTGGAGTTTATGCTGAGTGGGAAATGAAATATTAGCAAGGAGAAAAAAAATGTGCTCTGAAACAGCCCAGTGGCTCCACAGAAAGGGCTATTAGGCATTAGGGGAAGGAATGATGCCCTGGAGGAATAGGGAAGATAGGAATCAGCCTCCTGATTAATCAGAGTTAGAAAAAGTCTGATGTTCTACCTGCTTTCTGGTACAGAGAAAGCTGGAGATGGCCTCTGGGAGATAGAAACAGGTCTGTCCCTCACAAGTAGAAGCACCTGCTTTTCCCATTTCCTGAGTCCAATGAGTCTGCCTCCTCTTTTGTTGTGTGAGTCAGACATTGATTTTCCTTGTCTGGTTTAGACACTGATCCAATCTGTGGCTCACCAGGTAGGATCAATAATAACGTTTAAGGAGCTACTCTTACCAAGATGGAGGGATAGCAGGTCCTCAGCATTTGTTCAGCTTCGTAAATGACTGTCTTTTTGAGACTTGGTTTCCAGGGGCCGCTGTGTGAAGCACCTGTTTTGCTCTTGCTCTCTTACATTCCCTTTATAACACACACACACACACATACAACAGCAACAACAACACAATCAACACAAACCACTATCAATTGTCAATTCTACTTAGGTATCGGCGGATTGTGTCCAACAACTGCACAGATGGGCTAAGGGAGAAGTACACCGCCAAGGCCCAGATGTGCCCTGGAAAAGCCCCTCGGGGCCTCCATGTGGTGACGACCGATGGGCGGCTGGTGGCAGAGCAGGGGCACAATGCAACTTTCATCATCCTCATGGAGGAGGTAGGTGCTCAACTGGGTCTCTGAGGTCAGAACTCCCAACCAGACCATTCCCAGAAGGGAAGAAGAAGATCTTACATTCCCACAGACCCCTGCACCAAAGTCAATGGTGAGAAGCTGAAATTTCTGGAAAGAAGACAGACAAGGGTGAAAGAGGGCTTAGGGTATTTACTGACCCTCCTCCCTTTATCCCACAATAAAGACCCAGTCCGCAGTGGGAGCCCACTTGCCTCTGGAGCATGCAGATCTGGATATATTCTTCAGGGTCTCCATTAAAGTCTGCTTTGCTGAGGAATATTTATTACCATAAGACCATAAACTGTAAACTTGGCCAGAGGAAGGAAATGTGAATTTTATCTGTTGCTTTTAGGAGCCTCTTTTGCTTTATTCTGACCCTTAATCCCACTGATTAGAAAAGCCCACAAAGCTTTCACAAGGCCTTAAAAGTAAGAGCATGAGGATGGGGAAGATTATTGAAATCCTTTAAAGTTATCTTTATAAAGAATGTTGTATTAGTTGCTTTTCTATCAGCTAGATGCTGTATTCTTTCACTTTTTTAGTGTCTTCTGAAATCTGGGCAGTAAAATCAGACTACATACATTGATTCCAGTATGGGAATATCTCTGTTGTCTGCTTCTTTTATAAGCTGTTGAATTGCTTCCTATACTAGGGCATTTTAGGCACTCTTTGCTGAGTGGTAGAGCAGGAAGGCTTGCTTGATTGACACAGCCCTCTAAATTTATATGCAAATTGCTCTGTGCTCTTGAGATCTTGGAAAGAAGGCAAAACAGGCCAGGAGTCATTTTTTTTCACAAGTATGAGCACTTCAGAAACCTTTAAAAGTCAGGAGCACACTGGACAGGGTGGTGAAGGTTCCTTATCCTGGGTTGACAGATTTCTCAGCCTTCACTCACAGCAGGTGCTGGAATTAAAGGACTTTAAGATTCAGAGGAGGTCATTATCACATTTCCACTAGGGAGTTTCCAGGACCACAGCTATAAAAACCTTCTCTTGAATGGGTGTGAAGAGCCACGATCTTATCCGTTTGAATTGCCTCCAGTTCATTTCCACTTTAATTTATATTCATAAACTCAAGGATAGTTGACATTGTGTGGGGGGCAAGAGAGTACCTATCAATATTTCATTCACATCTGGGCTGCCATGGGGGAAGAAATGGAAAGTGAAACTGTGATCAGTGCACATTCACTGGGCAGAAGGATTGGCTCATAATTCCAAAATGATGTATTTCTCTCTTTATTCTATCACTCATCTTCATATATGAACAGAGCAATGCTATTCTTCATATAGGATCTTTGTTTTGTGGTCAAGTGCATTGTGTTGATCCAAAGTGTTGGCCCAATATAATGGTGGGGTGGGGGGGTGGGGACCAAGAAGAATGAGGTTCAGCATAGACCCTTAAGAAGCTAAGTGTTGGCTTGGGGTGGTGAGATGCATTCACCTGAATCATTGGCATCATGTTACCAGGTAGTACACAGAGAGCTCTTTCCAAGAGACAGAGATATCTGTGAACTGGGACAATCTGAAAAGGCTTCAGGGAAGAGGAGGCTTAAGTAGATTTAGGGAAGTCCAAGGATAAGAGAACAAGGGTATAATTTGGGGTGGTATGCAGTATTCATCTGTAGAATGGGAATCGCCATCCTATCCCTGCTGTTGTTTTGCAGATGGTGTTATATAATATGTATTAAGTGAGTAGCATAATTCTGGTAACATAGCAAATACTCAAAATAGGAGCAATTACAACTATAGCATGGCAACTGAGGGCATTATTATTGAAACCAGACTGGGTCTGGAACCTGGTCTTCCTGTACTCACTATGAAACTTTGGTCTAACTACTTATTTTTGTCCCCAGACAAATGGGGACAAAAATACTTTCTATAATATGGAATTATGAGGAGACTGCTTGCTTGGCACTAATAAAAAAAACCTCGGTAACTATTAGCTGCTACTATGATTGCAATTATTATTATGACACAAAAGGAGAATTAAACTATGTATGTGAGGGAGTCAGTGAAACCCTTGGCTTCCCTTCAGAACTTTACAGAGGGTCTACCTTGCCCACTATTGTCAGTGTCATACCAACTCAGCTTGCCCCGAGCTTGGGCGATGAGGACAATAGGTCCATAGTGCCTGCCCGTAGTACCCTGCGGATCAGATAGGAGTGTGATCATTGTGTTGCAGGTGTTTCAGCCCTTTGGGAAAGACTATGGGTCATCAGAGGTTGATGCTGAAGCAACAGGAGGAAGCATCAGATAGGAGTCTGGCTGGACCAAGTAAATTGACCCGTCTGCTATGCCATCTTGCAGGGTGATCTACAAAGGACAAACATCCAGCTTGACTTTGGGGATGGGATTGCTGTGTCCTACGCAAACTTCAGCCCCATCGAGGACGGCATCAAGCACGTGTATAAGAGTGCGGGGATCTTCCAGGTGACAGCCTATGCAGAGAACAACCTTGGCTCAGACACAGCTGTCCTCTTCCTGCATGTGGTTTGTAAGTAGGAGGCACCATCCCCGTTTTCCCTTTGTTCCCAGTTGGCAACTTGCTCTGTTCAGACTTCCTAAAATTCAGAGCTGAGCCCAGGTTCAGTGTGACTACTACAATTACCCAAACCAAATGGTGGAGATATGTACTCATCTGTGTTTCTGAGTATTATGGTACTGAAATAGATTGATTATTTTGAAGTTCGGATAACATATTACCACCTGGGCCGTCCTTTTCAGCACCACTCTGCTCTGATATAAATGTGTGCGTGCACACACATTCAGGTAAAAGTCTCCTCTCTTCCTTTTGGAGAATCCTCAAAATGAAAAAGATAGAAACAAGCCTTCTGGTTGATAGTCTCAGGCTCATTCTCAATCTATTATGAATGAAGACTGCACAAATCAAAGTCAACTGTTATTTGTGTTGTAAGAGCCAGAGAAGGATTAAAGAAACATGTTTAGATATTTTTAATTTAGAACTAAACACACACACAAAATTAATTTTTACATACAAGGTTACTGCAAGTTCATTCTGTTTTGACAATTCTAAGAACTCTCCAAAAATATTTTGTTGTGCTAGAATCTATTTCATTGCTATTGGCTGTTGCTTGGCACAAACCAAAAGAACAGTTGGTGTTCCAAAATATTTCATTTGTGCTGGATGCATTTTGTGTATTTTCTATTCTAGAATTTGATGCATGTAAACTGAAACTTTAATATTGTGATTTTAGGATGTCGGGTCGAGGAAATGTTGTCTTGGGGCTGGGATTGGTTTCCCACATGTGTATCAGTGATATTCGTGGGTCTAAGGACTTCCATGGTTCTTACTTACATACCCCACAAGAGTTTCCAGGTAATATGCTACATATAGTGAAAATCATAAGTTCTGAAAGAGTCTAAGTGAAAACAAGGAGCACCCTCCTATTAACAACTCAGTGATGGCATCAACTCTATTGTATAAACAACCTACACCTTAAGAGGTCCCTGGCAAACAGTAAGCTAGCTAGTCTCCTGGCTCTCCAGTCACAATGCCGGTAAAGGGACCAAAAGTGGTAAGGGATGTGTGTGAGAGGAGACCTGGATTATGTAGCTCAGTCATGTCCCTAAAAATGCCAGGCTACATGGCCATGAGATAAATGATTTCATTTCTCAATCTCCTGAACTCCAATTTTAAAATGGCTTAATTCTGACTGCTACCTTGCCTCGTGGGGCTTTTGTAATAGTAAACACACAAAAAACACCCAATCATTCACTAATTAATTTAACAAAAATTTGTTGAAGTCTTAAAATGTGCAAGGCACTCTGCTAGGCACTGGGAGGTAACAATGCAGATATGGCCCTCCTCTTACAGAGTTTCCATTCTGGTGGGGAAGTGGGGTGCTGCTACAAATGAGCCATAAATAGGCAAAGTGGTGAGAACCACACCACATCAACTACAACCATTCTGTGTCAGAAGCACCAGGTCAGAAACCCAGGTGGGTGATGTGCACGGTGTTCATGAGCCCAGGCTTCAGAACAAGGGAGATCTGTGCTTGAATTCTGATCACATTCCTTTGTTAAATGTCTACTATTGGTCAATGTTCTTAGCCTTTATAAACCTCCAATTTCTTATCTTCATTGCTGGCTGGGCGCGGTGGCTCACGCCTGTAATCCCAGCACTTTGGGAGGCCAAGGCAGGCAGATCACAGGCTCAGGAGATCGAGACCATCCTGGCTAACATGGTGAAACCCGTCTCTACTAGAAATACACAAAATTAGCCGGGCGTTTTGGCACAAGCCTGTAGTCCCAGCTACTAGGGAGGCTGAGGCAGGAGAATCGCTTGAACCTGGGAGGCGGAGGTTGCAGTGAGCCAAAATCACGCCACTGTACTCCAGCCTGGGAGACAGAGCGAGACCCCGTCTCAAAAAAAAATATATATATATCTTATCTTCAATGCTTAGCTAAAAGGGAGGCTGTGAGAATCAAACTGGATGAGGTGTGCATGTGTTGGGTATCCCCAAGACCACCACCAGGTTTGGTGATTCACTAGGCATACCCACAGGGCTCAGCTAAAGTTTCACTCATGACTATGATTCATTACAGCGAAAGGGTACAAAACAAAATCAGCAAAGGGAAAAGGCTCAGGGGGCAAAGTCTAGAGGAAACGAGGCAGAAGCTTCCATGAGTTTTCTCCCCACAAAGTCACACAGGACACTCCTTTATCCAGCAATGAGTTGTAACATGTATAAAAAGGCTGCCTAAAACAGAAACTCATTAGAGACTCAGTGCCCATAGTTTTTAATGGGGGCCAGTCATGTAGGTACCTTCTGCCTGGCATATACCAAAACTCCAGATTCCCAATGGAAAGCATTGGGAATAAACCATACTGTTTTCAAGAACAGTTTAGGCAGAGTGAACCACTCTTATCAGTTAACGGTTGACTGGATGTTCCCAGATACCAGCCTGGGGCCAACTTACATGCAGACCTTCCTCAGGACAGCAATTTCAGGTCCATGTTATCTTTTGGCACAGTGTGCAGAATGCTGCCTATCACCCAGCTTGGTGCATGATGAATTAGAGTATTTACTAAGTACTTCCTATTAACTTTGTACCTGACATTTTTGCTGCATTTAAAAATGAAGACAAAGAAGGAAAATGAACTTCACATTCCTCTATTCCAAGGACTTGCCTCACCCACATTTCTGATTCTGCCAAGAGTGGGCCTTGCCTTCAGGGTATGACAACCAATGTATCTTACTGGCAAAAAACACAACAGCAAGGAAGAGGTTTACACTGTGGCTTATGTGCATGAGGGAGGAAATGTTCCTTGAAACTTTTATCGTGCTTATAATTCCCTCCAAATCAATCATGGCTGCATTTTCCAGATAGTTTTTATTGTGGAGACTGCTCTTGGCCTTACCCTGGGCCATTAGCTAACAAAAGTAGTTGTTAGCTGCCCAAAATAACCAATCTCGCACAGATTATTAGATTTTTATCAAAAGGGGCACTATTTGACAGTGAGGAATTTAGGACTTTTCTCTGTTCCTTCCTGAATCTGCTCAGCTCTCATCTCTTCTCATTGATCCTTGGTTTGTCTCCACATCAAAGCCCAGGGGTTCCTGGCTCAGAATCTTTGCCCTAAAAAAACTGCTATATGGTAGTGTTCCTTAGGATTATTTTTAACCAAACATGCTTGTCCTGAAGCTGAATAAATGCAACCATGAGTGATGGTCTTTCAAGTTGTGAACGCCACATCCTTTTTGTGTTTGGTGTGAGTTTATGGAGAAGGGGGTCTCCTTTTATCTTCTTGGGTATCAGAGGATCTGACACTGTCAGCTTTCACTGAGCCAAGGCCCCCAAGTGATAGAAAGCCAAGAAGAAACTCAAGGCCATGAACCATAGCTGCATCATTGCTTAACTGTGGAAGATCCCAGGGTTCCCATGAGGTGTGTTGGGGAATGGGCTTCATGCTTTCTGGAGGATAGCAGTGAGAAGAGAAGCAGTGACTTTGAAGGTAAAAGGGTCCCCTAAAGGGGCCCCTTTTCTATCAGGAGAAAAATGAGAGATTTGAATCTGGGCATGGAGAAAGAAGTTTTTCATCTCCCCCCTTGGATGTGGACTAGCCAGGAGCCCCGCCCCACAGCCTCTTTCTCTTCCCCATTGATGAATAAAACACAAACTATAAAGGGACATAGATTAGGTAAACTCCTAAAAATGAGTAAATAAAGCAATGAAAGTATCCATTATTTTCCCACATCTAGTGCCTTTTTACCTCATGAACAAACAAATCATACAAAAATAATAACCAAAATTTCCTTATTTAAAATAAGTCAACCTTCAACCAGACGTGTATCTGAATTGACAAAGTTGAAAGTGTTTGCTAAGAGAAATCTTGAGATGCCATATGTTTGGGGTCAAGGCAGAGCGCTTTAGGCAGAAAGCATTCTCACACTGTAGATACTCTTCCTTTTAAGTATTCGGTTTTATTTTATTTTTAATTTTTGTGGGTACATAGTCGGTATATATATTTATGGGGTACATGAGATGTTTTGATACAGGTATGCAATGTGAAATAAGTACATAATAGAAACTAGGGCATCCATCCCCCTCAAGCATTTATCCTTTACACATACACTGGCCTGGCTTGTCTCCCCACCCAAATAGCAGTCACTGTCCAAACACTTTCCCCTTCAACATAAAATTACCTATGACACAGAATATGTCCAGTTAGACTCAGGAGAATGCTCACTGAAGTCCTTAGAGGGACTACTACCCAATGACAGAAACAGTGATGGCAGTGGTGGTGGTCGGCAGTAGTGGTAGAAATCATGACATTCTTTCATTAATTGTATGGTACTTTAAACAACCACATAACACATTCATATGTTCTTATTAATATAAGGAAGGCAGAGCAAATGTTGTCCCTTATTTTTAGAACAAGGTAATAGTCTGTGTAGGATTAAGACTCATAAGATAAAGGAAAAAATCATATGGGTACATTTGTGCCAGAGTTGAAATGAGAAACACTCATCTGTTTTCTTCCCTTTGAACTGACTTGTCTCCAGAATTACCAGGGAAGCAAATAAGGACGGCTAGATGGCCTGAAAAATCCTCCACCAATAAGAATTCAAGGCCCCCAGGCTGAAGAGATGTCTTTGCTACAGTTGTGGCTTAAGAACTTCGTATAGAAATCTCTTCAATTACTTGTTCTTATCAAATTGATGATGGTGGAAACCAAGAAAATGTGCTCTGACATAATAGGAGAGATTTACATATTTTAGTTGGATTTGTTTATGTAGGAAGGATTAAAGAAGAGAAAGAAGGAGGGAGGAAGACAGAAATATAGAAAGGAAAGTAAGGGAAGGAGTTAGGAAAGGAGGGAAAAAGGGAGAAAAAATCTTGCAGTGTTAAAAAACTATTTACCTCTCAGATGCAACACCGATACCTTAACACTTTTTTTTTTTTTTTTTTTTTTTTTTTAGTTAACATGAAGTTTTGCTCTTGTCGCCCAGGCTGGAGTGCAATGGTGCGATTTTGGCTCACTGCATCCTCTGACTCCTGGGTTCAAGTGATTCTCCTGCCTCAGCCTCCCAAGTAGCTGGGATTAAAAGCGGCTGCCACCATGCCCAGCTAATTTTTGTATTTTTAGTGAAGACAGGGTTTCACCATGTTGGCCAGGCTGGTCTTGAACTCCTACCTCAGGTGATCCACCCACCTCAGCCTCCCAAAGTGCTGGGATTACAGGTGTGAGCCACCGCGCCCGGCCGCATTAACACTGTTTCATCAGCTTTGTCCTCTTCTCATTTTAGTTTGGAAAGTAAAATCCTCACTTATTGCCTAGGGTGTGTTCATGTATATTCTTCTACTTGCTAGTTTAGAATATCATGCTGCTTATATCAGTTTTCTGAGGGAAAAAATAAGAAGCTTGGTTACCTTTCTGCAAGCAGATTTCTTATTATTTGGGAACCTGGCATTTGTTTCTAGTTTGATTTAGGGAGATATACTTTTCCCTGTTTGGAAAACAGCCTTGCCAGTTTCTGAATGACACCCACTGTATACTGCAGATGATGAGGCACAATGGCCAATTGTTGAAGGAGATGGAAACCCATTAACAATCAAGAATAATGGAAGAGCCTTCCATACAATACACTGACCCCAAATCACAATACAGGCTAATCATCAATAACAAAATAGACTGCTGTTTATCTTCCCATTTATTGGCTAAGTGTCTAGTAAATCAGCTTTGTCCTTGTATTAGAGGTTCATAAGCATCTGTGGTTAGACTTATCAGATGTAAATTTAGTTCAGATGCCACTCAAAAAATCTGAAACTTGATTTGAGTTCCCTGTTATATTCAGTACTTCATTTCAAGCGTGTATACACACCTCCCAATGTATATGGTTTTGTGACCCTTCCTTTTTTACAGGAGATGCGAATAGAATTTAAGGTTAAGAATCTAGGGGTGTGATACAGTTTGACCACATCCAGAATATAAACACTGACTTTTTTTTTCTGTTTCCTTAGGTCCTGTGGAGCATGTTCATCTCCGAGTTCCATTTGTTGCCATAAGAAATAAGGAGGTCAACATCAGTGCAGTCGTGTGGCCCAGTCAACTGGGGACCCTTACCTATTTCTGGTGGTTCGGCAATAGCACAAAGGTTTGGCCCTTTCTGATTGATGTCAAATTAGATCTGTACTGAATGCTCCTATGTTCCAGCTTTTATGTGTCTATTAGGGGGCACTGAGAATGCAGGCAATAAGAGGTACTTAATAAACCTATGAGCCCACAAAATTGAATAAAACATACCTCTTTACACCAAGTTCATTACTTTATTAGGGAAAGTTCAAATAATCCTAAGGAAGAAAGAGTACTTTGAGAAACTCTGCAAACCTGCATGTTCTTGCTTCTCTAATCAATATTTCTAAAATTTCATTCGTTCCATTTTGCTTTAATCTTGGCCTTGGCCTGGTTATATAATGTCAAAGAAGTTACTTAGCATCTCTGAGATTAAGTAGCCCTATCTGTCTAGATATCTAAATGTAGGGTTGCCAAAATTAAACAAGATAACCCAGGTAAAGAATCCTTATCAATACTTACTAGTTGTTCTAGAAATGCTAGCATTCTTTTCAGGCAAGGTGCTGAGGTTGCCACGTCTCAAAGAAAGGAACAAAAGAGGCCAAACTCTGGACTTGCCATATACTCCCTACTTCCAGCCATGGTGATGGCAACACCTGTGTCAAGCATGACCACAATTGTATGATAGAAGCTGGGAGCAATTTGGCTGAGAATTCCTCAGAGGTAATGTTCTTCTCTATTCCTGTTTTATAAAGAACACTTCATTTTTGAGGAGTTGTAAGTTCACAGCAAAATCAACAGGTGGTACAGAGATTTTCCATATATCCCCTGCTTCCACACATGTATAGCCTCCTCCATTATCAACATCCTCCACCAGAGTGTTACATTTGTTGTAATAGATGAACTTACATTAATACATCATTATCACTCAAAGTCCATAGTTTACTTTAGATTCATTTCTGGTTTTGTAGATTCCATAGGTTTGGATAAATGTATAATGACATGAATCTACCACTATAGTATCAAAAAGAAGGGTTTCACTACCCTGAAAATGCTCTGTGCTCCACCTATTCTTACCTGCCTCCTCCTTAATCCTTGGCAACCACTGATATTTTTACTGTCTCTGTAGTTTTGCCTTTTCCAGAATGTCATATAGTTGGAATCATATAGTATGCACTGTTTTCATATTGGCTTCCTTCACTAAGCAATATGCATTTAAGTTTCCTCCATGTCTTTTCGTGTCTTGATAGCTCATTTCTTTTCAGTGCTGAATAATATCCCATTGTCTGAATGTATCACAGTTTATTTATCCATTCACTCATTGAAGAGCATACTGGTTGCTTCTAAGTTTTGGCAATAATGAATAAAGCTGCTATAAACGTTCATGGGCAAGTTTTCTGTGGACATAAGTTTTCGACTACTTTGGATAAATACTAAGAGCATGATTTCTGGATCTTATGGTAGCAATATGTTTGGTTTTGAAATAAACCACTAAACTGTCTTCCAAACTGGTTGGACCATTTTGGATTTCCACCACCAATGAATGAGAGTTCTTGTTGCTCCACATACTCACTAGCATTTGGTGGTGTCATGTTCTGGATTTTGGTCATTCTAATAGCCATGTAATGATATCACATTTTTGTTTAAATTTGGATTTCCCAGATGACATATTATTTAGAGAAATTTTTCATATGCTTATTTCCCAACTATATAACATCTTTGGTGAGTTGTCTATTAAGGTCTGTGGCCTATTTTTAAATCAGATTGTTCCATTACTTATTGAGTTTTAATAATTCTTTGTATATTATTGGATAATCTTTTATCAGATATGTCTTCTGCAAATATTTTCTTCCACTCTGTGGCTTATCTTTTCAACTTCTTGATAGTGTCTTTTGTAGACAAAAGTTTTTAATTTTAAGGAAGTCCAGCTTATCAGTTCTTTTTTTCATGAATCATGCCATTGGTGTTGTATCTCAAATGACTTCTCCATACCCAACATCATCAATGTTTTCTCCTATGTTGTCTTCTAGGAGTTTTATAGTTTTGAGTTTTACATTTAGATCTATGATCCATTTTGAGATCATTTTTTAAAGGCATAAGGTTTATACCTAGATTCATTTTTTTTGGCATGTGGATATCCAGTTGTTCAAGCACCATTTTTTGAAAATACCATTTTTGCTCCATTGTATTAACTTTGCTCCTTTGCCAAAAATAAGTTGATTACACTTATGTGAGTCTATTTCTGGGCTATTTATTTGGTTCCATTGGTCTGTTTTCCTGTTTTTTTTCACCAATACAACCTGTTTTGATCACTGTAGATTTATAATAGATCTTGAAGTTGAGTAGAGTCAGTTCTTCAACTTTGTTCTCCTTCAATTTTATGTTGACTATTTTGAGTCATTTGCCTTGCCATATATACTTTCAAATCACTTTATCAATGTCTACAAACTAACTTGCTAGGATTTTGATGGGCATTGGATTGCATCTATAGATCAAATTGGTAAGAAGTGACATCTTCACAATATTAAGTATTCCTATCCATGAACATGGCATATCTGTTTATTTAGTTGTTATTTGATGTCTTTCAACAGAGTTTTGTAGTTTTTCCTACATGGATCTTGTACACATTTTGTTAAATTTATACAGAAGAATTTCATTTTTGATGGTGCTAAAGTACATGGTATTGGGTATTTTATGTTTTTGTTTTAATTGGTATGTAACACTACTGTTTTTTATATGTTGATTTTGTATTCCGCAACTTTACTGAATTTGTTGATCAGATTTAAGAGTTTTTTCATGGAGTCTCTAGGTTTTCTAAATATACATCAGCAACAGGGAAAATTTGACTCTTTCTTTTTAAATGTAGATTGGCTTTTATTTTTTTTTCTCTTGCCTGATTACTCTGGTTAGGACTTCCGGTCCTATATTGAATAGGAGTGGTGAAAATGGGCATCCTTATCTTCTTGTTCTAGGCTTTAAAGGAAAGGCTTTCAACTTTTCCTGATTCAGTATGATATTAACTATGGATTTGTCATATAGCCTTTACTACATTAAGGTACATTCCTTCTATGCTGGTTTTTTGAGACTTTTTATCATTAACGATGTTAATTTCATCAAATGCTTTTTCTGAATCTATTAACATGATCATATGTTTTTTGTCATTCACTCTATTGATGCAATGTACCACATTTATTGGCTTGTGTATGTTAAATTATACTTGCATCCCTGGGATAAATTCAAGTTGATCTTGATGTATATTTTTTTCTGACGTGCTGTTGGATTCAGTTTGTTAGTATTTCATTGAGAATTTTCAATCCTATATTCATCGAGCCTATTGGCCCATAGTTTTCTTTTTTTGTTGAGTTCTTGCCTGGTTTGAGTATCAGGGTAATGCTGGTCTTGTAGAATGAGTTAGGGAGCATTCCCTCCTCTTAAATTTTTTGGAATACTTTGTGAAGAGTTGATATTAGTTCATCTTTGAAAGTTTGATAGAATTCAGCAGTGAAGCCATCTGATCATAGACTTTTCTTTTTTGGGAGACTTTTTGTTACTAATTAAATCTCATTATCAGTTATTGGCCTGTAATCAGGCTTTCTATTTCTTCCTGATTCAGTCTTGGTGGGTTGTATGTGTCTAGGAATTTATCCATTTTCTCTGGGTTTTTCAGTTTCTTAGTGTATATAGTTGTTCATAAATGTCTCTAATGATCTTTTGTGTTTCTGTGGTATCAGTTGCAATGCCTCCTTTTCCATTTCTGATTTTATTTGAGTCTTTACTCTTTCTTGGTTAGTCCAGCAAGTGGTTTGTTGATTTTGTTTATCTTTTCAAAAAAACCACTTTTTGGTTTATTGATCTTTTGTATTATTTTTTTAGTCTCTATTTTGTTTAGTTCTCCTCTGATCTTTATTATTTCTTATCTTCTACTAATTTGGGGTTTTATTTGTTCTTGCTTTTCTAGTTTCTTGAGTTGCAGGTTGTATTATTTGAAATCCTTCTGCTTTTCTGATGTAGGTAATTATTGCTATAAGCGTACCTCTCAGCATTGCTTTTGCTGTATCTCATAGGTTGTGGTATGTTGTGTTTCTGGGTTTTTTTGTTTCAAAATTTTTAAAATTTACTGTGTAATTTCTTTCTTGACCCAACATTCAGAAGCATATCATTTAATTTCTATGTATTTGTACAGTTTCTAAAGTTCCTCTTGTTATTGATTTCTAGATTTATTCCATTGTGGTCTGAGAAGATACTTGATATGATTTCAACTTTACAAAATTTGTTTAGACTTGTTTTGTGTCCTAACATATGGTCGATCTTGGAGAATGTTCCAGGTGCTGATGAGAAGAATGTATATTCTCTAGCTCTTGGATAAAATGTTCTGTAAATATCTGTTAGGTCCATTTGGTCTAATGTGCAGTTTAAGTGAAATGTTTCTTTGTTTTCCGTCTAGATGATCTGTCTAATACTGAAAGTGGAGTGTTGAAGTTCCCAACTATAATTGTGTTGGATTCCATCTCTCCCTTTAGATCAACTAATATTTGCTTTGTATATCTGGGTGCTGGGGTATTGGGTGCATATATGTTTAGAATTATGATATCTTCTTGCTGAATTGATCCCTTTATCATTATATAATGATCTTCTTTGTATTTTTTGTTTTTTATTTTTTTTTACTTAAAGTTTGTTTCTTTGATATAAATATAGCTACTCCTGCTAATTTTCAGTTTTCATTTGCATGGAATGTATTTTCCCATCCATTTACTTTCAGTCTGTATATGTCATGACAGGTGGGATGAGTTCCTTGTAGGCAGCATATTGTGGTCATTTTGTGTGTGTGTGTGTGTGTGTGTGTGTGTGTGTGTGTGTGTGTGTGTGTATGTGTGTTTTAAATCCATTTCATTAGCTTTAACTTTACTGAGGAAAGTTAATTTGCTTACTTTCAAAGTTATTGATATGTGAGGGCCTATTTCTATCATTTCATTAATTAATTTCTGGTTGTTTTGTATACCTTTGTCCCTTTTCTTTCTCTCTTATTGTTTATCATAGTGGTTTTGTTTTGTTCTTCATAGTGATAACATTTGAATCTTTTATCTTCCTTTTTTGTTTGTTTGTTCTACCAGTGGCTTTTATATTTTCATGTGTCTGCCTGCCTGCCCTGCCCTCCATCACTCCCTCCATCCCTCCTTTCTTTCTTTCCCTTTCTTTCTTTCTCTCTTTTCTTTCTTTCTCTCTTTCCTTCTGTTTCTTCTTTCTTTCTCTGTTTCTTGCTTTCTTTCTTGCTCTTTCTCTCTCTTTCTCTCTTTCCCTCTTGCTTTCTTGATTTCTTTCTTTATTTCTCTTTCACAGGATTTTCTTAAGAATTTCTAATATGGCAAATCTAGTGGTGATGAATTCCCTCAGCTTTGCTTGTCTGGGAAATATTTCATTTCTTCTTCATTTATGAAGAATATCTTTGCTAGGTATAATATTCTTGGTTGACAGTATTTTCCTTTCAGCTGTTTGAATATGTCATCCTATTCTCTCCTGGTTTGTAAGATTTCTGATGGTAAATCCACTCTTGGTTGAATGGGGGCTCATTTATAAGTCACTAGATGTTTTCCTTTGCCTATTTTTTGAATTCTGTATTTGTCTTTGACTTTTAAGAGTTTGACTATAATGTGGCATAAAGAAGATCTTTTTACTTTGCATCTTTTTGGAACTATCGGAGCCTTCTGAATCTGGATATCTAAATCTCTTGCTAGACTTGGGAAAAGTTTCAGCAATTATTTTGTTAAATTGATTTTGTAATTATTTCATTTTCTTTTTATCTTCTGGCATACCGGCAATTTGAATATTTGCTCATTTTATCATGTTCCATATAGCACATAAGCTTTGCTCATTTTTAAAAATTGTTTCCTTAACATTTTTGTTTGAGTGGGTTATTTCCAAAAACCTGTTTTCGGGATCTGAGGTTCTTTCTTCTGCTTGATTTAGTCTATTAAAGCTTTCAAATGTATTTTGTCATTCATTTGGTGGGTTCTTCTGTTCAGAATTTGTCTTCATTTTTTTTAATAGTGTCTCTTTGGTAAATTTCTCATTCATATCCTGAATTGTTTTCCTGATTTCTTTTCCTTGCATTTTTGAATCTCTTTTTATCTCACAGAGCTTCTTTCAAATCAATATTTTGAATTCCTTTTCTTGGATTTTATAATTGTTTTGTTTGATTGGGATCTGTTACTGGAGAATTATTGTGTTCCTTCAGAGTTGTCACTTTTTCTTGCTTTTTAAAATGTTTTCTGTGTCCTTACATTGATATCTGTGCAGCTGGTATAATGGTTACTTCTTCCAGTTTTTTGAATTTGCTTTTGTAGGGAGGGACTTTTTCCTGAAGATGTTTTTATGGTGTTGGTTGAATAGGGCACTTTGGCTTTGATTCTGGGTGCATGCATTAGTATAGTGTCTGTGTGATTTATTTTGCCTTAAATAGAATCAGTGGCAGCTGTGATTCCCTTGCTGGATTGGAGGCAGTTATTAGTGGAGGCCATGGAAATTTTTTGCTGGGGACTGGGATGTCAGGTGGGCCAGGGTCTGGGGTCCTAGGGTAGCAGCAGTGGGCTGATTATGCCTATTTAGGGGCCTCAGAGCAGTGTACGTTGGCCTTGGTGTTAGAAGGCCCAACTGCACTGATTCCTGGGCCTTCAGGTGTCTTGCTGGTAGTCATAGTGGTGCACCAGGTGGGTGAGTGGGTTCTGTGCCCCTTGGGCAGGAGGTGTGGTGTAGGTGATAGTAGTAGCAATGGCAGGATAACCCTCTGTGTCTTGAGCAGTTTCCACTGATGTTAGTGGTGGCTGCAATGGGTTAGTGGTTTAGTCTTCATATCTACAATTAGTGAATACAGATGGGTGCCAGCTCTGGTGGTAGTGGTAGGATGGTGGACCCAACCTGGTGGTAGTGGCAGGGTGGTGTGCCCAACCTCAGGTGTCTGGGAGGAGTGCTGAGGTACTGGTTGTGGTAGACTAGGCAGTGTGATCCCGAGACCCTTGTACTCTCAGATTGAGTCTTCTGGCTTCAGGGGAGGCAGAGCCAGGCTAAGAAGTCCTACCCTCAGGCTCCCTGGTGTTGTGTGCAGGTACTGGCTGTGGTAGACAGTGGTAGGGTGATCTCCAAACCCCAGGTGGGATGCTTAGGTTGGGGAGTGGGAGTGGTTATGCTGCTGCCCTGCTACTGGAGAGGGCAGGGGTGCTTTTAGTGGTGGGCAGGGTTGCTTTTAGTGGCAGCCATAGTCAGGTGGGTGGGAAATACATATTTTGCTTGTATCTTAGCCTAGGTGGCAGAAGCTTATATTTCACTTGCACTTCAGCCACCTCATTGGCAACTGGTTCTTCACTCATATCTTAGCCTTGACTGTAGCAGCCCAAACTTCACTAACCTCCCAGCCCACGGCAGCAGCCCACAGTAATGGCAGCTATGGGTGGGGAGAGGGGTTCTGTCTGGGTGCAATAAATGCACAGTGGCTCTGATGCTGGTGGCAAGTGTGATCATTGCCAGTGGCCTGTGCCTTAGTCCACATAGCAGCAGCTAGGTGCAGTGGTGACTGTCTGTGGGGGATGTCAACAGGGCTCCAGGAATAAGGAGATGTAGTCGCTGTTGGGCCCCAGAGCAAGGCAAAGTCTGTTGGGAGCTAGGTTCTCAAAATGGCACCTTGCTGCAGCTGCTTTGGACTTGGGATGTGTGGAACTCAGTGTGAGCTCCCTCTCTGGAGCACGGATATTGCAGTCTCCAGGGAGCTGCTTATGTCAGTTTCAGGGCCCACAATGGTCAAGAGGCTCTCCAGTGGCTAGGGTTGTAGGAGTCCATGGTGAGGATGTGGACTTCTGGAGGTCTCTCACTTGCCCTTTTCTCATATTGGGGAGTCCCTTTCCACATTGGGGAATCTCTCCAAACTCCTAGCCGATCCTGGCCAAGCAGGCTGCCTTGCTTCCATGTCCTTCACTGCTTTATGTGCTTCCTGTTACTTCTCTGTTGAACTCCAGGATTCTTTCTTAGATGACCTATTCAAAGTGTGATTGTCTAGTCACTATTTTTGTTTCTTCTTTGTGGAGAAGACCAGTATGAGCTGCCTTTGGTCAGCCATCTTTAAACTCCTTGGTATCGTGTTTTTAATTCAAATCACACTTGTTCATTGCTGGTATACAGGAAAGTGATCAACTTTTATATATGAACCTTGTATCCTGTAACCTTGCTATAATTATGTATTAGTCCCAGGAGATTTTTGCTGGTTGTTATTGATTCTCTTAGATGCCTACATAAGCAATCATATCATCTATGAACAAATAGTTTTCTTTCTTCTTTCCCAATATAACTTTTGTTTATTTTCTTGTCTTATTATGTTAGCCAGGACTTCCAGTACAATGTTGAAAAGAAGTGGTGAGAGGGAACGTCCTTGCTTTGTTTCTGATCTTAGTGGGAAAGCTTCTAATTTCACACCATTAATTATGATGTTTGCTATAGGTTTTTTGTAGATATTCTTTATCATCTCAGGGAATTTCCCCTCTATTCTAAGTTTACTGAGAGTTGTTATAAATGGGTGTTGGATTGTGTTAAATGCTTTTTCTGCATAGGTTAATATGATCATGTTCTTTTTTCTTTAGTCTGCTGATGAGATGGATTACATTAATTGATTTTTAAATGTTGAACCAGCCTTGGGATAAATTCTCATAGTGGTTATGTAGTATAATTTTTTATACATGATTGGATTCAATTTGCTAATGCTTTATTGAGGATTTTTGCATCTTTGTTCCTGAGAATTATTGATCTTTAGTTTTCCTTTCTTGTAATATATTTACCTGATTTTGATATTTGGTTACATTTGGTATTTGGTATTTGGTTGATGGTTGATTTTGGTATTTGGTTCATTAAATGAGTTAGAAAATATTTTATCCTCTTCTATTTTCTGAAAAATGATGTGGAAAATTGGCATAATTTCTCCCTTAAATGTTTAGTAGAATTCACCAGTAAAACCATCTGAGCCTAGTGTTTTCTCTTTAGCAAAGTTATTAATTACTGATTCAATTTATTTAATAGATATAGTTCTATTCAAATAACCTTTTTCATCCTGTGTGAGTTTTAACAGATTGTGTCTTTCAAGAAATTGATCTATTTCATCTGGGTTATCAAAGTTGTGGCCATAGAAGTGTTTATCATACTCTTTTGTCACCATTTTAATATCTATAAGATTTGTAGTGATGTCCCCTCTTTCATTTCGGATATTAGTAATTTGTGTCCCCTCTCTTTTTTCTTAATTAGCCTGGCCAGAGGCTTATTAACTTTATTGATATTTTCAAAGAACCAGATTTTAAAAATTGATTTTCTCTATTGATTTCCTATTTTCAGTTTCATTGATTTCTGTTCTAGTTTTTATTATTTCTTTTTTTCTGCTTACCTTGGAGTTTTTTTTTTCTTGTTTCCTGAGATGGGAGGTTAGATGACTGATTCTAGATACTTCTTTTTAATATATACACTCAATGCTATAAATTTCCTTCTAAGTACTGCTTTTGCTGCATCCCACAAATGTTAGATTTGTTAAATTTTCATTTAGTTGAACATACTTTTTAGTTTCTCTTGACATTTATTTTTTGACTAATATGTTATTTAGATGTGTCTTGTTTAATCTCCGTGTATTTTGGGACTTTCTAGTTATCTTTCTGTTAATTATTTATTGCTCAATTTAATTGTGTTCTGAGAGCCGACATTGTATGATTTCTATTCTTTCATATTTGTTAAAGTGTGTTTTATGGCCCAGGATGTGGTCTAGTTCAGTGGATGTTCTATTTGGGCTTTAGAAGAATGTGTATTCTGCTGTTGTCTGATAAAGTAATCTATAGATGTTAGTTATATCCAGTTGATTGGTGGCATTATTAAAATCAACTATGTCCTTATTGATTTTATTTCTTTTTTTGTATATCACTCATACTTTAAAAAAAAAAAACTTTTTAAAGTGATTGCCCTAGAATTTGCTATATACACTTACAATGAATCCAAGCCCATTTTAAATAACACTATACCACTTCAATAGTAGTGAGAGTGGCTTTTAGTAAAAATAATTCTAAATTCTTGTCTCTTGCCTCTTCTCTCACTGTTGTCACTCATTTCACTTGTATGTAAACATACATAAGATATATACATAAGTATACATAATCAAATACCTTGTTGGTATGTTTATGTTGAACAAATTTTTTTTCTGTTAAGTCAATTGAGAATAATACTTTTCTTTCTTTTTTTAATTATACTTTAAGTTCTGGGGTACATGTGAAGAACATCCAGGTTTGTTACATAGGTATACACATGCTATGGTGGTTTGCTGCACCCATCAACCTGTCATCTACATTAGGTACTTCTCCTAATGCTATTGCTCCCTTAGCCCCCCACCCCTCCTTGACAGGCCTTGGTGTGTGATGTTCCCCTCCCTATGTCCATGTGTTCTCATTGTTCAACTCCCACTTATGAGTGAGAATATGCAGTGTTTGGTTTTCTGTTCTTGTGTTAGTTTGCTGAGAATGATGGTTTCTAGCTTCATCCATGTTCCTGCAAAGGACATGAACTCATCCTTTTATATGGCTGCATAGTATTCCATGGTGTATATGTGCCACATCTTCTTTATCCAGTCTACCATTGATGGGCATTTGGGTTGGTTCCAACTCTTTGCTATTGTGAACAGTGCCACAATAAACATACATGTGCAAGTGTGTTTATAGTAGAATGATTTATAATCCTTTGGGTATATACCCAGTAATGGGATTGCTGGGTCAAAAAATTTTGCCTTCATTTATTCTTCTTCATTGTTCTTTCTTTCTTCATGTGGTTCAAGTTTCTGACCTATATTTCCTTCTGTCTGAAGAAACTTTAATGATTTTTGCAAAACAGATCTACTGACAAGTTTCTTAAGTTTTTCTTTGTTTGAGAAAACATTCTTTTCTTCTTCACTTTTGATGGATAATTTTGCAGGGTACGGAATTCTAGATTGGTGGTGTTTTTTTCCCTCAACCCTTTAAATATGTCTCTCTACTTTCTTCTTGCTTACATGGTTTCTGGGGAGAAGTTGGATATAATTCTTATCTCTTCTCCTTTATAGGTAAGGTATTTATTTCTTCTAGCTTCTCTCATGACTTTTTTTCTTAATCTTTGATTTTTTTTGTAGTTTGAAAATGATACATCTAGGTGTAGATTTTTCAGCATTTATCTGTCTCAGTGTTCTCTGAGTTTTGAGTGTCTGTGGTTTGGTGTCTGACATTACTTTGCTATGATTCTCAGTTATAATTATTTCAGATTTTTTTCTGTTTCTTTTTCTGTTATTCACATTACATGCATTTATACCATTTTTAGTTGTTCCTCATTCTTGGATATTCTTTTCCTTTTTTTTTTTTTACTTTTTGTTGTTTTTGCTTTTCAGTTTTGGCATTTTCTGTTGAGATGTTCTCAAGCTCAGAGATTCTTCCTCAGCTGTGTTCAGTCTGCTAAAAACACATCAAAGGCATTTTTAAATTTCAGGTACAGTGTTTTTGATCCCTAGCATTTCTTTTTTTTTCTTAGAATTTTCAACTTTCTGTTTACATTGCTCATCTGTTTTGGCATGCTGTCTACCTTATCCATGAAATCTTTTAGCACATTAATTAAATTTGTTTGAAATTTCTGCACTGGTCATTGCAACATCCCTGTTGTATCAGACTCTGATACTTTCTCTGTGTCTTCTATGTTTTTTCCCTTTAGTATGCCTTGTAATTTTTTTCTTCACAGCTGGACATGATATACTGGTTTGAAAGGAATGGCTGTAAATAAGTCTTTAGTAATGTGATGGTAAGCTATGGAAGGAGGGGAAGCTTTTTATCAACCTGTGATTAGTTCTCAGGTATTTACAGGTGTTTCTGTTTGTTCTCCCTCTCCTGATCCCTCAGGTTGATTAGATTAGCTAGAGTGGGCTGTAGGTAGGTATCTATGTTCTCCCACATGGAAGGATAAAGTGGGCTGGTGTTGTGTATTTTACTTCCCGTAGCTTAGTTGGACTATAAAACCCCTGAAGTTTAGTCTCTGATTTATAAGTTTCTTCTGAGAGCAGACCTTGTTAAAAAGAATGTAGTGCTCTGATGTGTATTTCAGAATAATTATTTTCCCCCTCCCCTGATATAACCATATGGGCAATTTTCTTTAACATTTGTTGGGAGTATGTGGTCACCTACTGGTGATAAAATTCACAAAGTGAAGGGGCTTCCTATGAATCCCCCTGGAGTTTTGAACTCTCAGACTGTGTGTGTGTGTGTGTGTGTGTGTGTGTGTGTGTTTTGAAAACTCTGGTTTTTTTTTTTTAAACTCATAATGTGATTGGCATTGCTTATCCTAGAGAAAGCTTTAACTTAAAAACCATAATTTAAGTAAGGTACGACCTCAGACTTGGAAATGCTGGATATCTAAAGAGAAGGGAAATAAATATTCAGTTTCTGGTGGATAACAACTGAAGAGAAGGTCACCCCATCCTTACTCCTGCATAAGTGGGAGATAACTTATCCCCAGTCTTTTTTAGGGAGGCAGCACGATATAGTGGACAGAACATGGACCTTGGATTTAGGGTTTCATGGGTTAAGTTTCTAGAACTGCTACTTCTTAGTTGTGTGAGAGCTTGATAAAGTTATCTGTCCTAAGATGTAATTGACTCACCATAAAGTGGAAATAATAATGCCTATCTCAACTTTATTGTTGTGAAAACTATGCTATTTTATAGCATAAATATATAGTAAAACTATACTATTTACTTGGCACACACTATGTACTCAATAAATGGGTGCTTTTCATGATGTTATTAGAACTTATATTTAGCATGGGTTGGTAAAATATAGAGCAAGATTCATGGACCAAGGAACCCTTTTCTGTTTGCATTATATGTGCCTCATATTTTCAAATTAGTTTCTCCGTATAGATGACTAATGCACTTGCATTTCTGGGATTATTCTTCACCAGGAAAACAGAAGGATAGGTCATTTAATAAAAGCCCTATTTGGTACATTTGAGAAGTTAAGCTCCCTGTCTGAGGTGAACATCCCAAATTCAAACACTTGGTTAGTTGCAGAGCCAGACCTCAAAACTGGGTCTACTAATTCCCATTTATCATGCACTCTCCCCAGTCCCAGATGCTTTAGCTGCACTACTAGAGGTGTTTATCTCCTGGAGGTTACATAATCTAAAATTGTGCCTCAAAGACCAGCAGATATACATAGTGAAGGAAAAAGAGAAAATTGTTTAGGGAGAAGTTAGAAAGAGGACGATTTTAAGTTCATTTCTCCTGTGCAGATGTGAGGGTTTGGCTGTCAAGTCAGAGAATTCTTTCTTGTTCTAGCTCATTTACCTGATGATGATCTTTTCTAAGAAACTTCTGTGTGCAAGAAGGGCAGTTCTTGACTGTTACCAACACAGTGATTTACTTAGGGGCCTGTGAGGAATGGAAGACACAATGTTTCTCTACAGCTCTATTTTTTTCTTTGAGTGCTGTTTCTAAGACCTGAAATGCCATGCAGTGTCTGATAGGTATATGACTAAAAACAAATAAATGAACAAAGCAATTGGGGATTCTAGTTTATACTTCTGTAATAATTATCTGTGTTAAATTGAATGAGTCACTTAATTTGAGTTTGTATCGATTTCTCTAAAGCAAGGATACTATAATATGTAATATATGAACATGACTTAGTTATTATTTGAAATCTACTGTGTATCTCTCTGTCTCTCCACTTCTCTATCAAGCAATCAATCTATCTATCTATCTATCTACTACCTACCTCATATATATTATGCCATATTATGAGAAGGCATTTTTAAATTACATACTGGCATTATAATTTTATGTTTTTTAATTAATGGTGACGAGAGGTATTTCCTTGGTTAGGAATTTTTAATCCAAAAGCTTGAACATGAAATGCTGCACAAATACCCAGGTCCCAAAGGTCTTACTAAGTGGTTTTGTTCCCAAAGAACCAAGAGAATGACAATACATGAGAGGCAGTAGAATGGAGTGGTTGCAGAACAAGACAAACCTAGGTTGGAGTCCAGACCGAATCTTCTTTGCTGTATGCCTTTAGTGAAGTCAAACCATTTAATTTCTTTGAGTCTCAGTTTTATTGTTGGTAATGTCTGAGTAATAACAGTAGTATCTATGATCAAGTATTGCTGCAAGGATTAAGTAAAGAAAGGCGTAGAAAGTGTTTAGAACACATCCGAGCATTTGGAAGTATTAGTCACTGTTGTGCCCATCATTTGCATTAATAGCATTTGTATTTAGGCTAAAAACCTGACTTGGTTCCACAGATTACAGTTTAATTTCTAAAAATGTTTACTTGGTCCATTTGAAAGAGGTGCATTTTCAGTGCAGTGCTATTTGCTAACACCATGCCAGAAACACATCAAGATGGCCATGGTCCCCAGTAGTTGATCCAGTGAGCACTATATTTGGCTGGCAAATGAATGAATGTCTCTGCATATATGGGGAGTGCCGTGATTTTAGAGCTGTTTGGTTCCCTTTGACCAGCAAACTGACCTGTAAAAGGAACTAGTACTAATTTTGAGCATATATTTCTGGTACGCATTGTGTACTGAGGGATTTTATTGTTATCAGAACATCACTGATGAAATAGAAATTATCCCCTTTTACAGAGAATACAATTAAGGAAATAACCTTGGAAGGTGATGTTTTATGGCTGTTTTATGTGTTTGTGTTGGTGTGACTAGGTTACTATGTAAGTAGTTAAATTAAATCATCCTACTGATAAGAGTGAATTGGCATCCTGCTTTATAATCAGACTTTTGCTCGTTGATATTAGGGATAGAAAAACACATATGACATTCTCCATACCTTCAAGGAGATTATGTCCCCAATAAGAAAGCACAATGAGCACATATGCAATAATTGACAAGCAAATAGATTCTATAAGCAAACAGGAAAGAGCAAGAATTTCTGAAATCCAACTGTAGGCTCATGTGCCTACAAATCTATCAGTGGGCAATGTGAAATTTCATCAGTACTTTTGTGGATCTTTTTTAAGAGCCTGTCGTTTGTGCTACATGTTGTGTGGAATGCAAAGCAGTGTAAATTCCATTTGTTGCTTTCAAGAAACATGTAATCTATTTGAGAATATAAGGCTAAAATTCAAGAATAGATAAAAGCAGGTATGCAATAGGAATGTAAAATTACTGGCTAAGTCAGGCAGGCTGGGGAGTGATGGATATGCAGACATTGTTGATCATGGAGTGAGTGAGTCATATACAAAGTTGAGCCTAAGCTGGCATGGAAGGAGCAGTAGAATTGAGGCAGAGAGGAAAGAGAGGGATTTTTGTGTGGAGGTCAGGCTTTGGGGATGATAGACTAATTCAGCCAAAGTTAAAGGATTCATTTGGGCAGAAGTTGGAGAAAACGCTGAAAGGTGAGGAAGACAGATGACAGATGGCTTTGAATGATAAAAATTGATGCTTTTGCTTTTGTCACAAAAATTCTGATTTAGGGCAGCATGATATAAGATAGAACCAGATTCATGGACAGTAATACTTTAGACAGATACTGTCAAAGAGTTTTTAGATGTATTTAAGTGCGTATGTTTGTGTATCTGTATTTGAGGGAAAGTGCTTTTTTAACCTGTGAATTTTCACATTAATCCCATAGGCATAAAAGTATGGGAGTTTTGGTTTACTACCTTCAACTATTTATCATCTTTTCCCACCTATTACCACCAGTCATTTTTCTCCTTTAAAAACACACAAAGACAAAGGAATAAAGCCAAATAGAATCTATAACTATCACTTTAGCTTTAAACTACTAGTTTACTGTATTATTTGGCTTTATTTCTTTGCTTTATTCTTTAATAGCATCCATAGCTACTAGTTTAGTTTTAAACTAAACTAGTGAATAGAACCATGAATTTGGTTCCATCTTATATCACTAGTTTAGTTGAGTTTTAGTTTAAAACTAGTAGCTATAGATAGTATTTTGCTTTATTTCTTTGTATGTTAAGATTTTTTATATAGTTCTAAACGTGGTAGATCCACAATTATATATCCAGCCTTTGTACCTCATATGATGAGCACTTTGCACACATTACTATATAATCTGCTGAAGGTTTTAAATAAGGCAAGCATAGTGACTGCATAGTCTGTCCAATTTGGGACTGGCAGCTGTTATCAAGGTATGCATTTTAAGTTGCAGAGATTTTAAAGTGTACAATATTAACTTGACTTACTGTGTCTGGGAAACTGATGTAGGCTGCATCCAAAGATTTCCCTGCAGCTTGCTTAGTTCCATTTGTCAAGTGGAAATCTCATAACTAAATAGTCACACAGAGCTTTGTCGATTTCTTGCTGGGCTCAGTGGATAATATGTGACCTGTCGCACATGAGGGATTCTCTGTGGGGAGGGATGTAGCTCACAGCCTAGGCAGGGCATGAGGTATTTTTCTAAGGGGCCTCCCTGTGGGCTGGCTCTGTAGATTGGATGAAGCACAGAGACAGAGAAGTCAATCAGCTGCCTGTTGGATTTGTGGGGCTCTGAAAGGCCAATTTGCTGGGATTAACAGAGGTCTGGCTTAATAAATGTGTCTGCTTGCCTAATATATTTGAGTAGATGAACCTTAAAATACTTGATTTAATTTAGCATTGGGCACCAGATATCAGTGGCTGATGAAGAACTCAAGAATCCTGTTGAGTGTTCCAGCTTTGCAAGGAAGGTGAAATCAGCCATGCTGCCATAACAGCTGATGAGAAACAAAAGCAATTTGGAAAACAAAATTAGCTCCTGCCATTTTCCCAGCACAAGAGTCTGTGGCTTGCCACCTGGGGACCAAGTGTTCCCATTCAGCACAGTTTGTTTGCTGTGGCTGAGTGCCCTGACTGGCTGGCAGGAGGGCACATACTCTCTTACTTCAGATGGCATTCCCTTTGCCCTGCATCCCTGCACCCTTGCTGGGCCCTGGATCTCCTAGGGAAACAGCCAGATGGAGGAGACAAGATCAAATCTGCTAGGACAGGAAGAATTCCATCACTCTCAAAAGAGATTCCATTGCCCAAGACAGCACCGACCAGCTGAATCTTAAGAGAGGGCAGAAAAAGGAGAGAGGGCCATGTATGCTACTGAGAGCTGAAGAAGATGAGCTGGAAGTAGTGAAGATTCTCTAAAGAGAAAACTATTAAGGGAGAAAAATGCCTGGTGGTGATAGGTGGGAAAAGATGAGAAATAGCTGAAGGCAGTAAAACAAAACGGAAAACTGAAAGAACTGTGCAGTGAACATCAACATACACACCACCTGTAGTCTACCATTAGTATTTGCTATGCTTGTTCTATCACATGTCTATCTGTCCATCCTTCTGCATACATCCATTAGTCTATCTTGATGCTTTATTCATTTCAAAGTAAATTTAAGACACCTATATTCTTTGTCCTAAATGATTCAGCTTGCAAATCATTAACCGTAGTTGAATTTTTTTTATACTTTTAGCCCTGTGGGGGTATAAATCCTATCAACAATGGAATGCAAAATTCAACAGTGTGTACTTACTGAGTTTTGGAAAAGACATTCACCTGTGTAATCCAAACTTCCTGAAAGTCCTCTCATGCCCCTTCTAAGTCAATCTCCAGCCCAGTCCCCCTTCTCAGTCAATCTCCAGTCCAGTCTCCAGAACCAACCACTATTCTATTTTTTCATCATAAATTAGATTTGCTGGTTTGGAGATTTATCCATACTGATTATATACACACACATATACACACACAAACACTGAAAAAAATATATATATATATATCTATATCTATATCTATATATATCTCAGTATTTATTTCCTACTAAATCTCCTACTAATGAATTCCTGGGCTGTTTCCTATTTTGGGCTGCTATGAATAAGCCACTATGAACATTTATTTTTTTGTTTGTATACTTGTGTCTTCTTTTCTCTTGACTAAATTCTTAGGGTTGCAGTTCCCAAATCATAAAATATACATATAGTACAACTGATGGAGGATTTTTCTTGGCCCCTTCACTGAACTCGCAGCAGTGGTGTTCCCTCTACCTGGCCCACCATGCTTGTGGGAGGGAGCATGTGAGCGAGTTAGTGTGGGATCTGGCCATACACTCTGGGTGCTGACACAGGAGCAAGCTCCATGGAGGGCCCATGGCCAGACCAGGTGTATCACCTCAGGGGGAGCGCAGCAGCCCCAGGTGAGGGTGCTCACAACCCTGAAGCCCCAGAGGGGGTGTTAGAGTGCACCTTTAGCTCTACCATCTGCGGACAGTGGCATGTTAGCAGCTCAGTTGGCCCCTTGCCTTGTCATGTGGGGCAGCTGCCCTCTGCCACTGCGAGTAAAGGGCCAGTGTGACAGTCTTTCTGGGTACCCACACTCGGTGGGTCCTGAACTCTTGTCTGGCATCCAAGAAGAATGAGGTCACATGGATGGTTGAAGGATGGTGAAGGCAGAGAATTTTACTGAGCAATGAAAACAGCTCTCAGCAGAGAGGGGAGCTGGAGAGGGGACAAGAAGGGCAGGTCATCTCCTCCCTGACTTCAAGTCAGGCTGTCTCCTCCCAGAAGTCAGGCCGTCGTCTTCTCTACCAACTGAGTCTGGGGTCTTTATAGGCACAGGATGGGGATTGTGTGCTGACTGGTTTGTGAATATGCAAAAAAGGATCAAGTGAAGACACCATTCAAAGGTGGGCATGACAGTGTAGAAAACCAACTAGGAAAGGGTAGGTATATGTAAAGTAGGTGAAGAATAGGGATCAATCAGAGAAAGCGCACCAAACAGGGAGAAAAGTTTTCAATCCAGTCCAAAGATTTAACTTGTAACTTGGCTTTCAGGCTTTAAACCGTCTTTAGCTTGGAGGTGGGGTTTCACTGGGTACCCGCCCCTATCTGCCTAGGCATTTGGCTGCCTCCTGTCACTGTCACACCACTTTGGAAAAAGTTATTGCAATTTCTTATAAAACTAAACATTTTCCTAAATCATTCTACCATTTTACATTTCCACCAAAATTATATGAGTCCTAATTGTCCTGCATCTTCAATATTACTTGTTATCATTTATATATATATATTTATACATATATTTATATATATATTTATACATATGTTTATATATATATTTATACATATATTTATATATATATTTATACATATATTTATATATATATTTATACATATATTTATATATATTTATACATATATTTATATATATTTATATATTTATACATATATTTATATATATTTATATATTTATACATATATTTATATATATTTATATATATTTATATATTTATATATTTATATATTTATATATTTATATATATTTATATATATTTATATACATTTATATATATTTATATATATTTATATATTTATATACATTTATATATATTTATATATTTATATATATTTATATATGTTTATATACATTTATATATATTTATATATATTTATATACATTTATATATATATTTATATACATTTATATATATTTATATATATTTATATACATTTATATACATTTATATATTTATATATTTATATACATTTATATATATTTATATATTTATATATATTTATATTTTATATATTTTATATATTTATATATTTATATACATTTATATATAATTTATATATATTTTTATATATAAATTATATATATATTTTTATATATAAATTATATATATATTTTTATATATAAATTATATATAATATATGATATATAAATTATATATATAATATATATGATATATAAATTATATATAATATATGATATATATTATATATTGTATGATATATATTATATATAATATATATTTATACATGTATTTTTATATATATTTATACATATATATTTACATATATTTATATATATTTATATATTTATATATATTTATATATATATATTTAGCCATTCTGTTGGGTGTTTAGAGATATCTCATTTTCTTTTTAACGAATGTAGCAAAGGTAATGAACCAATTGAAGGTTTTGTGTCAGATAAGACCTGATGGACTGACCAATAGAAACTAGAAATTTTGCCTAAATCCATTTGTCAATGCAACATTCTGATTGCTGAGTCCTCACAGATCACCTAACCCAAACCACTCATTTAACAGATAAAGAAGTAAAGGCCAGAATGCAGACAAACTTTGCCTAAGGATATTGATTCAAACAGTAACAGAGTGAGTTTCAAGTCACTGTTCTAATTATACTAGAAATGGTGACTCTGTGCCACACATGTTGATATTCCCTTATTCCATGGCCCTGAGCTATGCTCAGCCCAGCTTGACTTCATCTCTCTTCTCCAAACAGGACCATAAACAGCCACTATTGACCCTTTGGATTTTATATGCATGTCAGAACCTGCTTACACCTCATTTATCGATTAATTCAGAAGGTCACACCCATGTGTGTGTCATCACCCAGTCATAAGTATGGGAAAGAATGCCTGAACTCTGAGGTTTGCCCTTAGTTAAGGGAAGGAGTATATCCCTTTCCATACTCCCTTTCTTCTTTCATTTACCAAATAGAAAAGAAATATGCCAGATGCTTAGGACAGTATCTGTAATCCTGCCCAACTCCAGCCATCAACCTCGTCATAAAACAGAGCTATAGAATTTTAAAGCAGAAGAAATTAAATTATTGTTTCAAGGCCAGTTGAAAAGTCTGAGCTAGAAAGGAATTTCAGTATTACAGTAGGGACACCATCTGAAAGCTGCAGCTGGGAGCCTCTGCAGGGTTTTGTACACATGCATCCAAGCCATACATGGGTATGTTGTGAAGGACTGTCCTGCCCCTCTTAAAGGGCAGCTCTGTGCTTCTGCAGCTGGCTACATTGCTACTCTCCATCCTGCTGTCGTCCTGACACAAAGAGAGGAGAGAGAGTCTGCTCATCTGCCCCTGTGACATCTCTTTATCAGCTGCCTTAGATCAGCCTCCAACTGTTACGTCTTACTTTCCAAACAGTAGAGAATTTGAGAGGGCACTGACTTTAAGATGCCCAGTGAATAATGACTCATCAGACTGAAGATCTGTACTCTCTTCTCTCCAATAAGCATCTGCTTTTTAATCAAGATTCTTCTTTCCAGGAAAAAAAAATATATATATATATATAATTAGAGCTGACCCTTGAACAACAAGGGTTTGAAATGTACAGGTCCACTTATATGTGGGTTGTTTTTTTTCAAGAAATACAGTCAGCCCTCCATATCGTCAGGATCCACATCTGCAACCAAACTTAGATTGAAAATACAGCATTTGCAGAATGCAATACCTGCAGATATGGAGGGTCTACAGTGGGATTGGAGTATGCATGGATTTTTGTATACACAGCGGTCCTGGAACCAATCCTCTGTGAATTCTGAGGTATATCTGCATTCTATTTCTGTCTTCATCCTTGAGAACTTCCTATATGTTATGATTATTGGGGGAAAAACAGAAAGAAAAAGATTAATAAATGATCACAAATATGTTTTTTTGTGTATTTTCCAACCTATTAAAAATGGTAAAAATGCCTTGCAATGGGAAACACACATATAATATAAAAAGTCAGTAATCTGATGGTGCATCTAATTTACATATATTTTCTGCTCTATGAAAGGCAATGTGCGGCCGGGCGCAGTGGTTCACGCCTGTAATCCTAGCACTTTGGGAGACTGAGGTGGGTGGATTGCCTGAGCTCAGGAGTTCAAGATCAGCCTGGGCAACACGGTGAAACCCCATCTCCACTAAAATATAAAAAATTAGCTGAGTGTGGTGGCATACACCTGTAGTCCCAGCTACTAGGGAGGTTGAGGCAGGAGAATTGTTAGAACCCAGGAGGCGGAGGTTGCAGTGAGCCGAGATCGCATCATTGCACTGCAGCCTGGGCGGCAGAGCAAGACTCTGTCAAAAAAAAAAAAAAAAAAAGACAGTGTGCTTAGGGTGGGTAATACAGAAGTAAATAACTATGTGATCACTTCTCAGAAAGGTCTCATAATCCAGTGAAATATAGGATGAAAATATAAGTGACACCAGATATTGGAGGAGAAGGGAAATGATCTCCTATTCCCAAAGTCAACAGGGACAGGTTACAAAAGCTGTTTCTACTTTGCCCCAGGAGAAGGAGCAGAATGACATGCAAAATCCAGGATGCCCAGTCTTATCCTTATTTCTAGAATTTAATAATTTATAATGTGTTTCAAGTATACTAATACTCTTCCTAGATACTGGAAGAATAATCACAGTTTTAAGAAACGGTATAACGTTTGTTTGTTTGTTTGTTTTTCTTTTCCAAGTTAGGATGACAGTCTGAGAGTTTCAGGAAAGGAAATAAAGTTGATATCCCACACAAGACTGAATGAGTATTGTTACTTCTTCTTGTAGCCTCTCATCACTTTGGACAGCAGCATTTCCTTCACATTCCTTGCAGAAGGAACCGACACCATCACAGTCCAGGTGGCTGCTGGGAATGCCCTCATCCAGGACACAAAAGAGATTGCAGTTCATGGTAAGCCCTGAAAATTGTTCTGTGATGCTCCTTCCCGCTCAGTTAATCTCCTGTGTCCACTCTCCCTACAATCATTGAGTGTGGTGGAAATTCCTCAGGCCCTGGGAAAATTACATAGGTCAACAGGAAGCTTCCAAACCTACCTCCGACCTAGAGATTGAGGTTATAAGAGACGTATACCACAAACAGGTATTTGTTGTCCCCTGTGTTATGTCTGCCTCAGAACTTGTTTGGGGTTCTTATTAGACAAAGACACGTATCACAAATTGAAGGAAATGCAAGCTGGGAGGTATCTACAACATATATGCAGGACACACTCTTTGTGAGATGAGGACCAGCAATTTCCAAAAGTCAGGAGTCATGATCCCTGCCTTGTAGGACTCATTGCTCAGTTAATGAGATGATCTCTATTCACAACAGATGGCTTTCTTGATTGTTGGAGATTTGAATATCATTGGCTGCAAAACTAGATAATAAGGCTAAGAATATAAGTTAGGACTAGGGCAGAAGAGGGTGAATAGGACTACTATCCTGTTCTCAACCCTGGAGAACCACTGTTAAGTTTATTACAAATGAAAGTGCCTCTACTGCCATTTCACACAACCTCTCCCAGGTCCCTAGACACAACCAGTATCACTGTGGTTTTCTTTTCTTTTCTTTTTTTTTAGATTTTTCATTACTAGTTTGATTTCTTTAATGGTAATTGGTTTTTTGGTTTTACATGTCTTCATTTCATTTCTTCATTTCTTCTTTTTTTTATGTATTATACTTTAAGTTTTAGGGTACATGTGCACAACATGCAGGTTTGTTACATATGTAATGTAAATATCACTGTGGTTTTCTAGAAAGTTAAGTGAAGGCTTGTGATCCTCTGATCAGATTATGTTCCTCCAGCCTCACACCAGGTAAATTCTTTTTCCTACCTTTCTGCAAACTTGCTTCTCAGGCTCTTCGAGGGGCACATGGAAGGTTTGTGTGTTTCTTTCAAAGTAAACATTTTAATTGTATTGTAAATTTTATACAGAAGCGTGCAGGGCACAAGTGTTTAGTTTTATGCATTACCACAAAGTGAATGCACTTGTATACTCACCAACCAGGTCAAGATACAAAGTTTAAACCTATTTTCTAATCCTCAGAGGCAGTTTCTAGCACAATGGGTGAAGGGATTAAAGAAGGAGAAGTGAAAAGACTCCATTCCAACCAAGTCCAAATTGTTAATGCTTTGTGTTGGCTCTTCCTGGTACCACCTACAGTAGCAGACGTCTCCTTCTGGAGTTTCATAATTGTCTTTCATTTCAGATAATATACAGGAAGAAAGGCTTAAGATCTTAGACACTAACAAAAACTGGTAGGAGCACAAATCTACTTTTAATCACCAAATTCTACTTTATTTCAGAAGTCAGGAAACAAGCTGAGAACAAGGAATTCTAGCAGAAGCCTGGTGAAAGAGTAGACCTTTTACCAAAAGCACAGTGATGGTGGAGCTCCACACCTGTCACACCCTCTCTCTTCTCACTCTCCCAGCCTCACTTAAACATTCTCTCTCCCTGCAGAATATTTCCAGTCCCAGCTTTTATCATTCTCTCCTAATCTGGATTACCACAATCCTGACATTCCTGAGTGGAGAAAAGATATTGGCAATGTCATCAAGCGAGCTCTGGTTAAAGTAAGTTGGCTTTGTCTTTTTTTAAGTTCTTGTGAATAAAGAAAAGAACTAGATGGTGTGGTCCACAATACATTGGCATGGATTGAAACTGCATTCCACAGTTAAAGATTATTTCTCTGTAAAAAGAGAGAGAAGAGGCTGGGTGCAGTCGCTCACACCTGTCATCCCAGCACTTTGGGAGGCCAAGGCAGGCAGATCACTTGAGACCAGGAGTTTGAGACTAGCCTGGCCAACATAGCAAAACTCCCTCTACTAAAAATACAAAAATTAGCTGCATGTGGTGGCGCACACCTGTAATCCCAGCTACTCAGGTGGCTGAGGCATGAGAATTGCTTGAACCGGGGAGGTAGATGTTGCAGTGTGCTGAGATTGCGCCATTGCACTCCAGCCTGAGTGACAGAGCAAGATTCTGTCAAAAAGAAGAAGAAGAAGAAGAAGAAAAAGCAAGAATTGTAGGATTAAAGAAGGAAGAAGAGAAGTATAAAAGAGAGTCTAGTTCAATGTTTGAAGAAGGAAACTGGCCCAATGTTTATTATGAATTTGTTTGAGATAGGGGCTTGATCCCTTTAATGCACTAATGGATGGACAACTCACTGAGTTGTTGCTAATATTATGCACTTGTCTGGCTCTTTGTTCACCAATAGGATCTTCTCAACCAAACATTTATACTCACAAGACTACCGTTGGCCACAGATTGCACTCAGAAGGCTACAGGCCAGGAAACAGAGCGTTCCAGCAGGGTAATAGAATTACAGAGTTAATCCAAGGTCAAATTTGCCTTAGAGAAAGTAAAAGGGTTTTGTTAAACATTTTCTCAGAGGTAGGCACTAGAATATATTGATGAATAAAACATGGTCAATTGAAATGTAGAAATAAGTCTAATGTATAAGCAGCTCTAAGCTAGAGGCATGGCCAGCATCTCTATGGGGCAGAGAGAACAGTATGATTCACGCTATCCAGGGACATGAAGACTTGGCACAGATTTGCAACTCAATAAATACTTGTTGAACTCTTGGAACATCTTTGGAGAGAATACTTGAACTGTGTTTGCAAGGATAAATGTCAGTTAACAGGGGCAGGATGGTGTTTGAATGAGCAGCATGTTCAAAGTCATGGACTATAAAGAGTACAGCACACTTTGGGAGGCCGAGGCGGGTGTATCACCTGAGGTCAAGAGATCGAGACCATCCTGGCCAACATGGTGAAACCCTGTCTCTACTAAAAGTACAAAAACTAGCTGGGTGTGGTGGCGTGTGCCTGTAGTCCCAGCTACTCGGGAGGCTGAGGCAGGAGAGTCACCTGAACCCAAAAGGCGGAGGTTGCATGAGCCGAGATATTGCGCCACTGCACTCCAGCCTGGTGACAGAGTGAGACTCCATCTCAAAAAAAAAAAAAAAAAAGAGTACAACATATTTGGGAAATGGCAAAGAGTTTGGTGTAGCCAGTCTGTAGGTTATAAGGGCAAGTGCAGCTAAAATTGAGCTAGGATGGTTATGTCATATTGTGTAGGGTTTGAGAGACCAAAAGAAGCTTGGCATCTATTCTGTAGGCACTGGGAAGTATGAAAAGTATGAAAAGTATTCTTTTTTTTATTTCAGTAAGAGAATAGGTTTATATGTCAGTAACCCATTCTGGTGGCAATGCATAGTTGGGGAGACATTTCACAAAAGGTGACCAGCTAAAAGACCACTGCAGTTATCTAGGCCAGAAATATAAGGTGCTCAAGAAAAAGAGGCAAAGGCTACTTAAAAAATTGAACAATAGAATTGGTGACTAAGGAAATGTCGTGTGGGTGAGAAGGAGAGAGAAATTCTCTGATAACAAGAGCCAGTAGGAGATGGCCTTACATTAATCAAGATGGGGACTATGTAGGAGAAACACGCTTGGGAAACAATAGTGATTTGACTTTTAATGTAAGTCTGGAGCACATGAGAAACAACTGGTTGAAGATGACCAGGAGGGTTGAAAATATGGATCTGAAGATGAAGCAGAGGTTCATGCTGGAGGGAGAGATGTAAGAGAAGAGGCTGTGGAGGTTGTTAGGCTCTCTAAAGAGGAGTTGGGGGACAAGGCAGACACACTGCTGGTGGTTCCCCAAGGCAGAGGAGAAAGATCCAGGAAGGACATGGAGAAGGAGCTGACAGATAGGAAGAAGAATAAATAGAAGAGAATGACATAGGAGCATTGCTGTATGGAGCGGTCTGTAAGAGTAACTACACTTCAAATCTTTTTACAAAGAGACTATTCATAGAAAGAGATGAGAATGAGGGCTGGGAGCGGTGGCTCATGCCTGTAATCCTAGCACTTTGGGAGCCGAGGCAGGTGGATTGCCTGAGCTCAGGAGTTTGAGACCACCCTGGGCAACACAGTGAAACTCCATCTCTACAAAAATAAATAAAAAAAATTTATCCGGGCATGGTGGTGCATGCTGGTAGTCCCAGCTACTCAGGAGGCTGAGGCAGGATAATTGCTTGAACCCAGGAGGTGGCAGTTGCAGTGAACTGAGATTGCTCCAGTACACTCCAGGCGACAGAGTGAGACTCCATCTCAAAAAAAAACCAAAAAGAAAAAACAAAGAAAAAATGAGATGAGAATGAGACTGTTATGTATGCTGTGTTAGTCTGTTTGGGCTGCTATAACAAGGTTCCATAAACTGGGTGGCTTATAAACAACAGAAGTGTATTTCTCATAATTCTGGAGGCGGAGAAGTACAAGATCAAGATGCTGGTAGATTTGATGTCTGGTGAAAGCCACTTTGCTTATTCATAGGCAGAACCTTCTTGCTGTGTCTTCACATGGTGGAAAGGGCAAGGTGGCTCTCTGGGGTCTCTTTTATAAAGGCACTAATCCCATTCATGAGGGCTCCACCCTTATGACCTAATCACCTCTCAAGGCCCCACCCTGATACCATCACATTGGATATTAAGTTTTGACAGATGAATGGGGGTGGGGGGTGCAAAAACATTCAGATCATAGCATATGTCTTTGGTTGCAAGGCATCCAGAATTGGGTTGTGTTATGTATGGTTACGTTCATTAAAAAGATACTAGCTTTTTAGGAAATAACTTGTAATTGCAATAATAATAATCAGTCCTGTCAGTTGATTCTCAGACCTCAAATCTCACAAGGACCAATCACTCGTATGTCCCTTTGGATGGGTTAAATGAATCTGTATACACTGCTCCAAGGTCTCTGTAAGGGCCTTGGTGGACTGACACTCCCTGACATTGTTCTTTCCTGAGACAAAGGGTCACACCAGTCAAGGCACTAATAAGCTCACCACCCAACCCTTCACTGCATTGGGTGGTTCTCTGCATTTTGCCCCTAGTCTGGCCTCCTGAGACTTGCTTTAAGGTAGTTAAAGGCCCCCAGCCTTATGGACTTGGGCATTAGGACTTAATGCTACTAAGGATCATGCTTTGAAAGAATGTTGAGGCATCTAGCTAACCATCTCAGGCCGTTAAGAGGATGCCTCCCTGGTTGGTGGACTCTTTAGGCTTCTGACTGCTGCTTCTTACTTCCCTGCGGGCTGGCTCTTTCACTTTTCTTTATCACATCCCTGAGAGTTAACTCCAATCCGTAAGCCTAATTCCAAATAGGAATCAGAGCTGAGCAAATGGAAAACAACCAAACTCTCTGCTTCTGTTCAATCTAGCAACTATTTATTTAATTTTTACTCTGTGTCAAGCATTCTTGGGAACAGTGAGACCCCAGACAGAAATATCTGGGCAATCACACCATAAGAACCTGTATTAGTCCATTCTCAAACTTGTATACCCGAAACTGGGTAATTTATAAAGAAAAAAGGTTTAACTGACTCACAGTTCTGCATGGCTGGGGAGGCCTCAGGAAACTTAACAATCATGGCGGAAGGCACCCCTTCACAGGGTGACAGGAAAGAGAAGAGTGGCAGAGCGAAGGGGGAAAGGCCCCTTATAAAACCATTAGCTCTCATGAGAACTCACTATCATGAGAACAGGATGGGGGAAACCACCCCCAGGATTCGATCACCTCCACCTGATTCCTCCCTCAACACCTGGGGATTCTGGGGATTACTATTCAAGGTGAGATTTAGGTGGGGACACAAAGCGTAACCATATCAGGATCTATCTGAGAAAAGACTACACCAGACAGATGTAATCATGTGTCACGGTGGACATGGTCTATATCTCTGAAATGCAGTGGACATGGTCATTTGGAGGTGTTTGGGGTGGGAGGCTAAGGTGGAGATCACTGCAGGTAGAGATAGTCAGGGGGCACTTTGGAGGATGGGGGTATTTCACCTGATTCACAAATTATATATTTGGATTGACAGAAGAGGTGGTGATGTTCTGGATAAAAGATCTTCAGGAGACACACAGGAAAGAACAAGCTTACCCTTCACGGGGGAGAACTCAGCATCCTGTTTTCTTTAAAAATTTGCCTTCAGACAGAAGCTTACTTTTAAGTTTTTATCACAAAGCAATATCATTCTTTTACTAACCACTCAGGAATAGAAAAATTCACTCGTATTCTCAGCCTCTTAACCACGTTTAGTATTTTGTTATTTTTTTCTTCTATATATTTGTATTTTTATAGAGTTGTAACCAAAGAAATGTAAGGAAATAGATTGGAATGCAGCTATCATAAGTATTTTTCTATGTTGTCTCATAGTACTTATTATCATCTTAATGGTGGCATAATAGTCTATCAGGTGATTATACCAGTATTTGCTTATTTTTTTGAATACTGGAGGTTTTCCCCTTTATTTACTATTATAAGTAATGTTGTGTTTTTTCCTGCATATGGCTTTTCCTATATTTTGGATCATGTCTTTAGAACAAACTCACCAAGTTACAGTTACTGACTGAAGGGTATGAATATTTTTATGGCCTTTAAATTAAGTCTTTCAGAAAACAAATTGGCAATATGTATCAATTTCTAGCACTGCCAGTGCCAAATGAGGGAACTTCCTTCAATGCAGTCTTACCAATATTAGCTATTGCACTTAAAAAAAATCCTGCTTTAATAAGTGAAAGCAAGTATTGCTCGGCTTTCTTTAAATTTGCATTTTCCCATGTTGGTTTATGACTTCTTTTTCCTCATTTGCACCCAGCCTGTGTTTCAGCCAGAAGCTCTAGCTCTCATAGAAAAATGGAAAATATGAGAGGAACTTTTGCCAATGTTCCCAGCAAATAATGTTTTAAAAATCATTTGTAATACCATTCTAGTTTCAGTAAAAATGTATATAAGAGCAGGGGAGGTAGTGAAACTAATAATGTTTTACCTAGCAGGTCTAAGGGAAAAACTGAAAGAAAGCCTGAATGTATATTGGAGCCTGTGCCTAAAAAGCTGCATTTGAAAAACTCACATGAGCCATCTGGCTGTGCACACTCTGCTCTTGTCATTGATTTGGGGAGGGCTGGCTCCTCCACAGCCTCTCTTTGTCTGAACATCTTTGCAGGTAACCAGTGTCCCAGAGGACCAGATCCTCATTGCCGTGTTTCCTGGTCTCCCCACTTCAGCAGAGCTTTTCATTCTTCCACCCAAGAACCTGACAGAGAGGAGGAAAGGCAATGAAGGGGACCTGGAACAAGTAAGTGAAAGTAAATCTGGCTGGGACCCTTGCCTGCACCCTACACCCTGAGAGGGCACAAAGCTGTTTTCAGCCAGAAAGGGAGACAGGCTCTCTTCCATTACCCCAACAGCCAAGGTTTTGAAGAGCAATCACCCTTACCCAGAGTAAATACAGGTGCAAATAGACTGGAGCATTCAGCTACTCAGAAAGGAATGTCACCCCTGGCATTATTCATTCCAATGTCTGACATCCCTGTGCCAGCTCATGTCTCCCTCCCAGTGACTCTTCCTGGGATTCAGGGGAAGGGGAGCAGCAGAGAGAGAGAGAGAGAGACAGACAGAGAGAGAAAGAAGGGGGGAATTTGAATTTCCTTGTTTATTTCTGGGACTATGTGCCTCTTGTCTTTAAACTGCACTGGCCCTTAAAGATCCTGGCCAATGTTAAGCTCTGCTTCTGGGGAGAAAATGAACTGCCTTCAAACATGATTTTTTGGAGAGGGATGTATTGCCTCTCTTTGCTTTAACTAAGGAAGCAACATTTCCAAAAGGGATTGTGATTTACTGTTCTTATCAAATGGGCATATAGAACTATACTGTGATCTGCACGCTGTCCTGGAAGTAAAGGGGATGGCAGGACTGGTGTTTCTCCTTTTCATCCTCTATTCCTCCTGAGGTCTTAATGCCTGCACTGTTTCACCCTTCCTTTCTTTCTCATGATGCTAAGTCAGGTGCAATAGAAATAAGTGAGCATGAGGCTGCAGAAAATCGGCATGAATCACAAACATTTGCTCTCATATGAGGTAATCATTGTACAGACATATTTTGTGTCCCTGTGATACTCACTGGCCATCACCCCATCCTTACTTACAGCCATCCACAGACATTGAGCGGTAGAGATGTGATTGCAGTTTCTCTGAGAAATAATTTCTTGCATTGCAGGGTTGCATATTGAAGTTGGCCAGAAATAAATTTAGCTTCTTAATGCATACATCACTTTTACAAGACCTCTTTATTCTGAAATAGCAAGTGGCATGTGTGAACTATATTTGGAAGCTACAATATCCATCCATTTAGATAAATAGGTAATTACAGTGATGAATAGCAGCTGTGATATTAAGGCGCATACAGCGAGATAAGAGTTAGGGACAACAGCCTAAGTCGGCCTCAGCTTTCATGTGGGAATTACAGAGTGATTAAATCGATGTTATGTGTTCTGCGACTTGCTAGGGAAAAGTAAAGAACAAAAATTATCCCATAAAAAGGAGGCAGCTTCTGCTTTGATGTTTGCTTCCCATTGTCTCTAAGATAGAAAACGCAGAGGAGAGGGCTGGTAGTATATGTACCTGCTTTAATCCTGGCAGCGGCCTACATCCCCTGTGTCTATGACTTCATCAGATTACAGAGCTAATGATGGGTTGAACTTCTTTCATTGGAACCCATAACAGGTCTTTTTAGAGGGTTATAAAGGCATGGATAAAAGAGCAGTGAATTAGGAGTTGAATGAAACATCTATGTCTATTATAGCTCTAATTCACCAGTGACTGTAGGCATGCCTCTTTCTGTCTCTCACTCTCCTCTCCAGAATAAGCAAATATTACCATCTATAGTTGTCTCTCAGTATACATAGGAGAATGGTTCTAGGACTTCTGATATACCAAATCTGTGCATCTTCAAGTCCTGCAGTTGGCCCTGCAGAACCTGCATGTAAGAAGTTGGGCCTCTGCAACATGGTGAAACCCCGTCTCTACTAAAAATACAAAAATTAGCTTGGCGTGGTGGCACGTGCCTATAATCCCAGCTACTCAGGAGGCTGAGGCAGGAGAATCGCTTGAACCCAGGAGGGAGAGGTTGCAGCCAGTCAAGATCATGCCACTGCACTCCAGCCTGGCAACAGAGTGAGATTCCATCTAAAAAAAAAAAGAAGTAGTTGGGCCTCTGTATATGCAGGTTTCACATCCTGTGAATACTGTATTTTCCATCCACATTTTGTTGAAAAAATCCACATAGAAGTGGATCTGCGGCCAGGCGCGGTGGCTCACGCCTGTAATCCCAGCACTTTGGGAGGCCGAGGTGGGCGGATCACGAGGTCAGGAGATCGAGACCATCCTGGCTAACACGGTGAAACCCCGTCTCTACTAAAAATACAAAAAATTAGCCGGGCGAGGAGGCGTGCGCTTGTAGTCCCAGCTACTCAGGAGGCTGAGGCAGGAGAATGGCGTGAACCCGGGGGGGCGGAGCCTGCGGTGAGCCGAGATCGCGCCACTGCACTCCAACCTGGGCGACAGCGAGACTCAGTCTCAAAAAAAAAAAAAAAAAAAAAAAAAGTGGATCTGCTTAATTCAAAACTGTCCGCATGTTCTCACTCATAGGTGGGAATTGAACAATGAGAACACATGGACACAGGAAGGGGAACATCACACACCTGGGCCTGTTGTGGTGTCGGGGGAGGAGGGAGGGATAGCATTAGGAGATATACCTAATGTTAAATGACGAGTTAATGGGTGCAGCACACCAACATGGCACATGTATACATGTGTAACTAACCTGTACGTTGTGCACATGTACCCTAAAAGTATAAAACAAAACAGAACAAAACAAAAACAAAACTGTATAGTTCAAGGGTCAACTGTACTTCCTTGGTTTCACAAGGCCCCAAGGGCTGTGAGAACCAAATCGATAAATATTTTTCACTATCTTATCCCTAATTGAACCATGGTGACTTTTTACCTATTGACCTTGTCCTTGGTTTCTTACCCCATGAGGGAGCATCATTGCATGTCATGTCACCCCATGCATCCTGTCTTATTTTTTCAGATTGTAGAAACACTGTTTAATGCTCTCAACCAAAATTTGGTCCAGTTTGAGCTGAAGCCGGGGGTACAAGTCATTGTGTATGTCACACAGCTGACGTTAGGTGAGTGCCACTGGGAACTGGGGAAATGGGAAAGAGGATCTGTTATCCCAGAGAGAAAAGGAGGAGAGAATCATGAAACCCTGCTGCATAATGTCTGAAAGTGGCTTTGTAGAAGGGTCCTTTTTGTAGTTATGGTTCAGAAGGATTGGTCACATCAGTCACATTGTTCTGAAGGCATCCTGCAAGAAGACTTTCTTAGGAGTAGCTTTGCCATTGAATCCCTAGACGGTCTCGGAGAAAACCTACAATTTACTTGGGTCTTAACCTTATTCGTTTGTTTGTTTGTATATTTCTTTATTTTGTCTGTGACAGTTGGGATTATATTGGACAGTCCTCTAGCTCTCTTCATTCATTCGATTATCTGATTTTATGAATCTTGGATGGTAGGCCACAGAACTTTAAAACTCCCTTCTAGTTTACAATGTGTGAGTCAAAGTAGAAACAGGAACAAACTCTAGTTGGCTTATTTGTGAAAAAATCTAAAAAGGCATGTCCCATTGGGCATCTACTTTGGGCTCTCTGGGAAAGCCTGTTTATTAAATGGTTCTTAATAATGTAAGACTTTTCCAAGGTGTAGGTCACAAATGTGCCCATCCAGTGGGTTTTTATCAGAACAGTGTAAAGGAAGAGAATGAAACACTGCATTAGTACTTAACCCAAAATTTCAAATGGGCTCCCTGTAATTATGGTGACAGGCATGCAGCCTATCTAAGAGAAAGAGCACTGGAGCCCTTATTCCACTCCCCTGAGCTGGACATACGTTGTTCAATTTATACCAAGAACTAGCAAGTTTCCCCAGGCTGAACAGAGAAGTTTACTTTCCCTAAGAAGCTGTACTCAGGTGCCATTGCCATCATTGAAGCCAGACTTTCTGCACCCAGATATCAGGCAGGGGAATTGGAGACTAGACATAAGGATGGAGATCAGTGGCCTCCTTCCTGCAATGAATACTCCCTCCAGCTAACAGCTTCCAAGTGAGCATATCTGTTCTTTTCCTTATCTGTTCTTCTTTCCAAGCTCCATTGGTGGACTCCAGTGCTGGGCACAGCAGCTCAGCCATGCTTATGCTATTATCAGTGGTATTTGTTGGCCTGGCTGTGTTTTTGATCTACAAGTTTAAAAGGTATGTCCTATTATCACTCAATTTAGTAGTGGGGTTGGGGTCATTGCAAATGATTCTTCCTATAACTAACTTTACTAAACTCATCGCAAGAATGTGATTTTTAATTCTCCTTGAACTTCTGTTTGACAATGGGTAAAAGCAAGAATGGTTGAGGGTCATGGATTAAATGGGTTTGAGACTCTGAACTCTATCTATTATGATTTATAGGTGTAATGAGTTAGGTAAATAAAGACTGGCCAATGAAATCAATTTATTATCTTCAAGAGAAGTGTAAGGGGTTTTCAAACCTCAATCAAACTTCTAAAGTAAGGTCTTATATATTCAGAAGATGTTTTTATATGGATCAACATCCATTCAGGTGGTTAAATAGGGAAAATGCAACTAAAATTTGATACATACATGTACAGACACCGATGCATTTTTTTACCTCCTGTTGCAGCTATTCAGCATCTCTCTTTAAATTTGCATGCTAAAGATATTCAACTACCATCCCTCTCCCTCTTTTTCCTATTCTAAAGAGAAATTGATTAGGAGAACAAAACTCCACATGTCTTGAGAAATTATTTTTGAAAGCCACAGAAGGGGTGGTATAACAAGATACTTATTAGAAACGTAAAATTGAAATCAATAATTTTGTACTAACATTCAAATTATAACTTCTACTAGGATGTATACTAATTAAGAGTATAAACTCTGAAATAAGATCCAATTTTAACTTTTAGCGTTTGTAACCTTGGGCAATTGTTATTTGCCTCTCTAAGTCTTAATTTCTTCACTGGTAAAATGAGAATAGCAATAATATTTTATAGGTTTGCTACATGATTTAAATGTCATAGTGTGTGTAGGTGCTACGAACTAAGTAATCAAAAAAGCTATGCTATTATAAATAACAAAGCACATGCCTGCCAAAGATGCCCTCTGTGCCATAAACTGTCACATAATAGGCCCTCAGAAATTTTATCAGTGGCCTAGAAATGTGCTCCCTGGGAAGCCTGGGTAAAGTAAAAATGTCATTAATTATTGTCAGATGAGTTTGAAAGCCTCCTTTAGTCCTGGAGTCTTTCCAGGAACTAAAGATAATGCTTTTAGGTTTTGGTAGAGATCAGTGGTAAAGGTGCTTGACTCTTCCTGCCCCCCTTCTTCCTGCTTATCTCTCCTTTAGTGGCTATTTCATTTTCTTAAAAACACCAGTTTAATTCAGTATACCTCTCAGCATTAGCCGCAGCAGCAGGAATTCTATCAACACCCTCCACGCTCTCTAGAAGGACAGAGTGAGATTCACCTTCCTACTCAACTTGTAGACCAGTATGTGAGTTCATGTCCTCTTGGATCAAGATGTGTTAACCCACATACCCCTGTTCCCTTTGAAGGGTGGATAAAACCTTTATGTCACAAAGTGAGAAAAGGTTCAATATAGAAACAGCCTGGTTAAGGCAACACCCATTTATTTATAGATGTACTTCAATTATATGCAAAGAACATTTCACTTTTCACTCAGCCAAGAATTTGATTGTGAGGAAGCCTGGTGGTTGCTGGGCGTGACAATCAACTAAACCAAATGTCTCATCTCTGACTCCCAGAGCAGCATAGTTGCTGAGGACAAGGGCCAATAGAAGTCCTGTAAAGAGTCTTTTGTGGCTTTTGTGTCAGGTGGATCCAAAGTAAGGATACTTAAGGATCACTTATACTGTGACTTGGAAAACTTCTTTTTTTGTTTTGTTTTCTTTTTATAAATGCTGTTAAACTCCTTAGACGGTCAACTTACTAATGTAGGCATCTTTAGATGTATACACTTTAATAATGAATCCATACCAGGTAATGACATCTCTAAAAAATTCTACCTTTGTAGTTCCCAGGTATCAGCCCACCTTTTCTGTGTCCCTGACAGTGAGTCATGCAGCTGAGGCCACAGGAAATAAACTCCAATCAAACTGGACAATAGCAGCATCAGTTAACAGTAACTAGTCATCAGTTAACCTTTACTTTTCTGGCTCCTTTTCCTGGAAGTTTTACTCCCAATGCTTAAGCCCTTTGGTTGAAATTCTGTGGGATTTTCTTTTATTTTTTTGGTCTCTTTTCCCCACTCATCACATGGAACCCCAGTAATGGCAACATGGAGTGTACCTGGCTCACAACAAGTACGTAGGTCAGGTTCCTAGCCCTGGATTCCCAAAGTCTCCTTTGCTTCTTTCATTACTATCCAATAGAACTTTGGCAATGTTTAAAATGCTCTATCATCAGTACTGTTTAATACAGTAGCCAGTAGTCTGACTGAGGAACTGAATTTTAATTATACTTAACTTTAACTAATTAAGTGTAAACAGCAACACCTGGCCATTAAACGCTCTGTTGAGCAGCACAGTTTAGTGTAAAGACATTTCTGTTTCTGTGTCCAGATCATTGGCCATACTGAGTTTCCAGATCCAAAGCTTCCTCTCTGTAATTGCCAGTATTAACACATTAAGACATTCATTCATCCTACAAACATTTATTGAGTACTTCCTGTGTTCCAGGCACTGGAAATGATCTCAGTATCCCAAGTGGTCACTTGACATAGAAAAAGAGAATAGAATTACTATGAGCCTCAAGCTTCCTTTAAATGAGTATCACCTGGCCTCTCGCAGGCTCTCTTGCTCTTGGATAGTGACTGCTATTTTCTTATATCTCAAGTAATGTAATTAAAAATCATCATGAGATGGCTTTTCTTTCTGAAGACTGCCTAACAAGAATTTCTTTCCATAACTGAAGATCTGCTTTTTCTCTATCCAGGAAAACATTTGAGCTTCTATATTCCTTCCACTGTTTTTTTAGGAGGGCTTTCCTTATAGTCCAAAGCCCACTTTGCTTTCTCTAAATTTCCTCCTACAGGCTTCTAACACTCATAATAGATGGATAAATAGATACAAACTGCAGTTGGGTTTTGTTTTTTGTTTTTAGAGGGAGACTTGAGCCTATCCATATTACTCCTCTTATTTAAACCTGTATGAATGTTGGTCCAAGACATATCTCTTGATCTCTTCATTTCCCACATTCCTTGTATGCAGAAGTGGAGTTCAGACTTATATTCTCAACAGTCCTACAAGCGGATGTGTTAAGAAATGAAAAGCAACTTGACAAATTTTTAAAATTATGCAAATTGAGATACAAAATTTATTCTCTTCCAACCATCGATTGCAAAAAGATGAAAAATATGCCAGTTTTTAGATGTGTTATTTGGAAATTGAAATAAAGCGAATAATCTCTATAAGGGCAAGTTTATCCAAATCCTCATAGGTATTGTGAGAAAAGCAGGAAAGGGGAGGCAGTTGACTCTGGTTACAACTGTGAAGTACACAGGCTTATGTGATCAGGAATGGTTTAACCACCCCCAGACCTAATAAATATTACGGTTGATCCCAACCTTCATGAGCAATATGTACTTTTATGATTGGGAGGAATCTCAGTTATTAGACTGTATTTTCATTTATATAAAAAGGAATATAAAGGCCAGCATTAATTTTTAATTATACCACATTTAGAGAGCCTAGTGTGCTGCCTCACATGGATGCTGTTCACTTTGGGTTCTTGTAAATTATATTAAACTGGCTTAGACCAGTAGGGGTCATGGGGACACCTCCTTTAGTGTATGGAAAGCAAACATTAAAGACATGAAAACTGAATGTAAAAAATAATTAGAAGCAACTAAGTGTTTTAAACCTATTTTCAGATTTTTTCTTCTGAATTAGCTGCAGGAAACCCGTATTAAGTGCTTCCACATTTCGCATCATTTGGAGTTGGAGCAGATAGGGGAATGTAGAAGCTTGAGAATACCACTGCTTGGCACAAGGACAACAAAGTGATTTTCCTTTAGAGTTGCATGGGATGTCCTGGATTAGGATGGGTGTCCGATGTCCCAAGTTTCAGTGATATCTATGCTAGTAATTGGCTTTGTGAAATGTCTAGACATTAGTCTAATTTTCCCATCCTTTGATGAGGTAAGAGGGGTCTCTTCTAGAAGTGATATTCTAAAATAAAAATATAATCTTTTTATTGACAAATATAGTATAGTAAAGTAGAAAGAGCACAGGATTTAAGGTAATTTATTCATTGATTCAAAAAATGCTTAATAAATGTTAACCATTTGCCAAACACTGTGCTAAGTCGTGTGGATAGCAGAGAGGATAGAAAACATAGACCTTGCCTACATGGGGCTGTTAGTATAGTGGGACAGAAAGACAGAAAACAAGTCAATAAACATTGCCTATTACATCACCCTAAACCAACACCATATTTATTTCTTACATAGGCAGTGTTGCATCGTTTCATGTTTATAATGGAAAGTTGGATAGTCAGGGGAAGCCTCTCAGAGACGACATGTAAGCCAAGCTCTGAGAAGAGCAGAGGGCAGTGTGTTACAGGCAGAGGGAACAGTTGGTTCTAAGTCCCCAAGATGTTGAAGAGCTGCTTCTATTAGAGTCTTGTAACTCAAAATTTGGGTCTCCAACTGATGAACAGCATCAGCATCACCTGGGAGCTTGGCAGAATTGCAGAATCTCAACCCATCCAGTCCAGACTTACAGAGCCACAATTCACATTTTAAGGAAGACTCTGGGTGATGCTTAAGCCTGTTAATGTTTGAGAAGCCCTGGATTAAAGGAATGCAAAGGAGTCTCCCGAGGCTGGAACACACAGTGTGTGAGGAGATAATGAAGATGGGTCAGAAGATGAATGCCTCAAGAAGATTTCAGTGTGAAGCCGCTCACTTCTCCAACCCCAAGCTAGTCTGCCTTGCGTTTCCAAATCCCACCTACTATGTTTCTGTCTTTGAATAGAGCTATTTAGCTTCTCTTAATCCTTAATCATCTCCAAAATCCAAAAAGAAACTATTGTCATCCCCATTGAACAGATGAGGAAACTATCCAAGTATTTAAGGTACTTATCCCATAAGTGATGCTCTGAAAATTGTAGCAAAAGCTATGAATCTATTATTTCTTGACTATTTATTTTAAAAAAGCCAATGTGGATTGATTAAATTGATGCAACCTTAGAAATAGGTGTCTTTTCACTCTGTACACACTTAGAGTTTCAAAGTCTAGCTCCTTTAAAAACTTAATACCAGGTAAATATTTATAGGGTTTTATTATCTAACTGCCTTTTTGTTTATACCTTCTTGTTTTTTACCCACAGGAAAAGGTGCATTCCTCAGGGAGTTCTATGGTTTACATCTTCCCTGGGCATCTGGGTTCCTAGCTGGCTTTGTGTTCCTTGACCTTGTAGCCTCATTGTCTCTGGGGTTACCAATATCTTTCCCTGACATGGACCCTTCCTATTAATAGCTTCTTCCTCCCCTTATCCCCCAGGATTTCCAGCTGCCCAAGTTTGGCACACCCTGTGATCTTAACCTGATTTTGCTCCTGTCCCATGTAGGAAAATCCCTTGGATTAACATCTATGCTCAAGTCCAACACGACAAGGAGCAGGAGATGATTGGGTCAGTGAGCCAAAGTGAAAACGCCCCCAAAATCACACTCAGTGACTTTACGGAGCCTGAGGAGCTGCTGGACAAAGAGCTGGACACGCGGGTCATAGGTACATGCTCCTGCTCCACTAAGCTCCCCTGTTCTGTGTCCTCTAAACACTGGCCTGCTTCATCTGTCCCCCATACATTACTGGACTGGAGGGTGGGGACAAACAACTACCTACAGTGACAGAATCATGTTTTAAATTTGTCTGCCACCTCTGGCCACAGGAAATTGGCAGATATTTTTCCCCTTAGAAGTTAATCAGGATTGGAAATACTGGAGTCTGAGTGGGTTAGGGATGAAGCCAACTATCCATTACTGACGGGCTTTTACTTCTTTTTCTATAAAGCAAAAGTATTATATGTCCTTACTAATGATTACATGAATGTGGAATCTGGCATCAGATAGCCCTGGATCCATTTTTCTTGCTCTGCTAATCTACTACATCTGTGACCTCTCTGTGCCTCAAATTCCTGATCGGTGAAATGGGAGTAGTAGTACTTATGATTCATTTCTATTTCTGTGTAGTACCTAAAAAAAACAATTCTAAGACTGTTGTGATAATGACCTGCTGTTATGTCATTAGCCCAGTGCCTGCCACATAGTAAGTTTCAATACACATTGGCTGTTACTGTTGTTATCAATAGAATATAAGATAGCAGTCAATGTCTTGATCCCACCTGTGGGCTAGTGTGGGAGGTAGCATGTTAAACATGGATGACATAAGTCAGTGAGCTGATAGGTAACGATATCCGGGTGCCTTTTAAATAAATTCCTATTAAGCACCTGTTCTGGGTGGCTTGGTATTTAGCAGTGAATAAAACTAAGATCCCTGCCCTTGTGGAACTCACATCCATTTCTCCCTGTGTCTTCTCTTCTCTGCAGGAGGCATTGCCACTATTGCAAACAGCGAAAGCACAAAGGAGATCCCCAACTGCACTAGTGTTTAATACCAGCAAGCCACGTGGTCAACCACCTTTCTGACTTTTTATTTTTGATGATTACTATTACTATTATTATGGAAAAATTAAAATGTCTTTTTTACCTTTTGTTTACCAAGGGCCCCTTCATAAATAGCAGGCAAATGCCTAGCTTTGGGAGAAAAGGGCATTCTTAGCTGATTGAAATGAGACAAAGGGAATAAATGGCTGTATTTGTGCTAAGAGCAAAGGATGCATCTTCCCACAGCCTCCTCGCTTTACTCTGCCATTGGTAGCTTAAAGACTTTCTTTTTCCTTGTGGTCTCCCTTTTTTCAAAATTGAAGTTGGGTTGGCTCTTTGTGAACCTCTCATCCCCACAGCAGAATCACCAACACTCTCCGCTTCCCCCAGCACACACACATACAACACAGATCATTTCCCAGTTAGATCCGCAGGAAGTAGGTTGGTGGGGGTGGATGTAGCTGCAGAAAGCATGCACAACTTTGTGAAAGAGGCCCTGCCTTGTGCATGTCCATAGTGAGGCTACAGATGGCTTATTGTATATAATTACAATGTAAATAGCTTTTTATTTCCTAAGAAATAATTTAATGTTTAGTAAAAAAGAAAACAGAAAAAAGAAAGATGCGTGTGTTGGCTTACGCACTGGCCCTCAGAGCTGACCAACCCGCCAGGCCTGCTCAATGCATTGGGTTTGGATGCTCTCCTGTTGTCTGTCACACTTAACTCTTGCATCTCCTTGTCCATGCCATAGCTGGTTTCTACTTATGTATATAAAGGGGGGTGGGGGGAGGGGCTTCTCTGGGGCAATTGATAAAGGAAGGACTCTAGTGACATCATAGAACATGGCAGTCGTTTTTGTTCCAAGAATGATATGAAAGGTGAAGAAGAGGCCCACTAGAGGCTTCATACTGAGACCCAGATGGGGGAAAACAGCTTCCTCTCTAAAAGGAAAAACTTGATATTTATCAGTCTGAGAAAATATTTTTTTCTAAAGAAGGCAGTCAGTGGATCTTAAAATGACAATCTGTTTTTAAATTGGATTCTATGAAAATGCATAATGCTTATGGTGAATTCTCAGGCTATTCTGAGCTCAGAAAAGTCCCCTGGGCACTAGGTAAAGCCCAGTGAATGTCTCTTGGCATGGGAGGAGTTAAAGAGGTTGGAAGGGAAGAGGCATTTGTGGAATTATGAGTTCATGCAAAACTCTCCAGGCCAAGTAGGGGTCTAGCCTTTAATGATATTAGTCAAAGGCAATTTTAGCAAAGCTGTGCTATTTGCTTGTCAGATGTACACAACTTCCTTAAAGTCAAATGTCTGCCTTCAGTTCCCTTAAGGTAGTTCTTGCCTCTGGGGTGAGTGGCTTTCAAAGCCTTTTAGCTTTTCCAGCACCTCAGCCCCTTCACACATTTACACATACCAATTTTTTTCAATAGGGTCACGTTAAGCCATGCTGTAAGCATTGTTTTTATTTTCAGGCTTAGCCTGAGCACACTTATTTTTGAAAATGATATAATGTATATATATGGGAGGAAAGGCCACATTTTGTACCTGTTAATTTTTGTGGGATGTTGTTCCCATTCTTCTTTGTGAGACAGAGAGAATGTGATATAGAGAAATCTGGCTGGCTACAGTGTAGATCAGTATTAGGAATATTTCTAAAGATCCTGCTTTTTTGTTTCAAGGGTTAAATGGGGCAGACAATTGCAATACTTGTACTAAACACTGGAATACAAATGCATGACTCATATCTATATATACAGTATATGTACATATACTGTTCTTGGTTTTATTGTTCCACTTGAATATTTCTACTGTAAAAAAAAGACAGTGGTTTTGAAATTGTTGAAAATAAATGTATTTTTGTACATCAAAGCTACATACGTGGCTGAGTTTTCTCTTTGGGGAGTTTTCTTTATCCACTGTGTCTGTAAACTATTGCTACAGTGATGCTACATGGAAAACAATGAATGGCTTATAACAACAGATGCTTGGTTTTTGCTCATGAATCTTTAGGTTGGCTCTGGTTTGGCTGAACATATCAGGACTGACCAGGCTCTGCTGGTCTGATCTGGAAGGAGGTTTCAGGTAGTTTGAGTCTGCTCCATGAATTATCATCATCCTGGAACTGCAGCTACCCAGGGCATGTTTTTTCATGGTGGATTGTAGAATTCCAGGTGAGGCCAGTAGAACAACCCTATGTCTCTAAGGCCTGGGCTCAAAATGGTCACTTTATTTATCTTCATCCACATTCCGTTGACTAAAGAAAATCACACAGCCAAGTCCAACCTCCATGGCTAGAGAAATAGATTCTTTCTACTCTGGTACTAGGTACTATAATTGGAAACAATAATCTGATTTACTCTGCCTATTCATTTTCCACTGCCCCATGGAGCGCTTTCACTAAATGACCTATTTGAACCCATGTCAAAGTTTTTCATTCACATATATATGGCTGGGACCTCTGAGCAAAGGTCTTGGTAATTGCAAGGTCTTTGAGTTTGATATGAGTTCCCAATGAGTGGTAGAGATGATGGAATGCCAAGTCAGGTATGAAGACTTATTAAGCAAGAGCAATGAAAAGGAGAAAAACAACATGTGTCCGTTTTTTTTCCTTCTTCCAGCTGTTCGATGCATGAAACCGACAGCAAATGTCGTTTTTTGGTTCTTTGCTTATTAGTGGCTCTTCTTCACCAGGTAAATAAGGAAATGTAAACTGGGCACCCAGAATAAGGGCTGTAAGTTGGATGTTTCTTCTTATTTCTTTAGTGTTTCAAATACGTGATAAAGTTCCATGGATCTAAGAAACCAGAAATCATTTGTTGATAATTTAGTTGCATATTTTGGAAAGTGGCTCAATCTTCTGGAATCATATTTTCTGCACTTAAATTGAAGATAAAGAACTAAGCAAAGGTGGTTTTCTTTTGATTTGGGAATTTATTTTAAAATCATGTATAATTCTTACTATAACTTTTCTTGAGTTATACTCACCTTTTGAAAAATTTATATAAGTACCTGCCTCACATATTGAGAATATCACTTAAGTATCTCAAAAAGAAGCAGGGGGTTTTCTTGGTCTAAGTGCCTATACTTCTTTTAGGGATTTTGACAGTTTGGAGCTTTCAAATAATGTAAAATGTCTATTATTTCTATCCTAAGCCAAAGACGAATTTTCTAAATGCATTAGTTTTTGCTTCCTAATGGGATCTGAGTTTTTCTTGTTAATTTTATGCCCAGGTTGGTGAAGTTTCTTCCCTGGATTAAGAGAGATGAAAGAGAAATAAAGCAGTAAGAAAATCTGAGTCAGTTGGGTCATTTGGGTAAGCCATGGCTAAGAATATAGCCACTATATTCACCATCAGCATGAGTTTGTTAGATTTCTCAGTAGTAGACTGAGGCAGAGGCAGATAGCAGAGAGTGTGGTTGGCTTTGCAGCTATTTCCATGCAGGGCTTCTCACCAGTGGTGAGGACACTCTTTGCATCAGAATTGCCTTTAAGGGAATTGTAAAGCTAATAACTAGGCCCATGGAAGCACTCCAGGGCTGTATTCTTCCAGGATTCTCATGTACATGAAAATTTGAGAATAACTGCCTTATCTGCCACTAAAATAGTTCAGGAATAAGTATTGGGTAAAAGTCACGTCCTTTGACTCCTGTTATCATAATGCAAGTTACCTTAATCTACAGAAGTGAGAACAGCTTCCAAATTTGCTCATTTCTTCCTGGGCAACAGCTGCAACTTTGAGAGTCGCTCAATGAGCTATCTGGGACAAAAATACACTGTGAGTTAAGGTGGTGACGGATTGTGCCTTGGAAAGAATACTGTGCTGGAAATTAGTAGATCTCTAACTTTCAGCAAGTAATTCTGGACCCAAGTACCTCATTCGTAAAAGGAAAACACTTCATGGCCCGCCTTGCTGGCTTGTTTTGATTTCCAGAGGTGTGAAAAGCACATTGCCAATTCCAGAAGTATGGCAGTATTAGGAGAACTCCCATCTGCAGAGCAATAGACAGAGAGGAAAGTGACTCCAAAAGTCACAAAGCAAGGTAATGCAGAGATGAAGATGGAGTCCAATGTTTATTATAATAAGGTGGGATCCTTACTACCACACATCTCTGTCAAAATGCAAAACAGATTGAACTGCATATCACTGGGCAACAGCGGAGAGCCTGACGGTAATGCCAGTCATATGGCTCCCATATTTTATAATGTCCAGAACAGTTTAGAATCTCACATCCCAAGTACACTCATCCTTCAGTGGCTCACAGCCTTCCTCATGCCGCTGCCCTCTGGACCCACCTGTTTAGCAGCCCATGGCCTGACGCCCTTGCTTTTCCCACTGGACTGAAATGAAACTGCTCAGCAGACAGCTGCTCACCCCAGTTCCACCTGCTGGGCTGCTCATCTTTTAAAGTGATGAGCCTTATTCAGAGGGAGGAAGGCCAGAGAACAACATAAGCAATAAGGATGCCTCATCTGGATTATACCACATCCTGCCAAAATTCTCTCGTCTGCTCCAACAGTACTGCCAAAGGGGACCAGACATAACCCAACCATTAATTCCCAAAGCACTGTGCATCTTGATGTTCCTTAAACTTTAATCACCATGTTCTTTACAGTAGCAGAGTGTCCTTCAACAGGCTCTTTGCATTTCTGACCATGTATCATGATGAGACATAGGTTCATTCAGAGATGAACCAATGGAACATTGTATACAAAAAATGGGGGAGACCCTCAGTTAAGAGTTCAATTTACTGGAGACTAAAACTTGGATCCATCACTTTTCAATTATCTGAGACTCAGAGGGGTAAAATGACATAATCAATTTTATGTCAATTTCCTTACCTATAAATTACAAATAATGACATCTACTTTCCAAGGTTGGAATCTAGATTAAATGAGATAATTTGGGTAAAGACACAAATAATAAATTGATTATGAGAAGTGCTAGTTTTATTGCACTGGATCTTTGCCCACATAGCACTGTCTCTGGCCTCGAGTTGTAAAAATTATCCAAGCAGTCTCACTTAGGGCTGTACCTGCAGAGGAAAAAATTCAGATTTACCTAAAGAGACATGCCTTCTCCATCAGTTCTCCTTCAGGAGGAAGATAATTTTGTTTAAAATTTACTACTTACACATTGATCCCCAAAGTCATTGCTTCTTTTATTGCCTTTTAAATAATATGACTGATCTAATGTTGCTTGGACCATATGGAAGGGGCAAGAGGTGGACTCTTCTAGTCAGAGTTGCCAAGAATGCCTCATAAAGTCAATGACTGGAAGCTCTCAGTTTCTAAAACATGTTCACTCTAACCATGTGTGGGTGCCCCGGATGTAGCCATGCTAATGGGACAAAAACACTTTGGCCTTGCTTGTTTATGTTCTTCAGCTCAGGTATTAATAACATCATTTGCATCTCCCTCACTGTCCCTTACCATATAGTGCTTTTGTTTCGTGAGGACGTGTGCAGTCCCAGGTCCTGGGGTCACTGACTTGGGTTCCTTTGTCCACACACATTGAAAAAAATATCCGATAAACAATTACTTGTAAAAATATACCTCTTAGATAGCCAGAGATGCTAAGGGCACAGTTTCCCAGTGCCTTCCTTGAGCTGTGGTTCAAGAAGAGCTGTTCCAGAGTACATGCAAGATCCAGATTCCTTACAAAATGCCAGGGAAGACAGGAAAATAGATCATGACAGGCACACATGCCATCTGTCATTACAGCTTAGTCGCTGGGGAACAATGCTGTTTGCAGCTATTAAAAATGAACCAGATAATGTGGAGCCCTCAGTGATTTGCTCCTGAGGAAATGTGTGGTCTGTTCCCCAAAGAATAGAGACTTCTTCAGCAGAAATGTCTGTGCCCAGTGTCCTACATGCAGATGGCTTCTGGGCTCCAGGGATACTCTTACCACCAAAAAGGCCCCATTTCTCCTCCCTGGGGCCTCTCCCAGAAGATTCTTCCTACTGTGCAAGGTTTTTCATTGCTTACTCCCATTTACAAAGGGTTATTGCTGTCAGTATCCCAGGAACTGGCTGCAATTAGCAGTCTGTCCAACCACAGTGCATGGGGAGAGAAAGGAGATGCTGTGGTAGCAAACAGAGAGCAAACAGGATTGTTTTTCTTGTCACTATTCTGTCTTTCTTGGTTTCGGGGTAGACTCACCTGGGAAGCACATAATTGTCTCCATAAACAACACATCTGGTCCTTGGAGTGCCAGAATGGTTTTCTTGCACTGTCCTTCCAAAATCTTATGGTTCAATTGGAGAATTGCTGGGTTTCTTTCATTGGCAACCAGGACTTGTCAAGGGAGGAGGTATCAAAGGAAGAAGAAGGGAGAGATGGGTCTAGAGAAATAAAGTTAATCTTTGTCAATTATGAAGCTCTGCTTGACACATTTGCATTTCAACTTGTCAATTTCAGAGTCTCCTCTGTGAGGGGAAATGCAGATGCTCCCCAGATTTCTAATCTATTTATAATAGTAACAAGGCAACTCTAGGCAGCGTGTGCTCATCATGAGCTAATCATCCTCCGCTATGCCTTGTGCCTCCTAATTAGTGGCATGTTGGTTGCCTACTGATCAAGTTGGAGCCTCATCCAGGCAATATGCGTGGGGAGGGCAGGTATGGGGAGAAGGAACACTGAACCCAGTGGAGCTCAGATCTTGGCAGGCTTTTTAATAACAGGTGGGCTTCACACCTTGTCTTGAAATCCATCCTCTTTAAAGAGGCAGCCACCATGTCCATGGGTGCTAACAGGAATATGGCAAGTCTCCAAACACATGTCTCCTTTGTGTCTAGGAGCTCTCCATAAGGAGATGCTGTCCTTCCAAAACCTCTTGGCTTGATGATATAGACCAGTGGGAGGCACAAGTAGAAGAAAAATAAATATTTAAATGTGCATCTGTAGCTGATAATGGGGCAAGGCCCCTTTCATTGATTTATCCATTCTTTCCTTAATAGAATATTTATTGAACACCTACTTTCTACCAGGCTCTGTTCTGGATACTAGGGATACATCAGTGGCCGTGACACACTTAAAATAGGGTGGCCACATTGGAATACATTTGGGGATGGATGAGACACTATCAATAATTACTGTGGGAAAAGTAGCATGAAACAGGGCTGTCTCAAGCAAACCAGGAAATGTGGTCAGTCTGACTTAAAATCCAGAGGAACCATTTATCCAAAGTCAGAGATTGTGTCCATGTTCCATTTACCCTTGAATTGGCATTTTTTCCCTTTCAAATGCTGACCTATGAGTGAAAATTCAACTCTCTAAGCCCCAAAACTATATTTATGGAGATCTCCCATCAGCTTTGGTGTCTTCTGAGGACCTCTCATGGGGGTGGTGAACCCCAACATACTCAGAGGTCAGTGAGCACAAATCGAGATGGTTTTTGAAAAAGTCTTTAAAATACTGTATCAAATAGCGTTCTTAGTTGCAGAAAATAGACACTGATCCTGGCTAGTTCAAACAAAAGGAATTTATTACAAGGCTATCGGGAACTCACAGAATCAGGTTTGAAACACTTATCTTGGAAAGAGCCAGAAGCCAAGATAGCTTTGGAGGGATGAGAATCAGGAAGATTAGGAATATTTTTCTAGCAGACAGCATCTTATCAGACCTTTCCTCTGGGATGAATGAACTGCAGTCGTCTCTTCTACCTTTATGTTACTGAAGATTAAAAATTCCAGGTAGGTTCCCACAATCCATAAAGTTTAGCTCCCATGCTCACTGCGTGTGCAATGAATGTTACAGGCTGCATTGTGTTCCTCCAAAATTCGTGTGTCAGAACCCTTAACTCCCAGGGCCTCAGAATGGGATAGTATTTGGAGAATAGGTCTTTAATAAAGTGATTACGCTAAAATGAGGTCACATGGACGGGACCTAATCCAATGACTGGTGTCTTTATAAGAAGAAGAAACTAGGACACAGACAGGTACAGAGGAAGGTCATAAAAAGATACAGGGAGAAGATGGCCATCTTATAAGCCAAGGAGTGAATTTAAAACTTCTAACTTCCAGAATTGTGATGAAATAAATTTCTGTTATTTAAGCCAGCAGTCCCCAACCTTTCTGGCACCAGGGGTGGTTTTTTTGGAAGACAGTTTTTCCACAGACAGGGGGCAGGGGTGGGGGAGATGGTCTCGGTATTGAAAGTGTTCCACCCCAGATCATGAGGCATTAGTTAAATTCTCATAATAAGTGTGCAACCTAAATCCCTTGCATGCGCAGTTCACATTAGGGTTCATACTCTTATGAGACTCTAATGCCACTGCTGACCTGACAGGAGGTGGAGCTCAGGTGGTAATGATCATTTGGCTGCATTAGAGTCTCATAGGAGTGTGAATCCTATTGTGAACTGTGCATGCTAGGGATCTAGGTTCCTAATAGGCTAGGGACTGGTATGGGTCCGCTGCCCCGGGGGTGGGGGATCGCTGGTCTATAGCACTGTTATGACAGCCCTAGCACACTAAACAGTGAAGAAAAAGATTAGGGAAGAAATCCCTAACTATTGTTCTGGCTTTTGAAGTAGTAGTAGAAGCATTTGGAGTTACTGTTCCTCTTATACAACATATGCTATAGGAAAAGTTCTCTCTCCTATTCCCTTCTAAGGAAATAAGTGAATGGTTATGAAGGCAGAATGGATGCTGGACAGAGAATGAATGTCCACTACAATAACTCCTCAAGTGCTTTTTAAAATCACTGTTCTTTGAGTATTTGTTGAGCATAAACTAAGAAACCAAGTGGCTGGTACTATGTTAAATGTTGGAATTTCAGATATGAATACAAAACTTCATTCCTGGTCTGGTGGAACTTCTTACTATTTAAGGAACATTCCTGTAAGTTGTTTTCAATCTTCTATCACACACTCTTTTGGGAGACAAAGTGCTTTAATAATTTAGGGAAAGGTAACAAAGAGAGGAAAGGAATAATTCTTTTATTCCCCAGAGGAAAAGTTGTGGTGAAAGTTAAGGAAGAATTCTCAAAGGAAATTTCATCTACACTAGCTATTTTTAAATGTTGTAATTTTCTCACACTTTTTTATTCCATCTAGAATAGTCCTTTCCTCTTCTCTCAGGAAAAATAATGGAATGCTGAAAGTTGGAGAAGGGACAGAACTGGAGGTTTAATGGGGATGGGGGAACAGTCAGAAATGAGCTAGAAAGCTGCTAGTCTGCAATGACAAGGTATTTATTTTCTATGTCATTTCAAGTTTTTAAAAATAAGCACATATTCATTTCATAGTTATTTGTTAAAAAAGAAAAGTCACATCAGATGTTCATAATGGTTCTCCAGGTCTTGTGGATTTTAGGGTATTGCCTTAGAGTCCTTTTAATAAACTTTTTAAGAAACATAATGAGATTGCTCTGCAATACTGATTATTAAGCATAGTTAACACAGGCACATCCATAGGTCAAAGACAGACAATAATTTCAAGAGAACTTGTAGTAGTGTAATATCTGCTAGAGGATGGTTTATTGGTCTTTATAAGTGGAAAAAGAAACTGTAATTTGTTCGGTCCTTCACAATAAGTATTAAAGATACAGGAAATCATTACTCAAGATTCTTGGCCAAGAAAATGGCTCTAATGTTGCTCTCTGCTTCTCTTTTATCTTTCTCCTTTCACAAAAGCAGAGAAACTTTTTTGGTTTAGTAATTTTGCTGGCAATGTACCATCCATAAGTATTTGCCATTGTTAACAAATGTTGGAACAAAACAACACCAATTAAGGTTTTAAGTGGTTATCAAACAAGGCAAGAAATTCTGCATAAACTGCGAGGTGAAGAACTTAGCTTGGGGAAAGCATCCCTGGTGCTGAGAAAATATTTTAAACAGAAGAGAAATTTTCCAATAAAATTTCTTCCTTCGACTTTAGTACCTACTTGACGCTCTGGCACAAGGTGATGGCTAGGGATTCAGGTTTGGAATTCTGGAAGCCTCGGACTTGGAGGACATAGAATGGAAGGTGAGCAGGCTCAAACTAGCCCCATCCACTTTGGAAAATGATCTACTCTTAAATTTTTTCCATTTCCAATATGTGCTTTTTGTGAGTGTTTATTGACATGTGGTGTAACCTTTCTTCCTTCAGATGAATTGTCTCCAACTCTGAGCTCTCAGAATTAATGTCATCACTCCCCACCTCACACTCATCAAGGGCTTTTCATCTCCCTTTGGCGACAGGAGCATGATGTATAATAAGAATTTCTCCTTTGAAGGGCTAGAGATCTGCGTTCAATTCCAGTTTCTGCATTTATTAGCTGTATGGTCTTGGGTAAGTCTCTGACCTCCCCAAGCCTTAATTTTCTCTTTTGTCCTTGTGAAGAAAATAAAATAATAAATATAAAGCTGGCCAGGCATGGTGGTTCATGCCCTTAATCCCGGCACTTTGGGAGGCCAAGGTGGGAGGATCTCTTGAGGCCAGGAGCTCAAGACCAGCCTGGGGAACATAGCAAGACCCTATCTCTAAAAAAATTTTAAAATTAGCCAGGCATGGTGGTGAGCACCTGTAGTCCCAGCTACTCCTGAGGCTGAGGTAGGAAGGGTCACATGAGCCCAAAAGATCAAGGATTCAGTCAGCTGTGACCACACCACTGCACTCCAGCCTGAATGACAGAGAGAGACCCTGTCTCTAAAATACATTAATAAATATAAATAAAAATATAAAGCATTTGAAGTATAACAGATTCCACATCAGTAAGCATTTCCTCCACCCCCACCCTCCTTCCATGCTTTTCTAGGCAAGTCTTTGCTTGGGCCGAAGCAAAGCAAGGTTCAGACCCCAAGGCGTCCTGTTTGCCCCTCAAGAGGTCTCTACTCCAACCCATCCAACAACGCAGTGGTGCCTCTTCGCCCTCCTATAGGAAACAATGAAACAAATTTTGAAAAGATAGTCCCTAAACCAACCCCATCACCCCCACTAATATTTACACCTGTTCTTTTGTCAAGTCTCAGAGAAGAGCCACAATACCAATAATTTTGTAGAAGCAAAATTAGAGCCGGGACAGTGTAGGAGACAAGTGGCTGGCCCATGACGTGGTTGGTGTGCTGCTGGAGGATGAATGCCAAATTGCTAAATGCAGCCATCCCTGCCAACTGAACGTCTCCTTTTCTTTATAACAAATATGACACCATGCAAGGTCCTCCCTCTCCAAAAGCCTATCATTAGCTTTGTTATTATGGTTATTATCAACAATGTGGCAATTTCCTTGCATCTTTTAGGATCTTTCAATTATTCCATGCTTCTTTCTCTTCCCCTTTTTTTAAGTCTCCCTGACACCCTCAAATTCCTCCCTCTTTCTACCCCAAGTGCCACCGTTTCATTTCTTTCCCCCTCCCAAATTGTTTTCTGCGTAAAAGGATGGCAGTGACAGGAATTGAAACTAGCAGAATCTAGAATCTCTCTGATTGAGGGGAAAGAAATGTTTGTATATTATTCAACATTCTCCACATTAATCATCTGAAGTTTCATTTTTGACTGAAGTCTTTTCTTTATCTTAAAGTCACTGACATAGATATATATCATGAAGTTAAAAAGATTGAATTACATCCTGTCAGCTACCTGCTAAAATGCATGGAGCATCAAAGCCCCAGCTCGTCTCTGGATGTACCAACTGTGGTATTTTACCTTTGGGTTTTTTTTTCTTTTCTTTTCTTTTCTTTTCTTTTCTTTTCTTTTCTTTTCTTTTCTTTTCTTTTCTCAGTGAACACACACTAACAGGGTTTGTCTCTTCATTGTGATGTAGGAATGATTGAAAATATTCTCTGTATTGTTTGATAAAAGACCTTTGCCAAAAAAGAGAACAGTTGTCATGTGAGCACATTTCCTAGTGGTGTTGAGATGTGCTTGAGTCAGGTTTAATGGGATGTGTTTGAGCAGCGATGTTGCCTGATGAGCCCAGGGCAGGAGCTTCTGTGTGAGGTCATGGGCCCCAATGGACTGTGGAAGCTCCCAAGTTTCAGTGCAGATTAGATACACAGCTGGCCTTGTTTCCTGATAGCTGAGGTACCTGGGCTGGGGACATCCTGGGGGTTCATCCACCCACCGTGTTGTTACTACCTGAGAGTGAACAGCAACTAAAAGCCTGCATTAGTTTCCTACAGTGCTGTGGCAAATGACCACAAACTGAGTAACTTACAACAGCAGAAATTTATTTTCTCATAATTCTAGAGGCCAGAAGTCCAAAGTCAGGGAGTTGGCAGGGTTGGTTCCATCCAGAGTCTCTGAGGGGTAATCTGTTTCATTTCTCTCTCCTGGATTCTGGTGGCTGCTCGAGCTTCTCTGCATTCCTTAGCTTGTAAATGCATCACTCCAGTCTCCACCTCCATCTTCACCTCACCTTCTCAGTGAATTTTCCCTTCCTTCTTATAAACATATGTGTCAGTGGATTTAGGGTCCATCCCATTAATCCAAGATGATCTCATCTCAAGTTCCTTAATTATATATGCAAAGATCCTTTTTCTTTCTCAAATAAGAAGACTGTCATATTCATGTTCTGTATGGTCATATCTTGCGTAGGGTCACCATTTAACCCACTACACAGTCCTATCCCAGAAAAAAAGTTAAAGAAAGATACAGGCAAAAGGATAACAGTTGAGATAAGCAGCATATCTGTGTGGATTCCACAGCGGCTCTCCCAATACTTAGCTGTTAACACGCAATGCTAGGCTCCATGCTCCATGTATTTTCCTTGGCTCCTCCTTTCCCAAGGAAACTTACCAGGCCAGGGTCCAGTCCTGTGGGTTAGAGTGAATCTGGGCTGTCTGTTACGGGATTGTTTTTGTGGTCTGTGTTTTGTAAATTACTATTGTTAGGTACCTTCACTTATATAAGCCCTTTAATCACACCAGCCTACGGACTGATTATTCATAAATTTCCCACTGATGGCCCTGCCCCCACTTCCACCTGAAGGAGAAAAGAGAGTGGTCTGATTTCCAGTTTCTAGGACCCAGGTGAGGCTCCCTTTGCTAGTTATAGGATCCACCCTGCTGCCATGCTGTGGCCATCTCTCAAGAAAGAAGGGAGTTTTCTTTCATATGCCCTCTTGCAGGTTTCTGTGTTTTCATAAAATAGACTGAGCCATTAGATCCCATGATTTTCAGTGGTGCTTACAGGAGAGGAGAGGCTGGTGAAGAGGCCTTATAAATATCCAGGCTGGGTCACATGCTTCACTCAGGTTTCTCAAAACATTCTGCATTAGGGTTAGTGGTCCAGGTCTTAGGAACAGGAATGCAGCAATTTGTTTTCCTTTGTCTTTCCTCTTGGGACTCTTGGGAACTTCATGGATAGGTGTGTTTGAGACAAGAGTGGAGCAGTTTTGAGTACCTTGGCCTCTCCTAAACCATCTTCATTCTCTAAAACCCTACTGTTGCTTCATAGGAAATGCATATTGAATTTAAATGGCTTTATTTATGTTCATCTAATGGAGGAAAGCAATTTCATGCAACTCTCCACTGCTCAGGACCAGTTATGCGGGAGTTAACAAAATGCGAAATGATAGCCAAATTTAAAAGCTAGAGAAGGGTGTGTGTTGGGTAGATGGGAAAAAAACCATGTGGGAGACAAGTGAGAGGAGAGACAGGCTGAAGTGGCTGACAGCCCTCTCCCCATATTCATGTTCTGTCATATTCATGTTCTGTATGGTCATATCTTGCGTAGGGTCACCATTTAACCCACTACACAGGCCTATCCTCAGCATGACACACAGTTTACCATTGCTTATCCTACTCTAGTCTGTCTCCAGAACGGGGCACATGCTCTGCCTAGATGGACCCTAGGTCATTCTGGTCTCTGGACTACCTGAGCCTGGAAATGTCTCATCTTTCTATCCAGCTAAATCTCAACCACCATAGAATACACCCAGCATAGATGTGGTTCCCCACCATGACTTTCTTTTGTTGAGTTCAGCTCAATTCTTATCACCTTTATTTACTTCTTCCAGTATTTGTTTGCTATACTACCTGTATGCTTGCTATCACCATTTAAGCTTTCTCATCTTTTATCATGTGAGATACAGAGCAATATAGCAGAAAGGACACAGATCTTGAAGTTGGATATCCTAAGTTCTACTTGCAACTCTTCTCATATAATCTGGCTTACTTAGGCCAGTAATGCAGTCAACCTGGGCACATTTTCTTTTTGTAAAATAGCAGTCAGTACTGAAAAGAATCGACATCTGCCCTGCCCACCTTATCAGGTCATTATATGTATCAAATGAGATACACTATTATGTAATGAATTTAATATACAAGCTTAAGCTGCCACAATGAGTTAAATATGAAGGCAATTCCCTGATTTCTCTCTTTACTTATAGTTACATTCCTTTAATGACAGTGGCGCACCCAACACCAGCATCTGTGAGTGTTGGGTGCTAATGTTTCACAGCTCCTGCCCCAGAATAGTCCCCATCGCTCCTGCAAGTAACCCCAACTCCTTGACAGGGCAAGTCTGCAGCATAATTCATGCTCCAGAGTTCCTTGCCAAACAAGTCAAAACTGAATTCAACCTGGGACTACATCCTTGTTCCGCTCTTTTTCCCCTCCATCCTTCTCTCTTTCCCTTACACCACTCTCTTAATAAGTGCCCTGGCCAGGCGTGGTGGCTCATGCCTGTAATCCCAGCATTTTGGGAGGCTGAGGCGGGTGGGTCGCCTGGTGTCAGGAGTTCGAGACCAGCCTGGCCAACATGGCAAAGCCCCGTCTCTACTAAAAATACAAAAATTAGCTGGCGTGATGGTGGATGCCTGTAATCCCAGCTACTCGGGAGGCTGAGGCAGGAGAATCATCGCTTGAACCTGGGAGGTGGAGGTTGCAGTAAACCGAGATCACACCATTGCACCCCAGCCTGGGTGACAAGAATGAAACTCCGTCTCAAAATAAAATAACATAAATAAAATAAGTGCCCTACATGCCCCAAATCACTGTGTCAGGCTGTGCTTCTAGGAAGCTTGACATAAGGCACCATCCTGCAGTGGTCAGACCACAAAACAAGGATCCCTCCTTCATCCCTGTGATTCAGAGTGTCTTTACAGACTGAAGAGATATAGGACAATGTAAGAGATATAGACAGCTTCCCCCTCCTCACTGTAATAATCTGAAGAAACAAGAAAGGCAGCTCCCGCAACCACCCACAAACACGAACAGCTGAGTTTCACAGTGCGCATCTCCAGCAACGAGCCAGAGCAGAGGACTCTGCAAGCCTAGGGATAGGCAGGGGTTCTTGCAGCTCATGAGATACAGAGACATGGATACCCCTGCCAAGGCCAGAACACCATGGCATGCCACAGCAATGGGCAGCTCTCACCCCTCCAGGAATTTTCTTCCATGGCTGCTGAGCTCCCAAACTCAACAATGATCGTCATCCGCGCAAGCTTAGCTTTCTTGAAAGTGGTTGTTTAGTGGGAACATCTGGTGTGTGAATGGAAGGCCTATTTTTTTTTCTCTTTCTTCCCTCCAGTCAACACTAAAGTGAATACTTTCGAAAGCTGTCCTGCTTCCCTCCCAGAGATGGGAGAGCTGCTTCATTATTTAACTCTGTGTTTCCATCACGGCACAAACTATTTTTGTGCAGCCCTTGGCAGCCTGGAGGGGATATAAGCCACAGCTTGTGAGACTTTCTGGATAATTAAAAGTTTCCAACATCTTTGTTTACCAAAGAAAACACTGACATATTACCTTGTTCAGTTACATATAATTATGACCAGCTCACCATTTTCAACAATTGCTGTAAGTATTGTAGACCTTCCTTTCTTCCTCCCTCCCTCCCTCCCTCCTTTCTTTCTCTTTCCCTTTCTTTCTTTCTTCCTTTCCTTTCTTTCTTTCTCTTTCTTTTTTCTTTCCTTTCTTCCTCTCTTTCCTTCCTCCCTCCCTCCTTCTTTTTCTTTCTTTCTTTTTCTCTTTCTCTCCTTCCTTCCTTCCATCCTTCCTTCCTTCTTTTTTTCTCTCCCTTTCTCTTTCTCACTTTCTCTCTCTTTCTCCCCTTCTTTCTTTCTTTTCTTTCTTCTTTCTTTCTTTCTCTCTCCTTCCTTCCTTCTTTCCTTCCTTCCTTCCCTTCCTCTCTTCCTCCCTCCTTCTTTCTTCATTTTTTTTGCTGTAATAGGCCTGAATATTAGTTAATATTTACACATACATATTTTTATTTTTATGTGTGATGAGATAAGGACATTGAATATCTACTCATGCATTATCCTTTATTTGATTAAATTCCACATTTTCTAGGTTGTTCTATGCAACTGTTCTCCCCAAAGAGAACAGCTACTCTGAGGGTGATGAGTGAAAGTGTAACTTACACTGTTGATTATCTTGCTATTGCCAATGATATGAGTTAGTTTGGATAAGAATATGTAAGCATGATGTTTCCTGCATAGTGTCATAATGAAGACCGTGGAAATACAACTGGACCTAATCCATTACCTCTGGCTGGTGACCTTGGCAAGTTGACTTAACCCCAGTAACCTTTAGGTTTTTTGTTTGTTTGTTTGTTTTTTAATCACAAAATGTAAATAATGGGCCAGGCACGGTGGCTCACACCTATAATCCCAGCACTTTGGGAGGCTGAAGTAGGAGGGTCGCTTGAGCCCAGGAGGTTGAGGCTGCAATGAGCCATGATTGAAACACTGCACTCCAGCCTGGGCCACAGAGTGAGACCCTGTCTCAAAAAAAAAAAGGAAATAATAATAGTAGGTACTTTATGGTACTATTTAAGGATTATGTGAGATAATTCTTGCATCCTACTTAGCTCCCATTTACCAAATCCTAATCTAGGTGCCTCAAGTCTGTGCATTATTCTTGCTTATTGGTTTTGGGCCTCTTAATAGGGAACAAAATATGTATTTTTTAAGAATTAGCCATGCCACCTCAAGATACTCCTCTTGAGAAAACCAAGAAATAGCATTCAGACTGTGGCCTTGTAGCAGAGAGAAACCAACCAGACTGTCAAATGGGCTAGTAGATCTAGATCTATACTGTCTGAAGTGGCGAACCAATGATTCTAAACACAGATAAGCTGCAGATACTCTGTGGCCAGCTATTTGAGACTGAGCTTCCTTGATTTGCTGATAGAAAATCAGGCTGCCCTTCAATTATTGCAGAAATACTCTACCACCAAATTGTGACGTTAGGTGCTGTTTCTAATTTTCCCTTTTTCCCTTTTTCAAGGACACCTTACTTAGCAAACAGATTTTTTTTTTCTATTTTCCACTCAGAGAACTGAGGACAGGGAAGATAGGGCCTTATTCTCTATGCATCTGGCATAGAGTAAGTGTTTAGTAAATGCAAATGTAATGTCTGGGATAAAATCCACGTCAATGTTAAGGAGGGCTCTTTTGTTGTAATAAACTGAAACCTTGAGTAAATTATCTTTATATTTGACATTGTCCTTTATATTTGACATTGTGCAACTTTCCAGTTCCAAAGTTCCAGTTCTTGTAAGGCTCAGCTGTAGCCTTAAACACTCTGTATCTCTCAGGAATCATGTGGTCATCTCTCTACTCTGATTTTTTCTTCCTGCCTATCCATATGCTCTCTATTTTTATTTGCACTTCCAGCCCATGCTGGAAGGAGTCAAGCTAAAAGTCCCAGAGTGAAGTTTAAGAGAGAGGTAATCTGATTATTTCAGCTTGTCTTTGTAAGCCAGCAAGTCCCTCTCCAGATTTTGAGATGACCATCTGTTGAATAGTTGTCCATCCTCAGCTCAGCTGGCTAAGACCTGGGTAGTAGAACATCATGGTACAGAGTTTGACCACACCCTCTCCATATGCATGCAGATGAGGCCACCCCTCTTGGTTGGGATGGGATGGTTACTGCCAAGTAGGCAATGTAATGTCTTTTTCCTCCTCTTCCACAAACTTGCTGCATATTTTATGAATTAGAAATGAGCAGAGAAAACATTCTCTCTCGGAGCTTATGTTCATGGGGTAAGAGCAGGGCACTCCCTGAGCATGAAATTTAGATTCCCCTCTGAGCAGAAAGCTAGAAAGAAATTCAGCATGTGGGAAATGAAATTAGCCATCTGTAGAGAAACCTATCCTAAACGATAAGCAGATGAACTTCCAGGTTCAATGATTTGGGAGCCATCAGTCTCAGGGGAGCATGGTTGCTCAGCAGAGCTAAAGCTGTTGCCTTCTTCATCCTCCATGTGAAAAAGGAATATGCTAACAGAAGGGCATATCCTGCATGAAGAAAAAAAAAAAATAAGAATCCACGGGGTGAGGCCTGGAAAAGGAAGATTCAACTTTTTTAAGAAAGGGGTTCCCAGTCAACAGACATGCACTCTCTGGTCCTGTATCCTTGTAATCTCCAAAACATATCCTATTTACTTCTCACCTTTCTGCATCTGACTTCATTCCCCATCACTCTTGGAAAATGCTTTGTTCAAGTTTATCAAGGATTCATCCCATCCCAGCCACCGAAATTCCTGGACACCTTTTAAACTTCGGTTTTAAAAGATTCACGTAGCAAAGTGGAACACTTTCTTCTGGAAATTTATTACACTTTTCTTGTTAAATTTCTTCCTTATACTTCAAACGTGAGTCATTTAAATCTCTTCCAGGGCTTTTTTCCTCCATTTTTCTCCTCCACTAACCATTGGAGTTTCTTTCTTTCTTTCTTTCTTTCTTTCTTTCTTTCTTTCTTTCTTTCTTTCTTTCTTTCTTTCTTCTTTCTTTCTTTCTTCTTTTTTTTCTTTCTTTCTTTCTTTTTCTGTTAAGCTCTTTTCTCAATCCTCTGCTTTTATCACTCTCTCCAAAGCTAGCTTCTCTATCCCAAGACTTTATCCTCTGCTTTTCTAACAATCCCTAAACTTAAATACAAAATTTAGAAGCCAAGGATGCTAAAATCTTTCTCCTGGTCCACATATCCAGCCCTCTCTGCCTCTACCCCGTGATGTGCTGGTAAATCTTGTACAACCAGCTGTCATGGGAAGAGGAAAGAAAAGCCCTAGTTTGAAGTTTGTCAATTGCCATGGTGTAAAAATACTGACTATGGCTGATACATCAACCAGCTTACAAAATTCCTGAAAATTTAACAACTGGCTCTTCATAGCTGCTGTGAGCCAGCTGTGGCACAGTACTACCTCTCCTAGAAATGTCCTCTTAGCTAACCCACAGATACCTCAAACTACATAGTCAAGGCTGGACTTCAATGACGTGTGTCTACCTTCCTCCCAGTTAGGAATCTGAATCATAGCACTAACAGCGTAATCACCATTATAGCAGGGACCTTGCTGATCTCATTCACTATGGTTTTTTTTTTTTTTTTTTTTTTTTGGAGACGGAGTCTCACTTTGTCACCCAGGCTGGTGTGCAGTGGCGCAATCTCGGCTCATTGCAACCTCTACCTCCCGGGTTCAAGCAGTTCTCCTGTCTCTGCCTCCCGAGTAGCTGGGACTACAGGCACCTGCCACCATACCCGGCTAATCTTTGTATTTTTAGTAGAGACAGGGTTTCACCTTATTGGTCAGGCTGATCTCCAACTCCTGTCCTCAGGTAATCCACCTGCTTTGGCCTCCCAAAGTGCTGGGATTACACGCGTGAGCTACGGCGCCCAGCCTCTCATTCACTATCTTATCCTTAGCACCTATAATGATGCTGGCACCTAGCACACTATAACACTATACACATTTATGCAATGGATGAGACATTATGCCCAATATTCCACTATTCTACCTTGTTTTCTGAGCATATTTTGTCTTTTAAGTAATAAATTAAACTTATTTATCAGGTTCCCATGCATTTAGCAAATTCACTCCTGATGATGGACAAAATTGATTTTTTTTTTCTTTTTCTTTCTTTTCTTTTCTTTATTTTTTTTTTTTTTTTTTTGAGGCAGGGTCTCACTCTGTTGCCCAGGCTGGAGTGCAGTGGTGCGATCTTGGCTCACTGCAACCTCCACCTCCCGGGTACAAGCGTTTCTCGTGCCTCAGCCTCTGGAGTAGCTGGGACAACAGGCTTGTGCCACTATGCCTGGCTGATTTTTTTTGTATTTTTATAGACATGAGGTTTTGTCATGTTGGCCAGGTTGGTCTCAAACTCCTGACTTCAAGTGATCCACCTGCGTCGGCCTCCCAAAGTGCTGGGATTACATGCATGAGCTACCATGCCTGGCCCAACAAAATTTATTTCTGAACCTAAAAACTGAGAACCACAACTGCACCGTAGGAATTTACCAAGGGCCTATGCAGCCAGACAACTCCTACTATTGTAATGGCCAATAAAATGTTCCAAGGATAATAGATGTGAACATGTTTGCTGAAGTGCTAAAATATAGGAAAGCATCACCATATTCAAACCACTAAAAGAGGCTGGGTAATCTACTGAGGTGCCTGATAGTGTGGAAGGTGCGTGGGTTTGAGATATTTCTAAATTTGTGTTCAAATTCTAGTTTGGGCAGTTATGAAGCTTGCAGCTTTGGGTGAATTGTTTAACCATTGTTTGGTTAAACTTAACTTGCATTGTGAGGAAAGGAATGATGTATGAAAAACAGCTGGTGCATAATAATGGCTCCAAAAGATAGTTTATATTATTAATGATGGAGAGAAAAGTAAATTGTGTTGGTTTCTAGTAGATATAGATTTTAATCTTAATTCCTACCAAAAGTCCATGAATGACCTGTACATAGTAGGTAGTTATATATTGACTACTCATTGAATAAATGAATGCATGAATAACTGGAAAATAAAGTACTGAGAAGTTAAATAATCTGTCCTACTCAAGATGCAATGAAATACTTTTCTGGAGAATAAAGATTGTTAGGAAGATGTCATGAGGCTACCACAAACGATGTCATATGAGGACCCTTATATCTGAGTTACCTGTTGATCTGGCTGCCAGTGACAGAAAAGAGACTAAATCCTCTTTGTTCCCCAAACTGGCATAGATTCTGTTAGTAGAGAAAGTGTTGAATCCTCTGCAGCTGACTTTTCTCTATGCCAGGGCCGAAGCACACTGCAGGAGTGATGGAGGCCAGTGTGCATTGCTGTGCTTTGGGTGCCTCTATCTGGAGTAGACAAATTCTCTTCTGCATTGCCCGTTCCTACATTTCTGCCCAGCCATCTGATATGGCTTCATGAGAGCTCCAAGCTGGGAAGCTGGCCCTGCAAGGCGGAAACACCAGATAGAAAGACCTCTAAGTGGACCCTGGAATAAAAAATTCAAATGATGTAATTAGAATAATTTTTCTCCTGTCCCAGATGTGATAAACTCATCTTGCTAACTGAGGCTGGCTAGAAAATTCCTCAGGGGATTTACTTTATCTTTTAAACCAAAGGAATCCTTGAGATTTGACTATAGCCAACCCTATTGGCCACTACTAACACACTGAAAAGCAGCAGTTGATAACAGCAGGGATCCAGATATAAAGTCATCTAGAATCTTTAGGAACTGGGTGTTGAACCATAGAAATCCCCCTGGCTTTGCAGAACCTGGTGCTAGCAAACTAATTATGGCTGAACAACTTATGACAAGGTGGGGGAAGGCAGTCAGCCACAGCAAAACAGTCCTTTGGAAGGCTGGTTTTCTTCAAATCTTATAAGACAGAGAAGGAAAGTTTCTCTTTCCCTGCAGCATGTCATAGATACACGAACTTGGATCATTCTGTGGCAGAATTCTATTTATTTCAGGGTGTTCTTCTGGCTTTTGTGATATTCCTGACACATGAGAAATCAAGCTGTTGGGCCACAGCCAGGCCACTCTGGCTGGAAGATGTGCTTTGTGGGCCATATAATTGTTTAAAACACTTTAGGGAGGCATCATTGAAGTACAATAAGCTGCACATATTTAAAGTGCACAATTTGATAGGTTTCAACATATGTATACACCTGTGAGACCATCATTACAATTAAGATAATAAGTATTTTCATCATGAGTTTTCTCATGCCCATTTAGAATCCGTCTCTCTCTGTCCACCCTATCCCTAAGCAACTACTTACCTGCTTCTGTCACTTGTAGATTTATTTGCATTTTATAGAACTATACGTAAGTGTAATCTTACAATACATACTGTGTTTTTGTGTGACTTCTTTTACTTAGCATCATAATTTTGAGATTACATAATTTTGTTGTATGTATCAGTAGTCCATTCCTTTTTATTACTGAGAAGAATTCCTTTATTTAGGTATACCATACATATCATGTGGTATACAAATAAAATATGTATTAGCCCACTCAATTGTCAATGGGCATTTGGCTTTTATTTTCTGCTTTGAGCTATCACAAAAAAAAAATCTTCCATGGACATTTGTGTACAAGTCTTTTATGAACATATGTTTTTGATTGTCTTGGGTAAATATCTAGCAAGAAAAGAGCAGGGTAACAAACTATTTATATATTTACATTTTTAATAAACTGACAAATCAGTTTCCAAATTATACTTTTTTGCTTTTCTGCCAGTAGTGTATGAGAGTTTCCCTTGTCCATGATCTCCAGCTCTTGATATGGCTGGTCTTTTACATTAGAGCCTTTCTAATGCGTGTTCAAAAAGATCTCACTGTGTTTTAATTTGAATCCTAAAGACAAATGATGTTGAACATCCTTTCATCTTTTTATTAGCCATTTGCATGTCTTCTTTTTTGAACTACCTGTTCAAATCTTTTGCCCAAGTTTAAAGCTGGGTTGTTTCTCTTTTCACCATTTATTTGCAAGATTTTTTATGTAGTCTTGATACAAGCCATGTGCATGATATGTAAGTTGCAAACATTTTCTCCTGGTCTGTGGCTTGCTTTTTCATTTTATTAATTGCGTATGTATCAGTTTTGTGTCTTAGCTAAGAAATCTTTGTCTAACCTAAGAAATAGGCTCTGTTTCTTTTTCTTTTTTTGTTTTTACATGTGGATACCAAATTGTTTCACTATCATTTGATGAAAATGTTATTTCTTCTTTCTTTTTTTTTTTTTTTTGACAGAGTCTTGCTCTGTCCCCCAGGTTGGAGTGCAGTGGCACAATCTCGGCTCACTGCAACCTCCACCTCTCAGGTTCAAACGATTCTCCTGCCTCAGCCTCCTAAGTAGCTGGGACTACAGGCATGTGCCACCACATCCAGCTAATTTTTGTATTTTTAGTAGAAATGGCGTTTCACCATGTTGACCAGGTTGGTCTCGAACTCCTGACCTCAGGGGATCCGCCCGCCTGGGCCTCCCAAAGTGCTGGGATTACAGTCATGAGCCACCGAACCCAGTGAAAATATTATCATTTCTTAATTGAAGTTGTCTTAGCTTCTTTGTTAAAAATCAATTGACCACATATGTGTGGTCTGTTTCTGGACTATATTCTGTTCCTTTTGTCTATGTCTTGATTACTGTAGCTTTATTATAATCTTGAAATCTGATAGTGTGAGACTTCCAACTTTGTCTTTCTTTATCAAAATTGTTTGGGCTGTTTTAGTTCCTTTGCTCTTTCATATCAATTTTAGCATTTTCATGTCTACATGATGAGATCTGCATTAAATATATTTACCAATTATAGAAGAATTAACATCTTAACATATTAAACTTCCAATCCATTAATGTGATTTATCTTTTTTGTTTTTTAAGTGTTCTATGATTTGTTTCAACATTTTTTGTAGTTTTAGCATAAAATATTGTACATATTTGGTATTTTATCCCAATGTATTTTATATTTTTTTGTGCTTTTCTAAATGATACTATATTTTATTTCAATTTCCAAATGTTCTTTGACAGTGAAGTTTCATATGTAGCTTCTGTGTAGATTCACGGAGGTCCCTTCTGAATATAATTCCCCTTTTGTTTTTGATATTTGATGCAATAGATTCCAGCCACTTCAGCTGCCCCCAATTCCGATTTCTGCTTCTTCACCTTGGCATGTCTGCCATGACCTGTTTCATTTCAGCTCTTTGTACCACGGTCAGGAGATTATCTCCATGTAGAAGGCTGGGCAATTGTGGGTCTCAAATTTTTAGTTTTTCCACTCTCAGGGATCACATTCTTATGCTGTCTGTTGTTCAATGCTGAAAATACTGTCTCATATATTTTATCTAGTCATATAGGTATTTATGATTGGTGAGCTAGTTCATATCAGTTACTCCATCATGGCTGGAAGTGGATATTCTTCCCATAGTTGATTTAACCAGATATCTATTAATATTAATACTGTTTTCGATCTTATTTTTTACTTGAAGTGTGGCAATGAAGGTCTTATAAGTATGCCATTTGGCACATATATAAATGTGTCTGTAAGATAAATACATAGAAACTGAATTGTTAGGAATGAGCACTTTAAAATTTTTAGTAGATTATTGACAAATTACTATACATTTTATAATTCTATAATCATCATAAGTGGGTATCTGTTTCCTAGCTCACTACAGCAGTTTTTTTGGTCTTTGCTTAATGGAATGAACAGACAATTCATGGAAAAGGAGAAAAAAATTTCTCACCAGTGTTTGAAAAGATGATCTGTCTCATCCATAACACTTACAATACTCTAAAGATACCATTTCTCACATTTACCAGATTAGGAATATCATGTGAGGCTTTCTTATAAAAGTGAATCTGCAATCTGCATATCGATGCATAAAGAGTAAGCAAAAAATGAAAAAAAAAGAAAGCAAAGTCTAGGCAGATTGAGGGAATGGAAGTCCCATTTTCCCGTCATTTGCTGCTAATGGTTATCTGAGAGGAACAGTAACCACAGCCAAAGGGTCCTTAAAACTTCTATAGGGTGCTGCCAAAGTTGGACTACTCACTTCGTACCATTGTTCCTTACTGCCTTGTGTCACTGGCATCGCCATGCACAAATGATGGATTGCCTGAACTGCTTCCACCAACATAAAATCTGCAGAGCAAAAGCAAAACCAAGTCCTGGGCCAAACTCTTAGCACACTTTTAAATTACCCCATTAAATCTTGTGCAGGACTGTGGTGAATTCACTCCATTCTTGGCAGCCAGCTGCTAGGAGGAAGAAAACCTGTAGGGATTTAAAAATTGAGTCTTATTTTGGACTGGGGAGTTTGGATTTTTTCCACCTCCTGGTTTTCAAGTTCCCTCACAGCCATTCTACATGTTAAGTCCAAGAGAATGCAATCAAGTTTAAAGTCATGATTTGGAATGTAGACAGTCATTTAATTAGATCCTAAATGTAGATATGCTTTGACAAATATCCCTATTTAGATGAGGATGCCCAAATTAAAAAATATATATTTTTTAATTTTTATTTTAGGTTCAGAGGTATATGTGCAGGTTTGTTATATAGATAAGCTTCTATCATGGGGTTTGGTGTACAGATTATTTAATCACCCAAGTATTAAGCCTGGTGCCCATTAGTTATTTTTCCTGATCCTCTCCCTCCTCCTCCCCTCCACTCTCTGGTAGACCCCAGTGTGTGTTGTTCCTCTGTGTGTCCATGTGCTCTCACATGTGTCTCATGTCTTTATATATCAACTGAAATAATAATAGTATATTATAATACATATCTTATATGATTGTTTTAAATTATTTAATTCATTAAATTATTAGTTAATCAAATTATTTAATTCATATAGAATATTAATGCTGATGTATTTGTTGGAAAGTATTGTCATGACATTTGTGATCATTATTTTGCTTTTATAACCATGAATAGATGTAGAATATAACCTCAGAGAATGGCTGCAAGAACAGAGGGAAGATGCCAGTTAGTAAATTAATCAAAGATTTTGATTAGAAACTATATCCTCACTACCTTGTTAGCCTAAGATTCTGAGACCTGTGGAATCTGTGGTCTATTTAAAATTCAATGGATAACGTATGTGAAAGTCCAATAAAAGAGTGAAAGTGTCGGAAGAATGTTGGTTACTGTTATTATTAATAGTTGACAGTTCCTTTTTTATGCTACACAAGATGTTTGAAATATAAATATCACCATACAATTATCTGGATGATTCTGTCTAGACTACACACACATACATATACATGAAAGTGCATATATATAATACAATTATTCGAAGACACTATAGCCTAATGGCCAAGTGCTTTGTTTTTGAAGTTACACAGTTCTGAGCTTAACTCTTTTCTCTGCCACTTACGAGTAATGTGACCTTGGACAAGTGACTTGACCTTGCAGAACTCCAGATGCACCATCTATAAAGCCCTCTAGGATTGTTTTGAGATGTCAATGAGATAAACTATGTCAAGTCCCAGTATATGAAGTCCACAGTGCCTAGCGTGTAGTGTTTTCTCAGTGAATTTCCCCTGAAATGCTGTTAGCTCTGTGGAGCAGGATCACTATGTGATGGGTTTTATATCAGCGGGGTGATTTATAACCTAGAAATATACACAGGGGTGGTGCTTAAAACATCTTGCTGGGCAGAAGAATGAAAATGATTGCTTTCTGATAATGCATACTCCAGACTGTAAAATTGTATGAGTTCATGGGTAAGAGTAAAATGCAAACTAAGGTAGTGAGTGAAGTCTTTCAGAGAAGTTGGAAGAACTAAGGTGAGCCTTCAAGACTGAGAAGGATATGAAGAATTAGAGAAAAGGAGCAAGAATAATGCAGACAATGCATTTTGCTTTAGGAAGAGAAAATCCAGAAGACTTGAACAACCTTACATCTCTGGCTGTGACATGGCTAAACAGAGCAAACCAGACATTGTTCAATCATGCCATACTCTCCTACTCCATGCCCACGGAAAAATAAAGTAGGAACAGCAACAGCAAGCCCTACTTAGACATCGCTCCATGAAAATCTAGCTTCAGAGCTGCTTTACCCTCTTGCAAAAATATCTCCATTGTAATCAAGTCAGAAGCTTGAACCTCATCAAAGATGTTTAGATTGTGAATGAAATATTGGTGGGCAGAAAGCATATGAAGTAAAGTGGATAAAATCCTGAATGGAATGGCCATCAATGAGTGACTCATCACTCATTGCTTGGAGACCTAGTAAATCTCCCACCTCTATTTCAACTTCGTCAACAGCAAAATGGAAAAAAATAATATCTGACTTACCTCCACTGAAAGTCTTTTTAAGTATTCAGGTGTAAAATCACTTTGGAGAATTAAAACTGTTTGCAATTTTACTTAAAATGATAGTTCAGGGAAGTAGCATTGAGTGATTTAGGGAAGAGAAATAAGAATTGTTGTGGTTAGCACATTTTACAGGTGATAATGCTGAAGAAGTAGCTGCTTTTGCTCTGTTTCAATGGTATTTTAGATCAATGTGAAGTCCAAAAGGTTGGTACAGACTCTGTCGCTATTTCTGGATATTTAATTGTGGAGGGATCCCTTGTGGAAAGCTCAGGTCTCTTTGAAACAACCATGAATAATAACATTAGTAATGTGGTCAGTATGTAGATTAAAGATGCCCATAATTCTCTGATATTTCTCTCATAAGAGATCGACCTATCTATTCTCTCTCTTTGAATCTGGGCTGGCCTGTGACTACTTTAATCAAGCAAATAGAATTATGGTGACATGTGCCTTTTCTAGCTCTAGTATTCAAGAGAACTGGAAGCTTCCGTCTTAGGCTTTTGAAGTCCTGAGTCTCCAGGTAATAGTTCGACTATGTTGCTGGAGAGACCATCTGCAGAGGCTCAGACATTAGATGAAGAGGGACTCGGCTGAGTCTACCTTTCCATCTAACTCTGCCAAGGGACTGAGCTTGTAAATAAAGCTAGCAGACACTTCAGTCTGATGCAGCCACCCCAGCTGAACACAACAAAATGACACCAGTCAATATCAGGTGGAGCAGAAGAATTTCCCAGCTATTTTCATATCCCTTACCAACAGAATTATAAAATGTAATGAAAGGATGATTGTTTTAAGACGTTAAATTTTGGGATAGCTTTTTTTTTAAAAAAACAGCATATTTCCGTGAGTAAGGTGCATGCATAGAAAGTCACATGGCAGAATTAGGGGAAATGGTGGACAAAAAAGGTCAACACACTCACAATTAGTAATGTCGAGCCGTCAATGAAAAGTTTATTGATGAAACTCTAAGTGCAAGGTTGATTCATTAGTACTGAATATCATTTACAATGACAAAAGAGATAACATGTTGTATAATTCTAAATTCAACCAATATCCATTTCCAAAAATATTTTACTAAAATTAAACTTGATGTGTCATAGTGTAAGGAGTATCTCATGTCTAGATTCTTCTTTCAGAGAAAGCCAGGTGCAGATCTTTAAAAATGCTTAGTACTTAATGTCTGCTAACTTTACCACAACTTGCACCTTGGAAGCTGTACACATTTTAATTAATTAAGCCTCACAATGCCTCTGTGATGGCAAAAGGAAATAACAAGGAATCATTTTACCCACTACTGAAACGTAGTCACCTGTTGGGTTGAACACAGCAGCTGTTTAGCAGCTGTAAGGGAATCCTGAACTATCATTCTGGGCAGCCATGCTAAGGAGGATAACGTATCTGATTGAAATTGCAAAGGAAATTTGAGCAGACAGGATGCAATTACCTGAACTGGAGCCCAGCCAGCTCACCAGGGCTAAGTGGCAAGGAACTCAAGCTGGGGAGCTTACCTTCTGCATATTTCACAGATTACTGGGGACGTTCAGTGCCCTGTGTGGACAATAATCAGAGGCTGTGGAAGGCTGTCATCCTGAACCTGCATTACATCTCCCCTGAACACATCTCTTTCTAGAACAATACGGTCATTTGGTTAAAGATATTTGAGAATATAGGCTCATATGGACCTAAACCATGCCTTTAAACCTTAAAACTGCTCATCCTGACATACTTCAAGGCACAAATATTTTACTGTCTAAAAAAATTATAAGAAAAATGTCATGAAGAGGTGCATAAAACTCGTGTATTCTACACTGACAATATACTTATAAATGTGAGGATATTTTTTGTAATGGATGAATCTAAACTTGACTTTTATTTTCCATTTTGTTGATGACATTTCTCCACATTTTGTTCTGGAGGAAACACGGCACTTGACGAAATGTCTCTAATGTCCTTGGAGTGTTTGTATTGAATTCTAGTAGATATGCTTAAGAGTTTCTAAGTAACAGGTTAGAAATTAAACTATTACCAATTTGTCCTTAAGAAACTAAGAAATATTGCCAACAAAAACATCCCTAGTCAAAATAATCCAATTAAAACACCATCAGCACACACTATGCCCGAGGCCTGTGCTGTGAACAGTGACCAATGAAAAGAGGAATGAGATGTGGCTCCTGTCACTGGTGACTGTGGTGTAGCTGGAGATGGGGACTTGTACAGATACCTGATGCTCACTTAATGGTCCTCACAGATGCTTACAGTTCCAGCCATCTTTGAAGATGCAATTGAGTGACCATCCCCTCCAAAAGGTCTTTCCAGATCTTCAACTTTGGATTTAATCTATTTTTCTTCTGTTTCTCTTTATACTTTGTTCCACTTATCGCAGTCTATCTTGATTTAGAGTTAATTGGTTACATACATATTTGCTTATCCCCACTATCATTGAAATTCATTTAAAAATGTTTATTATATATTGACAAATTGTAATTGTAGATATTTGTGGCATACAAAGTGTTGTTAGGATTTTTTTAATATAATGTGGAATGATTAAGCTAATTAAAATATTTATCACGTCAAATATGTAACTTTTTTGGTGATGAGAACATTAGAAATATATTCTCTTAGCAGTACTGAAATGTACAGTACTCAATTATTTTTATTCAGCATGCTGCACTATGCATTTCAAAAAAAAATCAGACTTCAAGATGGCTGAATACAGGTATCTGGTATTCACTTCCTCCACAAAGAAAGAATCAAAATAGTGAGTAAATAATCACACTTCTAATAGATCACCCAAGAGAGAACACTGGAATTCAACAGAAGTGACAGGAGACACCTAAGACAAGGAAAGAGAGAGAAGCGAGGCAGCCTGGCTGGCTGGGATTACCTAAGAACCTGAAGAGGCTTCCCAATGTGGAGAAAGGGTAAGTAAGTGACCCCTAGCAGTCCATATTCCCACCATGGACTCCTGCAATCTTAGCCATAGGACAGCCCCCTCTACCCATGTGGCCCCTCATTTTGAGAGCCCAGCTCTCAAGATGGTGCTTCGCTGTAACTGCTTAGATTCCAGGTATTTTGGGAACCCAGTGTGAGCTTCCTCTCTGGGACAGTGCCATCATGTGGTCTCCAGGTAGCTCCCTATGTTAATTTCAGGGTCCCAAAAGCACTTGGGGCCCAACAGCACCTGCATCTCTACATCCCTGGATCCCTGTTGACATCCCCTTCCTGGAGCCAGGCACCACTGCAGGCTGTCACCACCAGCGCAGAAGCACGAGTCATTGGCAACAACCCTGCTGCCCTCAGTAGCAAGTTCACCATGCATTTAAAAGCACCTAAGGAAGGGCCACTCTGGTTATAGCCACCACCTGAGGCTGAAGCATAAGCTCCCCAGCTACCTGCTTATAGCTACTACTGTTGAAAACAACCCCACCCTCCCCTGCAGCAGGGCCACAGCACAGCCACTGCCAGCCACACCTGAGCGTTCCACCAGGGATTTGGAGATTAACCCAGCCCTGCCTACCATATCCAGCTTCTTCATGCACCACTAGAGGACCTGAGGATAGGCTAACCTCACCTGGCTCCACTCTGACCCACCAGTGCCCAAACGTGCCATCTGGAGGTCTGGGAAGTATAATGCCCTACTTATTGTTGGCCCCTGAGCACTCCTTTAGGAGGCCAGAGTATGAGCACACACAACCTTCTGCTACCACAAAAGCTGGTACCCACCCCCACGTGCCACTTGTGGGCCTGGGGACTGACCTACCCAGCCTATCGCAGCCATCATCAACACCAGTGTGGACCACCTGAGCGTTAGAGAATTGTCCCACCGCTCCTACTGCCATCACTTATGCCACACTTGTTGCCCAGGAACTGAGGAGTCACTCATGTGCCCAGCCCAACACTGCCACTACTATCACCCAGGCAAGACATCCTGAAGGCTCAAGAATCCCCCCTGCCTGTACCCACTAATACCAATGCCAGCATATGCTATACTGGGGTCCAGACAAGCATGCTTGGCCTGCAGCTGCCACCAATGGGGCCTGAGGACTGGCTCACCTGATGTCTTTGTCCCTAGCAAAACATCATCACAGCCTCCACAAACAACCACACCCTAAGCCACTGAGGAAATTACAAACATTACTGATACTGTTTAGACCCAAATAGATCATATGAAGACTATACTACTGCATGTGCTCAGAATCAAAAACAAAATTCCTTATGTAACCAGAACTACAGATATGTCTTCAGAAAAAACTCCTCTCCAATGAAAGCAAATCCAAAAAATTAGAAGTTATTACACCGTATGTGTACATATAAACATGGGGACACAGGAAACATAAAAAACCAAGGAAATAGGACACCTCCAAAGGAATACAATAATTCTCCAGCAACAGATTACAATGAAGAAATATATGAAATCCTGGAAAAAGAATCAAAATAATGATATTAAAGAAGCTTAGTAAGATACAAGAGAGCTCAGAAAAAGCAATACAAAAAATCAAAAAAACAATTTAGAATGTGAATGAGAAATTTAGCAAAGAGATAACTATCATAAAAAAGAATCAAACAAATTCTGAAACTGAAGAATTTATTGAATGATAAAATACATTTGGAAGCTTCAACAATAGACTAGTTCAAGAGGAAGAAATAACTTGAGAACAGCTCTTCTGAAATAACTCAATCTGAAAAAATTTTTAAATTCTTTTTTTTATTTGCTTTTTGAAAAATTTTATTTTTCCATAAGTTATTGGGGTACTGGAGGTATTTGCTTCCATCAGTAAGCTCTTTAGTGGAGATTTGTGACATCCTGGTGCACCCATCACCCAAGCAGTGTACACTGCACCATGTTTGTTGTCTTTTATCCCTTGCCCCCTCCCACTCTTCCCCCCCAAGTCCCTAAAGTCTATTTTGTCATTCTTATGCCTTTCTGTCCTCATAGCTTAGCTCCCACATATCAGTGAGAACGTATGATGTTTGCATTTCTATTCCTGAGTTACTTCACTTAGAATAATCGTCTCTAATCTCATCCAGGTCATTGCAAATGCTGTTAATATGCTTTTAAAAACACAGCTTGATTAAATGAACATTTTCCTGCATTGATATTTAAAAATTAAGTTTTGCAGCAGGTAGCAGAACTCAAGTCTCTTGAGAAAGGAATGTGATTGAAGATTGTGACTGGAATAACATACCTTTTCTTTCCCAGATGGTTTATTTTTATTTTATTTTACTTTTTATTTTTATTTATTTTTATTTATTTTTTTAAATTATACTTTAAGTTCTAGGGTACATGCGCACAATGTGCAGGTTTGTTACATATGTATACATGTGCCATGTTGGTATGCTGCATCCATTAACTCATCATTTACATTAGGTATATCTCCTAATGCTATCCCTCCCCCTTCCCTCCACCCCCAACAGGCCACGGTGTGTGATGTTCCCCTTCCTGTGTTCATGTGATCTCATTGTTCAATTCCTACCTATGAGTGAGAACATGCGGAGTTTGGTTTTTTGTCCTTCCGATAGTTTGCTGAGAATGATGGTTTCCAGCTTCATCCATGTCCCTATAAAGGACGTGAACTCATCATTTTTTATGGCTGCATAGTATTCCATGGTGTATATGTGCCACATTTTCTTAATCCAGTCTATCATTCATGGACATTTGGGTTGGTTCCAAGTCTTTGCTATTGTGAATAGTGCCACAATAAACATACGTGTGCATGTGCCTTTATAGCAGCATGATTTAAAATCCTTTGAGTATATACCCAGTAATGAGATGGCTGGGTCAAATGGTATTTCTAGTTCTAGATCCCTGAGGAATCGCCACACTGAGTTCCACAATAGTTGAACTAGTTTACAGTCCCACCAACAGTGTAAAAGTGTTCCTATTTCTCCACATCCTTTCCAGCACCTGTTGTTTCCTGACTTTTGAATGATCACCATTCTAACTGGGGTGAGATGGTATCTCATTGTGGTTTTGATTTGCATTTCTCTGATGGCCAGTGATGGTGAGCATTTTTCCATGTGTCTGTTGGCTGCATAAATGTCTTCTTTTGAGAAGTGTCTGTTCATATCCTTCACCCACTTGTTGATGGGGTTGTTTTTTTCTTGTAAATTTGTTTGAGTTCTTTGTAGATTCTGGATATTAGCTCTTTGTCAGATGAGTAGATTGCAAAAATTTTCTCCCATTCTGTAGGTTTAGTGTTACTCTGACGGTAGTTTCTTTTGCTGTGCAGAAACTCTTTAGTTTAATTAGATCCTATTTGTCAATTTTGGCTTTTGTTGCCATTGCTTTTGGTGTTTTAGACATGAAGTCCTTGCCCATGCCTATGTCTTGAATGGAATTGCCTAGGTTTTCTTCTAGGGTTTTGATGGTTTTAGGTCTAACATGTAAGTCTTTAATCCATCTTGAATTAATTTTTGTATAAAGTGTAAGGAAGGGATCCAGTTTCAGCTTTCTACATATGGCTAGCCAGTTTTCCCAGCACCATTTATTAAATAGGGAATCCTTTCCCCACTTCTTGTTTTTGTCAGATTTGTCAAAGATCAGATGGTTGTAGATGTGTGGCATTATTTCTGAGGCCTTTGTTCTGTTCCATTGATCTATATCCCTGTTTTAGTACCAGTACCATGCTGTTTTGGTTACCACAGCCTTGTAGTATAGTTTGAAGTCAGGTAGCGTGATGCCTCCAGCTTTGTTCTTTTGGCTTAGGATTGTCTTGGCAATGCAGGCTCTTTTTTATTTCCATATGAACTTTAAAGTAGTTTTTTTCCAATTCTATGAAGAAAGTCATTGGTAGCTTGATGGAGATGGCATTGAATCTATAAATTACCTTGGGCAGTATGGCCATTTTCATGATATTGATTCTTCCTATCCATGAGCATGGAATGTTCTTCCATTTGTTTGTGTCTTCTTGTATTTTGTTGAGCAGTGGTTTGTAGTTTTAAAGCCTCTGTGAGAAATGTGACACCATAAAATGACCAAATATTCAAAATTTGATGTCCCAGATGGTGAAGAGAAAAAGAATGTGTTAGAAAAGACTATTTAACAAAATAATAGCTGAAAACTTCCCAAGTCTAGCAAGAGATTAGATATCCAGAGACAGGAAACTCAGAGATCTCAAAACAGATACAATACAAAAAGGTTTTCTCCACAGCACGTTATAATCAAACTGTAAAAAGTCAAAACAAATAGAGAATTCTAAAAACAGAAACAGAAAAGCATGTAGTCACTTATAAGGAATCCCCTATCAGACTAAACAGTAAATTTTTCAACAGAAATCTTGCAAGCCAGGAGATAATGGGATGATATATTCAAAGAGCTGGAAAAAAAAAAGTTCCTAGTCAACGAAACTATACTCAGCCAAAATATCCTTCACATATCACGGAGAAATACTTTTCTAGACAAGTAAAAGCAGAGGGAATTCATCCACACTAGACCAGTCCTAAAAGAAATACTTAAAGGAGTCCTACACCTGGAAACAAAAGAGCAATATCTACCATCATGAAAACACAGGAAAGTATAAAACTCCCTAGTAGAGCAAATACACATGTAAGGAAGAAAGGAACTCAAATATCACCACTACAGAAAACCACCAAGCCACTGTGATAAACAATAAGAGAAAGAAAGAAAGAAGAAAGAGAAAAAAAGAAGAAAGAAAAAAAGAAAAAGAAAGAAGAAAGAAAGAAAAAAAGAAAGATGAAAGAAAGAATGAAAGAAGAAAGAAAGAGAAAGGGAGGAAGGAAGGAAGGAAAGGAGAAAGGAATAAGGTAAGGAAGAAATGAAGAGAAAAAGGATATACAAAACAACCAGAAATCAATTAATAAAATGACAGGAATAAGCCCTCACATATCAATAATAATCTTTAATTGGAATAAACTTTCTAATTAAAAGATATAAACTAGGTGAATGGATAAGAAAACATGACCCAACTCTATGCTGCCTATAAAAAACTCATCTCACCTGAAAAGACATAAATAGAGTGAAAGTGAGGGGTGAAGGCAAATATTATATACAAATGGAAACTAAAAATGAGCAGAAATAGTTATATTTTATAAAAGAGACTTTAAGTCAAAAACATGAAGAAGAGACAGAGAAGGCCATTAAATATAAATAAAGGGATCAATTAAGTCAGAATATATACCAATTCTAAACATGTATGTACCTAACACTGGAGCACCGGCATATACAAAGCAAATCTTATTAGATCTAAAGGAAGAGATAGAATCCAATACAGTAATACTTGGAGACTTCAGCATTCCACTATCATCAATAGACAGTTAATCTAGACAGAAAATTAACAAAGAAACATAGGATTTAAACTGCACTTTACCCCAAATGGACCTAATAGACATTTACTAAACATTTTATCCACCAGATACAGAATACACATTCTTTCCTTCAGCACATGGAACATTTTCCAGTAGAGATCATATAGTAGGACACAAAACAAGTATCAACAATATTTTTAAAAATGGAAATCTCTCCAGTGTCTTCTCAGACCACAATGGAATAAAATTAGAAAGAAATAACAAGAAGAACTTTGGAAACTGTACAAATACATGGAAATTAAATAACATGGTTCTTAATGATCACTGAGTCAAGAAGAAAATTTAAAAACTATTGAAGCAAATAAATATAGAAACACAACATACCAAAATCAATGAGATACAGCCAAAGCAGTGGTATAAGGGAAGTTTACAGCAATACATGCCTACAACAAAAAGTAGAGATATTAAAAAAAAAACCTAACTGTACACCTCAAGAACTAGAAAAGCAGGGATAAACCATACCCAAAATTAGTAGAAGGAAAGAAAAAATAATGGTCAGACTAGAACTCAATAAAATAGAAACTAAAAAAATTACAAAGGTTTAATGAAACAAAGTTGGTTTTTTGAAAAGATAAAATTGATAACCCTCTTGCTAGAGTAATCAGGAAGAAGAGAGAGGACCCAAATCAATAGAATCAGAAAGGAAAAAGGAAACACTAAAACTGATACTACAGAAAAACAACATCAGAAACTATTATGAATAAACTATATGCTAATAAACTGGAAAACCAAGAGGAAGTGGATAAATTCCTGAACACGTATGAACTGCCAAGTTTGAATCAGGCATAAATAGAAAACCTGAACAGACCAATAATAAGTAATGGGACTGAATCAGTAATAAAAATGTATCTTACAAAGACAAAAAGTTATTCAACAAAGATAAGTCCAGGACCGGATGGTTTCACTGCTTAATTCTACAAAATATACAAAGAACTAACAACAATTCTCAAACTATTCCAAAAAATTTGAAGACCTGGGGTATATTAGTCAGTTTTCATGCTACTGGTAAAGACATACCTGAGACTGTGCAATTTACAAAAGAAAGAGGTTTATTGGACTTACAGTTCCACATGGCTGGGGAGGCCTCACAATCATGGAGGAAGGCAAGGAGGAGCAAGTCACATCTTATTTGGATGGCAGCAGGTAAAGAGAGAGCTTGTGCAGAGAAGCTCCTGTTTTTAAAACCATCAGATCTTGTGAGACCTACTCACTATCACAAGAAAAGCACCAGAAAGACCTACCCCCATGAGTCAATCATCTCCCACCAGGTCCCTCCCATAACATGTGGGAATTATGGAAGCTACAAGATGATATTTGGGTGGGGACCCAGAGCCAAATCATATCATGGGGTCCTTAACTCATTCTATGAAGCTAGAATTATCCTGACTTCAAAAGCAGACAAGGACACAAGAAAAACAACAACAAAAAATGCTATAGAACAATATTCTTGATCAAAATAGATGCAAAAATCCTTAACCAAATACTAGCAAACTGAATCCAACTATACATGAAAAAGATAATACACCATGATCAAGTGGGATTTATCCTAGGAATGCAAAAATGGTTCAATATAAACAATATGCAAATCAATAAACATGATATGAGGCATCAACAAATAAAGGAGAAAAAGCATATGATTATTTAAATAGATGTAGCAAAATCATTTGACACAATTCAACGTCCCTTCATGATAAGAAACTCTCAACAAACTAAGAATAGAAGGACCCTACCTTACCACAATAAAAGCCATATATGACAAACTCACACCTAATATTATACCGACTGGGGAGAAGCTGAAAGCCTTTCCTCTGCAACTGGAAGAAGATAAAAATGCCCACATTCACCACTCCTATTCAACATAGTACTGGCAGTCTTATCCAAAGCAATTGAATAAGACAAAGAAATAAATGATATCCAAAGTGGAAAACAGGAAGTCAATTTTACCTCTTTGCAGATGACATGATTTTACATCTAGAAAAAAACTAAAGACTCCATCTAAAACTCTTAGAGCAGATGAATACATTAAGTAAAGTTGCAGGATACAAAATCAACATACAAAAATCAGTAGCATTTATATATAGCGATAATGAACTAGCTGAGAAAAAAAATTAAGACGGCAATTTCATTTACAATAGCTACCAAAAAAATAACTAGAAATAAATTTAACCTAGGAAGTGAAAGACCTCTACAAGGAAAATTACAGAACACTGATGAAAGAAATTGAAGATGACATGCAAAAAATGAAAAGTCGTCCCCTGCTCATGGATTAGAAAAATTAACATCAATAAAATGACCATTCTGCACAAAGTAATCTATGGATTCAATGCAATTCACAGAGAAACAAAAATCCTAAAATTATATGGAACCAAAAAAGAGCCTAAATAACCAAAACAATCCTCAGCAAAAAGAACAAAGCTGGATGCATCACATGATGTGATTTCAAAATGTATTACAAGGCTATAGTGGTATATTTTGAATAATTTTTATTTATGTTTTGTGCACCTATTACAGATTTTTGCTGTTTGGTTACCATAATGCTTACAAAGAATATCTTAACTTATAACACTTAGTTTCAAGCTAATAAAGCTTCACTTTGGTTGCATACAACTCTGTATTTTTACTCCCCCACCACAGAATTTCGTTTTTCATGTCTGAATTTACACTTTTTATGTGGACCCCTTGACAGTTTATTTTAGCTCTGGTTGTTATTAATAATTTTATCCTTTAGCCCTTATACTAGGGATAAAATTACATTGCACACCATCACTACAAGTACTAGAGTGTGCTGAATATTGCTCAATGTTACTTATGCAACTGGGTTTTGTTCTTTTGTGTGTTTTATGTTATTAATTAGAAGAGCTTTTCTTCAGTTTAAAGAACTCCCTGTAGAATTTGTTGTAGGACAGCCCTAATGATACAATGATAGTAAACTCCCTTAGCTTTTATTTGTCTGGGAAAGTTATTGTTTTTCCCTCGTTTCTAAAAGACTGCTTTGCTGGGTAAAATACTTTTGGTTGATCATTTTTTAATGTTTTTCCTTTCAACTGAAGAAAAAAATCTGCTAATGAAGAATATTATGAGGATTTTAATTTGTTGAAATTTCACAAGATAAGCAATATTTGAGTTTAAGGTAAAGAGGCACTGAGGCCCACATTTTCCTTTAAAAGTTCAAAGAAAAACTGAAGATATGGATACTAATTCTTGCTCTACATTCCTGTGTGATGCTGGGCACATGACATCACTGAGATCTCTATATTCTTATCTGAGAAATGAGAATTTTAGATGACACACACTTTAATAATCTGCTAAATGTAAAATTTTATGAGTGTATGATTCTAAAGAAGAATTACTGACTTTACTCTTTAATGAATCAACTCATTTTTGTGAAAGTATGTTTAGATGAGGTTACTAACCAAAAGATATTGGTGAACTAAAATAAACTTACCCGAAAAGAACACTTTTTTATTGTAAAAAGAGCCAATTGCAGGACCCAATGTCAACATCAGGGTATTTGGGTTATGAAATACTTTAGTTAATTTGTCTACATAATTTGCTTAATACATTACAACAAAATGCCCCTTATTTAGTGCTTAGTGGAGGTGTGGATGAGAAAACAAACAATGGGCTGACATTAAGGAATCATCCTACTCAGTAAAGGTAAGTCATATGCACAAATTTCATAATATAATAGTCTTAAAATTTTCCTCCATCTTCCCACAAAAATATGCAATATCAGAACTGCTGCACTATGTCTATTCAACTTTCTCACATAAAGCCTGCATGCACTTTAGCACTTTTTCACTCAAAGCATGGCCGCAGACCCGCAGCATTTGCATCACATGAAAAATGTGAAATCACAGGTCTTATCCCAGACCTGTGGAATCAGAAGCTGCATTTTAGCAGAATCCCCAGGTGATTCATAATCACATTAAAGATTGATCTGCTCTGCTTTAGATTATTAAAATTTTTAGGACTCCTGAACCCACATAAATTATCTGATCTTACTTAATTCAGCATCTGTCAATTTTTCTTTAAGGCACTGTCATAGACTATCATCAAGGACGCATACCCAGATATACAATTCTTTTTCATTAGCATTCATTGGCATTAAAATATGTGTATGTTTTACTTTTGTCTTTTCCAACTTTTATTTTAGATTCTGGGGGTACATGGGCAGATTTTTTATAAAGGTATATTGAGTGATGCTGGGGTTTGGAGTAGGATTGAATCCGTCACGTAGAAGGTGAGCATAGTACCCTATAGGTAGTTTTAGAACCCTTTCCCCTCTCCCTTGCCCCTTTATATTATCTGTTGACTATTGTTCACATCTTTATGTCCATGTGTACCCAATGCTTGGCTCCCACTTATAAGTGAGCACATATGGCATTGGGTTTTCTGTTACTGCTTTAGTTTGCTTAGGATGATGGCCTCCAGCTGTATCCATGTTGTTGCAAAGGCCATGATTAATGGTCTTTTATTACCTCCAACCTTATTCACTTCAGATTTTCAATAATTTTGTACTCTTATGTTTTCCAGGTAAATATTGTAATAATTTCTTTGCCTTTGATTCTTCATGGTCTTATGTTGAAGGGAGACTTTAAACTACAGGTAGTGTCTTTGAAAACCAAGGACTCAATAAATTTTGCTCAGCCTTCAATTTCTCAACCACGGCAATTATTTCTCTTATGTTAAAGGATTAACATGTTTGTGATACATCACCATGTTATAAAGGCCTATCGTGAGTTGTAATTTTATATAAAATTATTCCATTTAGCTTAATAATATCCACTTATAGCTCAGTTTATAATATATTTTCTACTTGAGAGCAATAAAATTGCATTTTGTTAACAAAACGTCTGTAATTTGGTTTTGTTACTAAATCATATTAGTCTCATTATTCAAAATTAGTGAGGCTTTACCACATATGTCATCGATGCAGAAAGTAGCTGGAACAGTGTGAATAATATCAACACTGAATATAAGATATAAGATTTGGAACTTGTTTAGAGAACAGACTGTCCAGAAGTGTATAAAGCATGCTTCTCCAATCCCCCCAAGTCTTGGAGTTGAGGGATAAAAGTGGGTCTGGTTTGTACTGTTTTGTGTTTGTCCTTTATGTCAACTTTTATTTGAATAAAGTGTTCCATAGCTAAATATTTGAAACCCACTCATTATTTTCCAATGTCTCCTTCACCATGGACATGTCTCATTAAAGATTAACGGTGACCAGTGCCACATGTGCTGCCACAACTGCGAGGACTTCAGAGCTATGATGATCATCAGCACCAGATCCTGCTTCCATCTCTGTGCTGCCTGCCATATTGTGTGCGCTCTGGGATGTCATAGCTGTCTCAGAGAGCAACCCTGAATTGTCCTTGGGTCATTCTTTGCTTTCTGTGTCCTTTGAGCATCCAGAAAGATGTGCAGCTTGTCCTGGTTACCATCTCCCTAGGAGAGATTCCTAAAGCTAATCCAATCATGCCCCCCATCCCTGTTCTCTTCTGTCCTCACCACACTTAAAACATTAATTGCAAGGACTCCTTCATCCTACACTCTACAATTACTAATTACACCTGATTTCCCACATAACTTTTTCACTGTGCTCCCTGGAATCATGATCTCTTAGCTGTGAACTACCCTATATCCATGGTCCTTTCTCTAAACTTTCCTTTCACCTTCTTGCCATAACAGAAATCTAGATGTTCCCTTACACATCATCTCCTTAAAGAGAGCTGCATGAGACACATTATTTCTTTTATCTCAAGAACTTCAGAGCATGAAGATAACCAATTATAAACCACCCTCTCCCCCTCCTTCAAAACCACAGTTTCTGTGAAAATCATGCTATAAGATCTTGCCAGATATCCTGCTGCAGTCATATTATTCCTTCATTCACTGATAACTTTTTAATGCCTGGTTCATTGTCTTCTTTTCCACCTCTATTCCTGAGACAATTTTCAATTATCTCAATGTACATTTAGCAGATTTTGTCTCATTCCCTTGACCTCCAACAATCTTTCTTTCATCCCACTTAAGCCACCTATTTTTATATCTTACTTTTACCAATAATTGGAATTTAACTGGAATTATCCTGTTTTTTCTCCTGCATCTTCAATGTGACTCTCCAATCAAACATTCCTAACACAGAACACACTTGTTCTAGCATCTTTCATCCTAGATGTTGGGGGTAGGCTTTCCTTTGAACCCACTTTCATTCTAGCTAAAGCCCTATCTGTGCTCCTATTTAAAGCAAGTCCTCTAGGGTGAGTTATGTTGTATTTGCTGTTTCAGTCTTCTCCCCTTGTATTTTGTCCTGCCATACCAATCAGACTGTAGCTCCTAGCATGCAGAGATGGCTTTTGTCAGAGTTGTCTGGATGTGAACACAGGTAGTGAGCTTTCTCCACTTTTATTTGACCTCTGCAGTATTCAACTTAATTTCTTCCTTCTGGAAGCACTTTCTTTTCTTGACTTCCATGATTTATGCCTTTTTTTCTATCACATGGGCTGTGTCATCTCAGGTTTGTTGCTAGCTCTCCTTATCTGCTTGACTTTTAAACATTAGAGGCTTTCCTGGCTATCATCTGAGCTCCCTTCTTTTTTCTAATTATACACCTTCCCAAGTGGATTATTTCAAAGTCATTTCAGTTTTAAATGTCACACTTGTTCACAAATCTCACGAATTTGAATATCTACTTCCTTCTTTTCCCTAGAAACCTCAATGTGCCAAGGTAGACTTGGCATGTCTACCTTGGATGTCTCATGGGCTTCTCAAGTTCACTGTTTTCAAAAGAGAACCCTCATCCTGCATCTGCCCACGTGTTCCCATCTTGAGAAATTACACCACAATATACTTAGATCAATGTTTCTATTTTTTTTATTATTACCACTATCCCCATTTTTTAAAGTTTTTTTCCGTATTGATCTCCCCCATGAAGTTTTAACATCAGAGATATACTGTATACCTGTTACTGTATTATGAATATCTATGCTTTATACATACAAAAGAGTGAGATATTCTTGTTTCCCCACCTCCCACAGATATTTCAGCCTCTTGAAGGCAATATCACCTCATTGGTAATGCACACCCTTGATGTTCAAATCATCCATCTCTTACCTTGATTCCTCCTGTTTCTTGCCCTCCAAATGGAACCCACTTCTAATTCCCACAGTGTCTCCTTGCACTCCATTATCTAAATCTTTTCTTGTGTTCCCATCTCTTAGACAACTAACCTGGGCTAAGCCACTATCACCTCTCAAATAGATGAATGCAGCAGCAGTTTAGGACCTACCTTCAATACTTGCCATCCAGATACATTTTTAAAAGAAGTCATTTATGCTATTCCCATGTTTGAAATCCTTCCATGACATTTTATTGTATTTAGAGTAAAGGAAAATACTCACAACCCTGGAATGAAAAGGTCTCTGGACTTACAAATCTCTATACAATCTGGACTTCATCTAACTCTCTCCTTCGTTTTCGATTCTGCCCACTGCCTGTTTTCTGTTTCTCTAATATGTCAAGCTTGTTTCTGTCTGTCAGACATGAAAAGTTCTTTACTCCGAGCATCACATGCATGGTCTCTTTGTCAATATCTCAGATTAAATATGTGTCTTCTCCACAATCCCACCTACTCACAATTTAAAAGAGCCACACAATCACTCTCTATCTCATTGTCGTGTTTTAAATTTTTGCACAGTTAATATTACTATTTATTTGTGGGTTTATTTGTTATTTGTCTGCCTTTCCTCATTTGTTATTTATTTCTTTTATTTATTTATTTATTTATTGAAACAGAGTTTTGCTCTTTTTGCCCAGGCTGGAGTGCAATGCGGCGATCTCAGCTCACTGCAACCTACGCTTCCTGGGTTCAAGCGATTATCCCTCCTCAGCCTTCCAAGTAGTTGGGACTCCAGGCGCCTGCCACCACGCCTGGCTAATTTTTGTATTTTTAATAGATATGGGGTTTTACCATGATGGCCAGGCTGGTCTCGAACCCCTGACCTCAGGTGATCTGCCTGCCTTGGCCTCCCAGAGTGCTGAGATTATAGGCATGAGCCACCACAGCAGGCCTGCCTTTCCTCATTTGAACACCAACTCTATGTCTTGTCTTTTCTTTCTCATTTCTATTCTCCCATTGCTCAGAACAGGGGCCAGCACATAGCAGGTGCTCAATAAGCATTCACTGAAAAAATTTGTAAATGGCATTCCTCTACAGCAATATCATACCAAAGCTAAGCTGTGCCAGTCCTTGCCCTGTTTTCTCTCTTATCTATTCAATCTATTGAACATTTTATCTTGGTTATGATACAGACAGTTTCTTCTTTGGGTTGTTAACTTTAGAATTGAACTTATTTGTTTTTGTTGGTTATTTCTTCTTGCTGTGATTTTCTGTTTCATTAATTACTGTTTTTTTTCCTTATTGCCACCCTATACATTCTTTGGGTTTACTCTGTTCATTTTCTAGTTTCTTTCCTGTCCATGTCTTGATTGCTATTGGATCCCTTTATCCCCTTGCACTTCTCTGTAGTTGCATTTTGTAGACTTCCGAGTCAACTGTCTCCCAACTTGGTTCAGCCAGTGGAAGGCATTGTGGGGAAACTAGACAGCAAGGGGAAAGGAGAAGTCATAGTGTTTCCCCCAGTCTCTCTGCCTCAGTGAGTATCTCTGGCAGTGACTGTATCTCCTCCCTCTTCCTATTGTTTTAAAGGTCTGTCACACTTTCTGTTTTCACTGGGTAACACCAGCCCCGGCATCGAACAGCTCTGGCTCTCTACTTTTTTTCCTTGTACTCTTGGAATGGTAATGGCTTTTTTCTGTGGCTAAAATCAGGTTGGCCCCACTTCTCCATATGGCTTTTTAGATGTTTCATAACTTTTGCCATGAACTGCCTCTATTCAGTTAAAACTCTAAATACATATAGTGACTGCTGCTTTCTTGGAAGGACCCTCTCTGATACAGAGAGATAATAAAACATTACAAATTAAAGACATTACATCCAGAAATGTCTTTCATTTTAAGTCACTGGCAGAGCTTTCACATTAGATTATTGAATCACTGTAGGTAAAATTTTACTTTAGTGCAGTTACAAGTATAATGCATTTTTGAGCTCCTAAAGGGTATCACAGATACTGAGATGATTTAACACTGATCAGTACCTTTAATAAAAGCTACGATGGTCAAATTGTGGAGGAAAGGAGGGGTGCCAGAGCACCAAGGCAAGGCAAATGTTTCACTCTTTAAAGAAAAAATGTGATAAAGTGTTAAGGGAAGGGAAAAGATTTCCTCAGAAACAAAGTAGTGCAGCAATTTTCAAAGTGCAGTCTGCAGGCCTCTGGGGTGCAGCCTGCGAGGCTGAAATTCTAAACAGTCCCCAGGTGATGTTGAAGCTACTGGTACATGGAACACACTTGAGGGCTTGCAGGTAATTAGAAAAGATTGAACTAAAGCAGGATTTCTCAATTTTGTTTGGTTTATAATTATCACCTGGGTTTTTTTTTTTCTTTTTCAGATGGCGTCTGGTCCTATCGCCCAGGCTGGAGTGCAGTGGCATTATCTCAGCTCACTGCAACCTCCGTCTCCTAGGTTCAAGCGATTCTCCTGCCTCAGCCTTCTGAGTAGCTGGGATTACAGGCATGCACCACCATGCCGTGCTAATTTTTGTATTTTTAGTAGAGACGGGGTTTCTCCATTCAGCCAACCTGGTCTCAAACTCCTGACTGCCGGTGATCTGCTCTCCTTGGCCTCCCACAGTGCTGGAATCACTTGGTATGCTTAATACAGCTCTCTATGTTCCTCCCTGGAGATTGGGTCTTAGTTCATCTGGCGTGGATGTCTAAATCTTGCGTGTTTAACAAAGACATTTTTATGATTCGGTAAATTTGGGAAACACTAGCTACATCATCATGATGTTTTCATGATGCTATTTTTCTGTATTTCCCATATGGCTGGCTATTAATTACATATATCTTTCCCCTAAAATCATTCTGTCTACTTTTTTCTGTTTTCTTTTGTCTTTTTTATTGTCCCCGTGACAGTAAGATTGCTATCAGAAGGAATAACAAAATATCCTCCCTTTTATTTCTTAATTACCAAGATAAGTGCTGAATACGTAAACCTGCTGATATGGTTTGGCTGTGTCCCCACCCATATCTCATGTTGAATGGTAATCCCCAGTGTTGGAGGAGGGACCTGGTGGAAGGTGATTGGATCATGGGGGCGAGTTTTCCTCTTACTGTTCTCATGACAGTGAGTAAGTTCTCACAAAATCTGGTTCTTTGACTGTGTAGCACTTCCACCGTTGCTCTCTCTCTCTCTCCTGCTCTGGTCATGTGAAAACCGTGCCTGCTTCCCGTTTGCCTTCTGCCATCATTGTAAGTTTCCTGAGGCCTTCCTAGAAGCAGAAGCCTTTGCAGTCCACAGTGAGCCAATTAAACCTCTTTTCTTAATAAATTACCCAGTCTCAGGTATGTCTTTATAGCAGCAGTGGGAGAACGAACTAATACACCTTCTATTATCACTTGGTAGCTAAATGATTTGGTGAAGTGATGTAATCTTATCTGTATAACAACTTTGTGAAGTTTATATTAGTTCCTTCATTGTGTGGACTAGAAAGCTGAGGTCCATAGACGCCAAATGCCTTGCTCAAGGTAACACAGGATGGAAGAGGTTGTGGAGTTGAGGGTGACTCTCATCTCAGTCCAATACCTGGTCCTTTAGACAGTGGACACTGTTTACCTGTAGTACCACCTTTTCCTATGCGCTGGTGAGGCACAGTGTCTGCACACTGTTGGCATCTTCTGCTCTTCTCTCCTTACTGTAGTTCTCCATTTATCATGGCTTTATATATCCTGCTTAGGACTTTACAATCTGAGGTTTGTGCCTGCTCTCCCCAGACACAAAAACATCAGCCCTGATTCTGACCATCATCAGGTTCTAAGTTGCTCTGTACAATATCTCTGGTCTTCCATATCCGTCTCAGTCTGCAGAGAAAGCAAAATTACGATTCAGTGAGATTCTTGATTTTAGTCTCTTCAGCACAACATTAAAATGTATTTCCTTAAATATTCTTTAATCAGACTAGCTGATCTGTGCAGAGCCATGTGGTGCGGTTGGTAGGGTAGGGAAATAAGTTTTACTTAATCGTTTAACAGTGCTTTTCATTGACCATTCTTGTGTCTGAGGTATTATCAATACAAATTTAACAGAGATCATTTATCTATTTATTTACCAATACTCACTGAGTACCTGTCCAGCACTGTGCAAGATACTGGAGAGGCAGTGCTGAGCAAAAGTTGACATGGATGCTGTCCTCATGGAGCTTCTGATTAAATGAAGGAGATAATTTTAAATAAGTAATCATGAGTGAATATATGATTACCAACGGAGGTCAGAGCTATGAAGGAACACAGATGTTAGAAAAAAAGCAACAAATTTGTGGCAGAAGTCAGCAAAGATATGGCCAGGGTAACCTGATTTTTCCTTTTATCCTTTTTGGTCAAGTTACATTGTTTATGGATTGAAAAATAATGAATATTTATCAAGTCACTATTACATACAAGTGGTTGCTTGTAAGCTTTTGATATGCTTTATCATATTACATCTGCACAGAAACAATATTAGCTTGATAAAGTAGCTACTCTCATGAAACTTCAGCTTCTTCATTTGTGACTTGTGGACAGACGGCTTATGTAACCTGTTTGTGGTCACAACAGCTAGCCAGGGGTGGGTGCTGAATTGAACACTAGTCTAACTCCAGTGCTCAAGTTTATAACAACTGTGGATTACTGCCTTAGGGAAACATGGTAGTTGTTGCATCTGGGAAGCCAAAAGGGTTTTATGTCATAGTTGGGCCATGATGGAGAAATACTGGTAATACATAAAAACAATTAGGTAGACTTGTAACTGGTTGAACCAAAAAAACCCAAAGGGAATTGTTTGATGGATGAAAATTGGGAGAAAGTTTTTAAATAGCATGATCCAGGGCTCCGTCGTTGGTCCTGACTAAAATGTTTTGTCAGTGGACCTGGAGAAAAATATGGAAAGAGCGGGTTTATCACATTTGTGGCCAAAAAGAAAAAGAAAAAAATGCTGAGAGGAGGAGCTAATATGTTGAGAGGAGTTACTACGTTTGATTGAAAACAATCAGTATTCACAACAACATCCACCAACTGAAATGAAGGTCTGAATCTAATTATATGAAACCTAATGCAAATGCAAAACCTCACTTTTTGAGTTCAGGGTATTAATTGCATAAATAGAGAAATGGGAAGATGAAGCTGAACGTTTTCATTTAGGGATTTTTGTAGTAAAAAAATATCAAGATAGGCAACATATAAAATGACATGTGAAAACCTTAATGAGATCCGTGCTTCACTATAAGATGTATAGAATCTGAGGAAAACTTTAGAAAGCAAAGGAGGTAAGAGGTGGTATTGTTTTATTTGGGCTGGTCATTTATGGGAGGAAGTGTTTTCCATGGTCTGAATGTTTTTGATCCCCCAAAATTTATATGTTGAAACCTGTCTCTAATGCAATCATATTAAGAGGTAGGGGCTTTAGGAGGTGACAAAGTCGTGAGGGCTTTGATCTCATGAATAAGATTAGTGCATCAACCTACTCATCTGACAAAGGGCTAATATCCAGAATCTACAATGAACTCAAACAAATTTACAAGAAAAAAACAAACAACCCCATCAAAAAGTGGGCGAAGGACATGAATAGACACTTCTCAAAAGAAGACATTTATGCAGCCAAAAAACACATGAAAAAATGCTCACCATCACTGGCCATCAGAGAAATGCAAATCAAAACCACTATGAGATACCATCTCACACCAGTTAGAATGGCAATCATTAAAAAGTCAGGAAACAACAGGTGCTGGAAAGGATGTGGAGAAATAGGAACACTTTTACACTGTTGGTGGGACTGTAAACTAGTTCAACCATTGTGGAAGTCAGTGTGGTGATTCCTCAGGGATCTAGAACTAGAAATACCATTTGACCCAGCCATCCCATTACTGGGTATATACCCAAATGACTATAAATCATGCTGCTATAAAGACACATGCACACGTATGTTTATTGCGGCATTATTCACAATAGCAAAGACTTGGAACCAACCCAAATGTCCAACAATGATAGACTGGATTAAGAAAATGTGGCACATATACACCATGGAATACTATGCAGCCATAAAAAATGATGAGTTCATGTCCTTTGTAGGGACATGGATGAAATTGGAAATCATCATTCTCAGTAAACTATCGCAAGAACAAAAAACCAAACACCGCATATTCTCACTCATAGGTGGGAGTTGAACAATGAGATCACATGGACACAGGAAGGGGAATATCACACTCTGGGGACTGTGGTGGGGTCGGGGGAGCGGGGAGGGATAGCATTGGGAGATATACCTAATGCTAGATGACGAGTTAGTGGGTGCAGCGCACCAGCATAGCACATGTATACATATGTAACTAACCTGCACAATGTGCACATGTACCCTAAAACTTAAAGTATAATTAAAAAAAAGAGAAAGTGGTGATAACAAAATATAATAAAAAGTATAATAAAAAAAAAAAAAAGAAAAGGGACTTGAGAGAGACTGTTTGCCCCTTCCACCATGTGAGGGCACATGGAAGGCACTATCTGTGAGTAACGGGACCTCAACAGACACTGAATCTTCTAGTACCCTAATTTTGGAATTTCTACCCTCTAGAGCTGTGAACAATACATTTATATTTTTAATACATTATTCAGTTGAAAGTGTTTTGTTATAGCCACCTGGAATGGACTAAGAGAGTATTGTACATAATTTTAGCACCTTATAGAAAGGTTGTACATAGACCAGTCAAGTCATTTAGAGGAGACAAGTAGGATGGGGAAAAGCTTAGAAATAATTTCATCTGGGGAACAGATAAAAATAAAATGAATAAATAAAACTATGTTGTTTGGTCTAGAAAAGCTAAGACTCCAGGTAGTTGACAAGCTGCCTTTTGCATTTTGACTCTCCTGGGAGAGAAGATATGAGATCAAGGCAAAGGTTGTGGTGCAGAGTTTTGGATGAGACCACTGAGCACAGAAGCAGAAGCTATGAGAGAATAACTGTTATTATTCCCCATTCTACAGACGAGAGAGTAGAGATCTAGAAAGTTTAAGTAATTTAGTCTGGGTTAAGAGCTTACTGGATAAATCAGAGAGAAGGAGAGCAGAGAAGGTGATATATTTTAGGGAAGGCTTCAAAATGCAAATCAGAAGCCAGTCCAAATAGGCATCCAGTAACAAAAATAATTATAGGAAAAAATGTGTCGATATTATTTTATACCAAGAACTCTGTTATATGTTTTGCATAGCTGGTCTTATTTAATATTTGTAGCAATACTTTTCTTCATTTTAACAATGGGAAGACTAATGCTGGGGAAAATTAAGTAGCTTGCTTGTACACAGCAGAACTGGGACTCAGTCATATCAGGGTTGATTCCAGAGCCTATGCTAGTAACCAGCTCTGTTGCTTCTAATAGTATAGAGCAGGTGGAAACCAAAATATTAGAGTGGGAGAGCAAAGGATTCAGGGGCTAGGAAAAAAAGTGGCATTTGCTCAAGGAGAAAGGTTGACAGTATCTAGTAATGCATTGAGCTGGAGATCCAAGTGGTCTAGAGGGGCTGGATGAAGTCGGTGAAATGATCAAGATTGTGCTGGAAAGCAATGGCTGTACCAAGTCCACTGACATCCGCTTTCCCTGGGGTTGAGTATTTCGCCACAACACATTAAAATTAGACAAATGCATCCAGGACGTCCTGAGGAGACATTCATGTCTCTTCAGGACAATACCACTCTGCTTGAGTGCTGTTTTCACCTTCTTTTGCCTAGAAAGGTTTTCTGTTCTATTTTTAATGAAAAAAAAAATCATTAAGGATGAACAAGGCACATACAAAGTGCTTTGAACAGCAAGGCTGTCACATTGACATTGTAATTTGTATTGAGGTAATGCCTCCCTGCCCAAGCTTTACATATTTTCTCTCTTGTAGACTTCACACATATAGCACAAGAGATATTATCTTTCTCTCCAGACGTTGGGGAAAGAAAAGCCATCATGCATTCTAACATTAGACTTACTTCTGGGGAAACTGAGGCTGACAGGACACAATCTGGGTCTCATCAAAAAAGACCAATCATAACGGAAAAGCCTAGGCTGGACTCTGCTTCTTGGGGCCTTTATTTCCCACAGCTTGCTGCCTCCCTGCTTAAGCCAGAGGAATCACTTTGTTCTCAAAATTCTTCATCCAGAATGTAATATACCCACTTCTGGAACAGGCCAGGGGCCTGTTGGTGGAAAAAGTATCTCAAGCCTACCCTGTTGAGTTCTTGCAGCTGGTGGTCTCTCTTCCCTGCTAAGCAACAACTGCTTCATGATTTAATTTTTCATTCCTCAGCATCTTGCTGTGCACTGCTTTATTAAGAGGAATTTACTCTTCAATTTCCTGTAGTGATTTCAAATTCCCAAGGTTATTGCAGCGCCTTACTTTATAGCAACAATTATACCCCACTCCCTAAGGTCGTAAACAATTGGAAAATACATCCTCAGAGGAATCTTTGGATGTCAGATGACACCAGCTTGCAACAACATTAACTCTCTCATAGGAAACTCTCTTGTGAGATGCTAGGAAGTGGGAGAGAAGAAGGAACTCAAACAAGGATAGGGTCTTTTACATGTCCTGGCCAGGTCTCAGCACTCAGAGAGTGCCTTAAGAGAGGGGATCATGGAGATAGTATAGGCTTTCTCTTACAGGGAGTAGTTTCATGCTTGCAGGGGGTCAAATTTATTTCCTCAAGCCTATAATCATCTAGTCACATAACTCTCCTCACAAGAGTAGTTATTTTAAATGTGCAACATTTTCAAGGAAAGTTACTGCTGAGGCTCCTTTAATCTTTAGAGCCAGTTGGTAGGTGGGCCTGTATTGTGCCTATTTTATGGTACTCTCACAATTCCTTCAGGGCAGCATCTGGGACAATCATAAATTCTTCAGATGGGAGGTGGGGAAGATGCTATAGACCTTCAAATACAACTCCTGCATTTTATAAGGAGGGAAACTGAGGCTCTGAGAGGGTAATTCAGTTAACATACTAACACATTGTAAGGAAACTGGAAGACATTTTTCTTATTGCTTTTAGTTATCCACAAATCCCACATTCACTATAGAGAGAAGAATAATGCACTGAGGATTCACAGATTATTTTTTCATTTCTATTCAATTTGATATCTTCTTTACTTCAATTTTTCTGTATAACAACACAAATTTTTGAGACTTATTTAAAAAATAACTGAGCAACCTATGGGTCTTGAATTAATTTAATCTTAGAGGAAAACAAAATGTTTAACCTCAGTTATGACAATAGTTAATTAAAGGACCCATCCAGAGGATACCATGGCATAACTTTCCCATCTCATCTTTGCTGGAGATAGCAGCATCTGCAGCACGATGAGATGGGAAAGTTATGCCATGAAATGGTAACTTTCTACAGGCCTTTCCTAGACAGGAGGATTGAGAGGAAGATTTCAATCACCCTAGAAGATGTGAATCAAAATATCTGTATCGGTTTTGTTCTTTATTATCAATCCCCAGCCTCAGGTTGGTAATGAAATCATGATTTGTAGAAATATCTATTAGTAGTTGAGTAAGTTTGTATTTCACATGACTATTTTGTAAAGAACAAACTGTAATGTTTTATGTTTCTCTCTCTGGCTGTGTCAGTAGTGGGAATGTCCAAAGGAGAGAAGTAAGTTGAGGAGTATATATCAGTGACCTTGTTTGAAAAAGGTTCTTTCTGGAATAGGGGAAGACCTAGGAAACTGGATCCTGATCAGAAACCTTGCCAAAAATTGACTTTATTCATTCAGCAAGTTGTGTTTGAGAATTACTGGGTGCATAGTACATGTGTCAACCTTTGTTTTCCGGTGGGAAATAGAAATCACATTTGAGAAGGGTAGAGAGAACACAAATGGGACAAAATTATGACTAGTGACCTACAAAGAAATTCAAGAAGTTTAGGAGAAGTGAAGAAAGATTAACATCTGCTGAACCTCTACTCTGTCTCAGGGACTATGTGAAATGCTTTGTTAACACAGTATTTTCATTTGTGAAATTACTTTAAACTGGATGACTTTTGATGTGGAAAAGCTTAATCATAGTAATTTTCCCATGCTGTCACTGCTAGTAAGTTGGGTTGGGTCTGGGTTGAAACCAGAAACTTTCCATTATTCTAAAGGATAAAGGAGGGAGAATGTTGGAACCCATAGAAAGATGGAGAGCTGTATGGAGAGTGATGGCTGGCAGAAGCTGCAGGCTTTCAGGCTTTCATTAAGACTTGCATCCATCCAAAGAGGAACTCACAGCAAGGGAGCTTGAGAATAAGTACCCAAACCTCACTCTCATCCTTTCCTCCAATTTCCTGCTCCTCACTGTCGGAACTGAAACAGAATCCAGAAAGAAGAAATGTCTTTTCCATAGGTTAGCCTCCCCAGCATTCTAGCAGAATGGGGAATAATGTAAATTGGATCTAGAAGAGCAAATGCTTATCTACCTCTGAGAGTTATTGCAAGGATTACATGGTATAAAACATGTGAAATACTGAGATTGATACCAGTCACATGATAAGCTCTCATAAAACTCCAGAGTTGAAATGGCTCAGAATTCATTTGTATTTACTTCAACAGCTTCATTTGACAAATGAATACACAGATATGCTTAGAGAGAAGTGATTTACCCCAAGTCATACCTATAGAGACAAAGTCAAGAATAAAACTCAGTTCTGCTGTATAGTTGCTAGAGACCCAAATCTGTAACCCGTTTACCTAAGGGAGTGCACAGAGCCAGTCCCATGTCCAAATGGGACTCTGATCTTTTGACTTCACATCTCACTGGACCTCCAGCAAAGGCCTGGGTCTTCCAGCAAATGCTCTGTTAACAATCTGTATTTCACAGAGAGAACCATGCCTTTCTAGGCTGCTTGGCACTCTGGCTAGCCTGTACCTTTCTTATAAGTTTCTCTGTGAGAATGAGAATATATCTTATAAATTTCAAGAAAGAAGAAGGAAAAAGTGAGGACCCCCTATTACACGCCCAGCAGTTTTGAAAATGGATTTTTGTTTTTTTTTGGTCGACAGTAACCATGCCAGAGTAGGAAGCAGAGCCAGAAAATTTTAAAAAGCAGCACCCTCTTCCCAGGAATATGAATGCTGTGCAGGGGCAGTAAAGAGGACAGGGTCCTTCATAAAAACTTCAGCCAGTTATGTGGTGACTAGCCACACAAGTTTGCCTAGGATTGTCTTGGTTTTATCATGGAAAGTTTCTCACCCCAGACAACCTCCTCTCTCCGGAATCCAGGGCAAACCAGGATGACCAATCACCCTAGACAATTTAGAGTTTTGTCTAGGCATGAGCCCTGTGTTCAGGTTCTTACCTGATGCTTATTTGGGTTCTTTTAGAATCCAAACAGTTGCATTTCCAAGTAATAATCAGCATTTGCCTCTGGGAATACTAATGAGCATATGATAATCAAAAAGTGGTCACAAGGATAGAAACAAAAATTAAGAAGCAGCTTAAAAACAAAACAGGGAGCAGATGATATAATTATTTGTCATTCAAAATGCACTACATTTCTTCAAGAGAATGCTCAAAGTGCCAATGTATCTGGTGAACAAAGACTGGGCTAGTGGCCAGTATAAGACTGGGTGTGAAATACAAAGAATCTCAGGATAAGGAAAAGAAAAAGTTGCCTCAAAAGCTACATTTTGAGAAGGGTTTCAATGTCATTATTTCTATACGGTTCTGAACTTGAATGTAAATAGATTTCCTTGCCTAACCTGCTTGTGTCCAATTTCCATCAGGAAGCTTGTCCAACATATTGATTCATCGTCAATGTACCTAGTAAGTCTGTGTGTACTAAGAGCCTTGAATAATACCCAACATGTGCTCAGTGAAACTCTCATACTTGTGATGGGGAAAAGTAAAATATAATCTATGATAATCCTAGCCTTCCTACTTTTCTGAATGGCCTGGTTGGCTTTGTCTTTATTTTTTGAATTTGACAATCTGAGGGAAAACTTTGTGGTGCCAGATCAATTCTTGAGATTTCTGTGGTGGTAAACCAGGTGAAAAGGCAGGTGGTTTGGTTTTTTGAAGAATGATGAAGTAGACAAGAGAGAGCAATGGAAAGTTTTCAAAGACATCCAAGCGACCATGATTGACCCTTGTAATCGCCTAGAATGTAACTTAGAAAATTAAATGATGATTAATTTTCTCGCATGAACAGTGTTCTTTTAAAGATGGCACAATTATGGGATGGAAGCACATGAATCAAAAACTTATAAGTTTAAGATAATATTCTATGTACACGACTTTATACTACTGATAGAATATGGCAGAAAAAAGCTATTCTGTTATTTCAAAATTGATGCATATCAGCTACTTTATATCAGTGAACATGGTGTGCTTTGTCATATACTAAAATCTATATAACAGCAAACAGTATTTTCTTGGCATTCTTTTTTTTGAGACAAGATCTGGTTCTGTCATCCAGGCTGGAGTGCGGTGGCACAACCTGTGCTCACAGCAACCTCTGCCTCCTGGGCTCAAGTGATTCTCCCACCTTAGCCTCCCCAGTAGCTGGGACTATAGGCATGTGCTGCCAGGTCCAGCTAAATTTTTTGTGTTTTTGTAGAGAAGAGGTCTCACCAGTTTTCCCAGGCTGGTGTCAAACTCCTGGGCTCAAGTGATCTGCCTGCCTTGGCCTCCCGAAGTGCTAGGATTTCAGGCATGAGCCACCAAGCCCAGCCTGTTGACATTCTTTAATGTAAAATTTTACATAAAATTATTACATTTTCAAGTATGTCTATGCTGTAAGCTAGTCTGGATATTAAAATAGTCTCATTAATTTAAATTGCCGCAATTTTGCTTTTTGTTTTTGTTTTTATTATCCTTTAAGTTTTATGGTACATGTGAACAACATGCAGGTTAGTTACATATGTATATATGTGCCACGTTGGTGTGCTGCACCCATTAACTCGTCATTTACATTAGGTATATCTCCTAATGCTATCCCTCCCCACTTCCCCCACCCCACAACAGGCCACGGTGTGTGACGTTCCCCTTCCTGTGTCCAAGTGTTCTCATTGCTCAATTCCCACCTATGAGTGAGAACATGTGGTGTTCGGTTTTTTGTCCTTGCAATAGTTTCCTGAGAATGATGGTTTCCAGCTTCATCCATGCCCCTAAAAAGGACGTGAACTCATCATTTTTTATGGCAGCATAGTATTCCATGGTGTATATGTGCCACATTTTCTTAATCCAGTCTATCATGGTTGGACATTTGGGTTGGTTCCAAGTCTTTGCTATTGTGAATAGTGCCGCAATAAACATACATGTGCATGTATCTTTATAGCAGCATGTTTTATAGTCCTTTGGGTATATACCCAGTAATGGGATGGCTGGGTCAAATGGTATTTCTAGTTCTAGATCCCTGAGGAATCGCCACATTGTCTTCCACAATGACTGAACTAGTTTACAGTCCCACCAACAGTGTAAAAGTGTTCCTATTTCTCCACATCCTCTCCAGCACCTGTTGTTTTCTGACTTTTTACTGATGGCCATTCTAACTGGTGTGAGATGGTATCTCATTGTGGTTTTGATTTGCATTTCTCTGATGGCCAGTGATGATGAGCATTTTTTCATGTGTCTGTTGGCTGCATAAATGTCTTCTTTTGAGAAGTGTCTGTTCATATCTTTCACCCACTTTTTGATGGGGTTGTTTGTTTTTTTCTTGTAAATTTGTTTGAGTTCATTGTAGATTCTGGATATTAGCCCTTTGTCAGATGACTAGATTGCAAAAATTTTATCCCATTCTGTAGGTTGGCTGTTCACTCTGAGGGTAGTATCTTTTGCTGTGCAGAAGCTCTTTAGTTTAATTAGATCCCATTTGTCAATTTTGGCTTCTGTTGCCATTGCTTTTGGTGTTTTAGACATGAAGTCCTTGCCCATGCCTATGTCCTGAATGGAATTGCCTAGGTTTTCTTCTAGGGTTTTTATGGTTTTAGGTCTAACATTTAAGTCTTTAATCCATCTTGAATTAATTTTTGTATAAGGTGTAAGGAAGGGATCCAGTTTCAGCTTTCTACATATGGCTAGCCAATTTTCCCAGCACCATTTATTAAATAGGGAATCCTTTCCCCATTGCTTGTTTTTGTCAGGTTTGTCAAAGATCAGATAGTTGTAGATGTGCGGCATTATTTCTGAGGGCTCTGTTCTGTTCCATTGATCTATATCTCTGTTTTGGTACCAGTACCACGCTGTTTTGGTTATCGCAGCCTTGTAGTATAGTTTGAAGTCAGGTAGCATGATGCCTCCAGCTTTGTTCTTTTGGCTTAGGATTGACTTGGCAATGCGGGCTCTTTTTTGTTTCCATATGAACTTTAAAGTAGTTTTTTCCAATTCTGTGAAGAAAGTCATTGGTAGCTTGATGGGGATGGCATTGAATCTATAAATTACCTTGGGCAGTATGGCCATTTTCACGATATTGATTCTTCTTACCCATGAGCATGGAATATTCTTCCATTTGTTTGTATCCTCTTTTATTTCATTGAGCAGTGATTTGTAGTACTCCTTGAAGAGGTCCTTGACATCCCTTGTAAGTTGGATTCTTAGGTATTTTATTCTCTTTGAAGCAATTGTGAATAGGAGTTCACTCATGATTTGATTCTCTGTTTGTCTGTTATTGGTGTATAAGAATGCTTGTGATTTTTGCACATTGATTTTGTGTCCTGAGACTTTGCTGAAGTTGCTTATCAGCTTAAGGAGATTTTGGGCTGAGACGATGGGGTTTTCTACATATACAATCATGTCATCTGCAAACAGGGACAATTTGACTTCCTCTTTTCCTAATTGAGTACCATTTATTTCCTTCTCCTGCCTGATTGCCCTGGCCAGAACTTCCAACACTATGTTGAATAGGAGTGATGAGAGAGGGCATCCCTGTCTTGTGCCAGTTTTCAAAGGGAATGCTTCCAGTTTTTGCCCATTCAGTATGATATTGGCTGTGGGTTTGTCATAGATAGCTCTTATTATTTTGAGATATGTCCCATCAATACCTAATTTATTGAGAGTTTTTAGCATGAAGTGTTGTTGAATTTTGTCAAAGGCCTTTTCTGCATCTATTGAGATAATCATTTGGTTTTCGTCTTTGGTTCTGTTTATATGCTGGATTACATTTATTGATTTGCATATGTTGAACCAGCCTTGCATCCCAGGGATGAAGCCCACTTGATCATGGTGGATAAGCTTTTTGATGTGTTGCTTGATTTGGTTTGCCAGTATTTTATTGAGGATTTTTGCATCGATGCTCATCAGGGATATTGGTCTAAAATTCTCTTTTTTGGTTGTGTCTTTGCCAGGCTTTGGTATCAGGATGACGCTGGCCTCATAAAATGAGTGAGGGAGGATTCCGTCTTTTTCTATTGATTGGAATAGTTTCAGAAGGAATGGTACCAGCTCCTCCTTATACCTCTGGTAGAATTCGGCTGTGAATCCGTCTGGTCCTGGACTTTTTTTGGTTGGCAAGCTATTAATTATTGCCTCAATTTCAGAGGGTGTTATTGGTCTATTCAGAGATTCAACTTCTTCCTGGTTTAGTGTTGGGAGGGTGTATGTGTCCAGGAATTTATCCATTTCTTCTGGATTTTCTAGTTTATTTGTGCAGAGGTGTTTACAGTATTCTTTGATGGTAGTTTGCATTTCTGTGGGATCGGTGGTGATATCCCCTTTATCATTTTTTATTGCATCTATTTGATTCTTCTCTCTTTTCTTCTTTATTAATCTTGCTAGCGGTCTATCAATTTTTTTGATCTTTTCAAAAAACCAGCTCCTGGATTCATTTATTTTTTGAAGGGTTTTTTGTGTCTCTATCTCCTTCAGTTCTGCTCTGATCTTAGTTATTTCTTGCCTTCTGCTAGCTTTTGAATGTGTTTGCTCTTGCTTCCCTAGTTCTTGTAATTGTGATGTTAGGGTGTCAATTTTAGATCTTTCCTGCTTTCTCTTGTGGGCATTTAGTGCTATAAATTTCCCTCTGCACACTGCTTTAAATGTGTCCCAGAGATTCTGGTATGTTGTGTCTTTGTTCTCATTGATTTCAAAGAACATCTTTATTTCTGCCTTCATTTCGTTATGTACCCCATAGTCATTCAGGAGCAAGTTGTTCAGTTTCCATGTAGTTGAGCGGTTTTGAGTGAATTTCTTGCTCCTGAATTGTAGTTTGATTGCACTGTGGTCTGAGAGACAGTTTGTTATAATTTCTTTTCTTTTACATTTGCTGAGGAGTGCTTTACTTCCAACTGTGTGGTCAATTTTGGAATATGTGCGGTGTGGTGCTGAGAAGAATGTATATTCTGTTGATTTTGGTGGAGAGTTCTGTAGATGTCTATTAGGTCTGCTTGGTGCAGAGCTGAGTTCAATTCCTGGATATCCTTGTTAACTTTCTGTCTCGTTGATCTGTCTAATGTTGACGGTGGGGTGTTAAAGTCTCCCATTATTATTGTGTGGCAGTCTAAGTGTCTTTGTAAGTCTCTAAGGACTTGCTTTATGAATCTGGGTGCTCCTGTATTGGGTTCGTATATATTTAGGATAGGTAGCTCTTCTTGTTGAATTGATCCCTTTACCATGATGTAATGGCCTTGTTTGTCTCTTTTGATCTTTGTTGGTTTAAAGTCTGTTTTATCAGAGACTAGGATTTCAACCCCTGCCTTTTTTTGTTTTCCATTTGCTTGGTAGATCTTCCTCCTTCCCTTTATTTTGAGCCTATGTGTGTCTCTGCACGTGAGATGGGTTTCCTGAATACAGTACACTGATGGGCCTTGATTCTTTATCCAATTTGTCAGTCTGTGTCTTTTAATTGGAGCATTTAGCCCATTTACATTTAAAGTTAATATTGTTATGTGTGAATTTGGTCCTGTCATTATGTTGTTAGCTGGTTGTTTTGCTCGTTAGTTGATGCAGTTTCTTCCTAGCCTCAATGGTCTTTATAATTTGGCATGTTTTTGCAGTGGCTGGTACCGGTTGTTCCTTTCCATGTTAAGTGCTTCCTTCAGGAGCTCTTTTAAAGCAGGCCTGGTGGTGACAAAATCTCTCAGCATTTGCTTGTCTGTAAAGGGTTTTATTTCTCCTTCACTTATGAAGCTTAGTTTGGCTGGATATGAAATTCTGGGTTGAAAATTCTTTTCTTTAAGAATGTTGAATATTGGCCCCCACTCTCTTCTGGTTTGTAGAGTTTCTGCTGAGAGATCAGCTGTTAGTCTGATGGTCTTCCCTTTGTGGGTAACCCAACCTTTCTCTCTGGCTGTCCTTAACATTTTTTCCTTCATTTCAACTTTGGTGAATCTGACAATTATGTGTCTTGGAGTTGCTCTTCTCCAGGAGTATCTTTGTGGCGTTCTCTGTATTTCCTGAATTTGAATGTTGGCCTGCCTTGCTAGATTGGGGAAGTTCTCCTATCCTGCAGAATGTTTTCCAACTTGGTTCCATTCTCCCCATCACTTTCAGGTACACCAATCAGATGTAGATTTGGTCTTTTCACATAGTCCCATATTTCCTGGAGGCTTTGCTCATTTCTTTTTATTCTTTTTTCTCTAAACTTCTCTTCTTGCTTCATTTCATTCATTTGATCTTCCGTCACTGATACCCTTTCTTCCAGTTGATCGAATCGGCTACTGAAGCTTGTGCATTCTTCACATAGTTATTGTGCCATGGTTTTCAGCTCCAGCAGGTCCTTTAAGGACTTCTCTGCATTGGTTATTCTAGTTAGCCATTCGCCTAATCTTTTTTCAAGGTTTTTAACTTCTTTGCCATGGGTTTGAACTTCCTCCTTTAGCTCGGAGAAGTTTGATCGTCTGAAGCCTTCTCTCAACTGGTCGAAGGCATTCTCCATCCAGCTTTGTTCTGTTGCTGGTGAGGAGCTGCATTCCTTTGGAGGAGGAAAGGCTCTCTGATTTTTAGAATTTTCAGTTTTTCTGCTCTGTTTTTTCCCCATTTTTGTGATTTTATCTACCTTTGGTCTTTGATGATGGTGACGTACAGATGGGGTTTTGCTGCAGATGTCCTTTCTGTTTGTTAGTTTTCCTTCTAACAGTCAGGACCCTCAGCTGCAGGTCTGTTGGAATTTCGGCAATTTTGTAAACAAAACTTTGAAGTACATAGGATCAAAAATAGAAAAGCTTGAATGGTAACCCAAATTGGACCACTAATTTGGTCAGTGAATTTGGGAACTTGGCTCTACTTCTTTAGGTTTTAGCAACTGAAGAGTTATACAAGATTTTGGGGGATCGAACTTGATCCAAGTAAACCCAATGAGAAAAATCTTAAAGTTCTATGCAAATGCAAAATTACTATTATATGCATTGCATGAATATTAATTTTCTAAAGGGTTAGGAAGCTATAAAGTGTACTTATCATTAAATGGATTCTACTTTTAATCTTCCTGTGATAATTTAGAAAGCACAAAGGCAAAGCTGCCCCTATAAAATAGAGTGGTAAAATTTGGTTCAGTGGTAGTGCTTCTATTTCAGATTTGACCATCAGGCTGTTAAACATGTGTGATAATTTACATTTGAATTTATTTTATGTTTGCCCTGTACTGAGTTAAAGGCCATTTCCCATTGCCTTTCCCAGCCCCTCTATATATACTGGTTCACACTTACTAGTCTCTAAATCTCTTATAGTAAACACTACACATTCTCAAGCCAGGTAAGGCATAGGTGCCTTATTTTTACCTTTTATCTCAAGGTTAATCAGCATTTTGAAACCCTGGCAGGAAATTCCAACTGGTGGCAGAATGGAGCAGTCTGTTCTGCATTAAAACCCTAACTGCAGGATTGGTCTCTACCACACGAGATGTAGTAAGTGGTCAGCAGGAAGTGTTGATGGTTGGTAGAAGCACATTCTGTGATTGGGTATTAGCTTTTTTGAGCCTCAGTTTTCTCACCTATATAATGAAGTCACTATTGCATGGCTTTTTTGAGGACATTTGGGAACACTCATGTTCAGAATTCAGCACAGTGCAGGATACATAGCAAAGCACAAGGTCCATATGTATTAACTATTATTATTATCTGACCCTCCATATAAGTCAGATTCCATTGTTATATAATGCTCAAAGAACTGGATTCATTTCCATCGTGATCCTAATAATGGCTTGTACTTTTACCTTCATTATTGTGGCTTTTTGCTTAAAACCCATCACCTCCATCAGCACAGCATCTCTGCCTCCTTTTTTCTCAGTAGGGTGTCTCCAGCTATCAGAACGTGCCTGGCATGTTGTAGGTGCCCAGTGCATATTTGTTAAATAAATAAATGATTTCCATGAAATTTGTACTGATAATCACAGAGACATAAGAATAATCAGTGAAAAGCAATATTAAACCCTAAAGGAAGACTCATTTCCCCATTCCACCAGCCCTACCACATGGCTCTGTACACAACAGTTGTTCTGACTGAAGAATACTCAAGGGAATACATTTTACTGCTGTGCTGAAGAGCCTACAATTGAGAATCTCACTGGATCATAGTTTGGCTTTTTCTGAAGACTGAGATGAATATGGATGTTCTCAAAGATCAGAGATACTGGACTGAGCAATTCTGAACCTGATGCTGGTCAGAATCAGGACTGATCTTCAGGGCTTGAAGGCCTGGGGAGGGCAGGCACAAACCTCAGAGTGTAAAGTCCTGAGCAGGAGACATAAAGCCATGGTAAACATGGTAAGTTAAGGAGAGAAGGGCAGACAGTGACAACAGTGTGCAGACACTGTGCCTCATAAGCACACAGGAGGAGGCTGTACCACACGTGAACAGTATCCAGTGTCTGAAGGACCAGCTACTGGATCCTTCAGAGATAGCTTCACAGAATCACTTAACTACAGGATGATAACAGCAGGTTTGCATATTGAATATTCATTTTTGGTTATTAAAAACAAAAAGGACATTATTCTTTCTAGTAGGGATTTTAATGTTTCTGGGATGAAACAACATACCAAAACAAAGCTGGAGATAGGAATCTGTTAAAACCCTACTGTATAGTTAGTTCTCTGAGTAAATAAAGCAGAATGATGGAAAGTCAACATTGAAAACCATCTTGAAGATCATTCAGTTAGTATTTCCCCAAATTGGCTGATTGTAACAATTATCAGGTTAAAATCACAGATTCTAAACTTACACTGAAGAATAACTAAGACATAATTCCCAGGGTGGGGGCCTAGTTATTGTTATTAACAAGAGCACTAGATGATTCTTATTACTGGATGAAATTGGTAAACACTGCAGAGTTAGTTCAATCTTTGTTGATTGCTTGAATCTCTTTAAGTTCTTACTACTCAAACAGCAGGCCTTAAACCACCAATAACAACACCACCTGGGAGTGTTAGAACTGTGGAACCTCATACCGCATCTTGGACTTAACGGCATTCAGATCTCTAGTTTAACAAGATCCCAGGTGATTCTTACACATGTCAAATTTTGAGAAGCACCAGTCTAAGACATCTTCACCTATTCTTGCACACAGTCAGTAACAAAGAAATCTCTCCCAGGAAAACTTCTTTTTTTTTTTTTTTGGCATCTCTGATTATTTAGAATAGAGGAGCATCTACCTTCTCTGATGTGCCAGCATTTTTTTTTTTTTAGAATTGAGCCACTGATTGCAACACAGACTAGTTAGACCTAACATTTCCAGGAGTCCTAATAATGGTTGGTATTAATGCACTTCCACAATACCAATCCTCAAAATCAGAAGGTGTTTTGTGTTTCTTCCTTTATTTTTTAAAACTTGTGTTAAAAAACAAATAATGTAAAATTTACCGTCTTAACGATTTTAAAGTGCATCTCAGTAGCATTACCTATATGCACATTCTCATGCAGCAGATCTCTAGAACTTTTTCATCTTGCAAAACTGAAACTCTATCCCTACTGGACAATGATTTTTCTCTTCTTCCTCTTCCTGGTCTTTTGCTCTCTTTGAAAAAGTTGGCCACCATGTTGTGAAAGGGCCCTGAGAAGCTCATCTGGCAATGAATTGCAGCTGGCTTCCAGAGGAACTAAGCATGGCTGACACATTGATTGAAGCCCTGTTTTGTATGTCATGTGTTATTTTAAGCCACCAAGTTTGCATTAATTTGTTATGCAGCCATAAAAAACAAATACATCTTTAGAGTGAGACTTAGAAACTGTGAGAATATCCTGTTCCCATCAATGTTTTATCTAACAATTTTATTATCATCTTATTCTTTTTACATTATTGTTGAAAGAATTAAATTATTCCATGTTGGTATAATAATCACCTCCAAGATGGTAAATGAGCTTTTTCCCCTTTATTATTATTATTACTAATGAGTTTTATTTAATAAATATATTACAAACAATTATAGCCACTTTCTTGCTTCACATAGCTTTTGAAATATCATTTATTTTGACAAATAAAATTTGTTTACCTAAGTTGTAAATGAAGTAATGGGTCTTGTACTAATGGACCTTTAATAGAAGGGATAATGTGCATTTTATGTTATTTAGCAACCTCAGTATTCTGGGCTTTGATTTTGCAGGCCCTCTCCAAATGAAGGTTGACTTCTAGCAGATTCAGCTACAAATCTGGCCTTTTTGCATTTGTTAATTCACATCTTAGTTTTTGAGAACCTTTGAGTAATTCCTACGAGATCACCTAGAGCCAATAGATCAGTATTTCTTTAAGCAAGTATTTCTTGCAGCAAAGACTCTCCCATACAGTTTCATGAGGTGTTATGACTCCATTTTAAAACACACAGTAAGGCATTGGTAACTGGCTTCTTAGCACTAAACTTTCCGGTGCTTTCTTCTCTTGCAAGAGCCTCATTCTGAGCTTTAGTTCTGATCTGAGTGGGAATGTTGGCTCCATGTTTTCTGTAGAGTTTTCCTTGGACTTCTTGAAATACAGGCCCCTGAAAACGCACTCTCCTCTGTTTTCTGTGAAATTGATGAACTAGGAATCCTTGTGAATCCTACCCAAGTAACTTCTTCAGGCAGGAAAAGGCAGAAGCTCTGGACTTCCCTGGAAAGTACACAATTTGGCATTTGCTTGAGGAATAGAAAACACCATGAATCATTAATGGTCAAAATGCAATAGGCAATTTTGCACCAAACACAATTAGTATGTGTCTTGAGAACCAAGCCTACCCTATTGGTAAACCAAGAAAATGTTCACAGTCTCAGGGACAGTAGAAACTCAACACACTAAGAGTCCAGAAGAGAGATGGCTGCTCCAAAGGGATCTGGGAAATTCTTATAGAAGAAAGAAAAACATATACTATCATTGCAAAATGCATAGTCATTGAGAAAATGAAAAAGAAGGTTCCTGTGAAGTTCAAGAGATTTGTACTTTTTTTTTTTTTTTTTCAGTGAAAAGAGGCTTAGAGACTCAAACAGCTCAGTAATGCTTCTGCTGTTGGTTACTGCATCTAAGACAGGGTAAGTAGAAATAGTCCTGGGCTGTGACCTAGGGGATCTGAATTCCAGCTTTGAGTTCCTATCCCTAGTTTTGTATTCATCTCTTTAAAGAATACTGTTATTTTTTTCTTCCACCATTTATTTTCATTGCTACATGGAAATTATTTTGCTACATTTATCAAAATGGTGAATCAAACACTTAGAATTTTCTGTAGAATAACCGAGTATTAGAACTAGAGGAGGTCTAATAAATCTATGAGTCAAGGACCTAGTTCCCGTGGGTGTTTAATAGAAAATGGATGAAGCAGCCTGGGTTTATTTTATAGTGGGGACTTAAATTATATTACTTTCCTGCCTACATATACACATGGAAGAGAGTCCTTTATTTCCAGAAAGACATATGTTCTCTCTCACTTTTCTTGAAACATATGGTCACTCAGTCCTTCTTTGGTTTACTTTCTTTGAATAGAGTGCTGGGACAAGAGCCAAAACACTTTCCACTTAACAGTATCATAAGAGAAACAAAAGAAAGAATGCTGTATTAAATGATCACTGGCATGCATCCTCAGGGTCCAAAGACAATAGAGGCATGGGACTATGATAAACAGAACAAAGGAAAACTAAAAGGGGGCAACCTCTTCTAAACTCAGCAAGTTGTTGCATAGAATTGTAAATCTCTTAAGATAAAGCTAGAACTCCAAAAATTAATGTGAAAATGCCAGATTTTTAAATGTTGGCCATAATTTTAGTTTTTAAAGACAATAGCTACTACTGTGCAAACTGGATCCCATCCAAGGCCAATGCTATTCAGACTGGATCCTATCCAAGGGCAACTAGCTAGCAATTTGATTTTGTTTACAGATCATTTTCCCATTTCTGAAATTTAAATGTGCTAAATCTAGTTAACTATAAAACCTAGAACAGAGCTTTCTTTTCCAAACCCTCAGATTAGGGAAACATATACGAGAAATTCTCCCTCAAAAGAGACAACGTAAAATGTGTTCCCCATGAAGTCTAAATCTTGTTATATGACTTGTTCTTCTATTTCTTTTTTCTGAGAGATAATCTGGTTGATCATGGAGCAAAGCTTTTATTCCATTTTTGAACTTTAATGCTGGTTAAAAAATAATAATTCATCTTTAAGGCATGGATTATGGTGGTGAATATTTAAAGTCTTATAAATCCACCGTGAAACAGAGATTCCGAAGTCAATGAAAATGGATAGCAAAACTGAAATGTTTACAATTTCCCTTTGGAAAAATGATCAAAGAGGACACTTCTCTCCCCAATCCTTCTTTCCCTTTTGCCTTAGTTCAGAATTCCTCATTTTTCTAAATAGAAGCAATTATGGATATTTATAAGGGGGCTGTCAGTCTTCTTAAAATTCTCCCCAATCTAAGGATTTTTCATGATGAAGCATACTAGATGAGAGGTCTCACATACGGTCCGTAGGGAAGACTGATCATCATTGACTGTTTCCCCTCACATTTCTCATCTAGCTCAAAGGACACATTAACTTTTTTGCTTCTTTCCGACATACTAATCAGTAAATGATTCATAGCTTACTTTCATTCAGGTCTTGGCTTAAATTTTTTAAAATATATATACATACACAAATAATATAAACATACATTTATATAAATATATATAATACTTAATATTATATATAGCTATTTTTCTAATATATAGACCATGTCAGTGTGTCTATTTAATATGCTCGGCTTTTATTAAACCAGTAAATATTTCTCAAGTACCATTGTGTGTTTTGGTGGGTGTGGAGAACACATAAGCACAGAATATTTCTTATTTAGTTAAACATGGCGTCATACAAACTTATAATCTCTCTGGGAACTGAAATAATTAGAAAATACAACAGAAGAGAATGTAATTATATAAGCTGACTTTTGAGGCATTTATGTAACTTCTGTAAACCATCATTTTAGAACAGCTGTCCCAACACACCCCATGACTACTCTGTCTACCAAAAGGGAGGAACAGAGGCAGCCATGTGTACGGGCCACGAGTGGATAACTGGCCCAAGATGAGCCAGTAACATTTTCTCTCCTTGAAATTTGGAAGTGTGCTTGCTTCAACAGTGGTTATATATACTTGGGAGTCATAGAGCATTATCCTTCAGCATGGGCATGAAGAAGAGAGGAGAATAAAGCAGATGAGAAAACAGAAGTGGAGTGCTTTCAGAATTGTTTCTGAAATCTTTTCCATTCTGGTTTTAGTTTTTTGCCAAGCCCGGCAGAATTCCTTGTCCTTGGTCTTTGTGAGACAGTCACTTTATCTTAAACACATAAACACAAATACATACCTCTTTATTTGCTTAAACTTCTTTGAAATCAGTTCTTTGCTTGCCACCAAAAAGAAGTGAGGCAGGAATTACATGATATACTTATTTTTCAGACCATGAAGACTATAGAATATGGTTGTAGGTGTTCATAAATAAAGACTGGATTTGAGAGTCTTCAGGACCTTGGCCTTCAAAAAAAAATATATGTGTATATATATATATATATATATATATATATATGAGTGTGTTAAAAAGAAGTGAAAATAAGCCAGGAAAGAAAATGGCATCAACCCAACATTTGTATAGTGATTTGTGGCTTAGTGGCTTACAAAAAAACTAAGTTCTCGTACTATCCTCAATGGCTCAAAATAATTATTCCCATTCTATGGAGCAGAAAACTGTGGCTCAAGGATGTTGAGACTCTCCTTGCATCATAGCTGCCTCTTTGCAGGGTCCAGCACAAAGAGAAAAGTCAACGTACAGTAAGCAAATGTATAGCTTAATGTGGAATCATGGACTTTATTATTTCTTTGCAGGGGATTAGATGATCATGCTCAAGGATTTATTAACTGCAGTCAGGTGGATGCAAGCAATGTACAAAATAGCAAAGGAAGATTTGTTTTAATTCCGTAATACAGGTCTATTTGTAAACTAATTAAATAACCAAGTAGTTGAAGTGGCAAATGTAGAGAATTGTGTTTTCAACTGATGCAAGATCTTAGGTGCAGAAATCAAGTTTTATATTTATTTTCTTATTTTATAAAAAAAGAAAATGTATTATTACAAGGCAGCATAGTTTAAGTGCTAAGCAATGAAGCTGAAGACAACAGTTAAAAAAAAAAGATACCTTACTTCAGACAAAGATAGATCTTTCAGTACACACAACTATAAGGGTAAATTTGTTTCTGCCCAGAAAACGTTTTCAAAATGGCATAAACCTGCCCATTTCACATGATTAGCTCTCTCCTTATGACCATCTGTAATGCAGACTTAGCGAGCAAGTGTTTGCACCCGTGCTGGGAACCCAAATGTTCACTTACTCACCTTGTTTTCTATAAGGAACAAATAAACATCTGTGTGCATGACAGAATGCAGAGCCTTTTCTGGCTATGTGGCTTTGGCTCTGGGCACCCACATGAGCTTTTTGGGAGCTTATTTTTTGATGCCTGGACTCCCATTTGCTTCAACCAGACATTTGCCCATTTATTTGAAACACAAGAGAAGAATATAGAATGTGTCTGGTTATGTTTGAACAATGCAGAGCATAAAGTGGGTACTGAAGTATTCCGTGAGAGAGAGTTTAATCCAAAAAGAGAAGGAAAAACAGAAGAGAGGAGAAAAGACAAAAATAAAAACAAAAACACAAAAGACACAAGAAGGAATCAGTGAGGAACTATTATGAGATTTATATTGTCTTGCAAATAGCAAACATAAACTGAGAGCCCAGGAGTTTGGTGATTATTACTCTCAAAATAAAATAACGAAAAACCTAACTCCTTACTAGAAACTCAGTTTCTCTGTGTGTGTGTGTTTGTGTGTGTGTGTGTGTGCATGTGTGTATGTGTGTTTGAAACAAGGCTAAGGCCATGAAGCTGCAGAGGCTTTGATTGTGGGAGATACATGGTAACATTAAGTAATAATGCTCAAAGATCTCATCATCCTGGCTAGATGTGGCTGAGAAATGAAATAAGGCCAAGAATGATAGAGAATCTAGAGTGAGGAAATCTCTGCTTACTGGACAAAGATAAGATTTCTGGACATGGTAGAGTCTGAATTGGAAACATTTTTCTATGAGGATATTTTTCTAAACCAAACTCTACATATTTGAACTTAAGAGATTAATGAACATTAGAATACAAAATTAAATGAGATTAAAAGAAAGTATGAAATTAAGGGTCACACAGGACATATGACACAGTCTTACTACGAAACATCTCTCAGTCAAAATTATTTTGTTTTCTGTAGGCTTGTGGTGCCTTGCACTTATGCCACAAATAGCACAATCTGTAGTAAATTCAGACAGAAAAGAAACTGATATTTGTTGAAAGACCATGGTATGCCATGTACGTTCCTATATTGTCTTTTTTAAGATACTCATAAAACAGGATATCTGGAATATTAGCCTTATTTTTCCTGCTTTGCAGAGAAGGCAATTGAGGTACAAGAAGTTAAGTAACTTTTTAATTAGTAATTTACGGTGTCAAGATTTGAATTCACATTCATCCATTTACATTTCTCTGCATGGTTCTGCCTATGCATAAACATCTGGAAGGAGGCATTAGTATCTTTCTGGACTTAAATGACCTACTCTACTGAGTAAATGCTCACTAAGTCTGATTAAATTGACCATGGTCAACACATAGCAATTAGGTGTTTCATTTTATAAGGTGAAGATGCAAATAATAACCTTTAGAAGCTTTATTCGAATTGTAATACAGCAATGAACTTCAGACTATCCTCAGCTTATTTTATGGGCAGTCCCTAAAAGTTCACAAGAGAAATAATTATTCAGAACTTCTTAATCTTTACGTCAAGAATAGACTTGCCTTACAGATAGTAGAATGGGCAGCCTTGCCTCTTTCTTAGTCACTTTGATGAGTTCTGAAATGTCTACATGTCTCAAATTCTATCCCTTCCTATTTGGCCCTAACACCAATAGCATGCTTAAAATTTCTACTCGTGGAGCTAATTTCTTGTGTAAAATTATAGTCATTCAAAGACTTCAGTTAAATCACTCATCTGCACTAGGGATAAATAAGACATAAGCCTCCATTTTATAGTAACACACACACATCAAAAAATTAATTTACCCTAAAGAAGATCAGGGGAATTCTACATGCAGATTTGGAAGGGAGATGAGTTAAAGGGTTAGACACCAAAGGGTTAGGGAACCTCATAATCTTGCCCAAGGGTGGTTCTGAATTAGAAGCACATTTACCATGTGTGAATGATGTAACTAAGTAGAATGTAAATCAATGTGACTTTAATATAAATGGTGTTCTTTGCCTCCTATGTAATGCTGTCAAGAGTGCTAGACATGGCAACTCTCCAGGGCTTGCAGAACTCTCCAGAAGACCTGCAGGGTTTCTAAGTCATCTTTGGCATGGGAGTCCATGGGGAAATAAAGCTTTTGGTGGTAAATAAGGACAGAGCCCCTGAATGTTTCAGTGTTCAGCAAGTCTTAGTGACTGATGTTCCAGCAAAAGTCCTAAGCAAAACAAACAAACAAACAAAACAACAACAACAACAACAGAAAACATTGTGGAAGTTGTGGGAGAGAATAAAGGAAGAGATAGGAGGTCCCTGGACTTTAAGAATGACACAATCTAACAATGGAGAGGGTGTGTATGACAGAGAGAGAGAGAGAGGAAAAGAGGAAGAGAGAATAATATGAATGAATGAATGAATGAAAAATATTGGGACATTGTTTTAAGGTTACAAAATTCTTTTATGGTTTTTCATCAAATTTTCATAAAGACTGTAAGAGAGAAATATTATTAAAGCAGGAAACCAAGCCCATAGAAGGTAAATTTCCCCAAGAGAAATTAGAAAGGAATAGCCTGAAATAAACTTTCCCCTTCTAGGTTCCCCATCTCATGTCTTCAGGTAGATTATGCTCTCTTCTGCAAAGAATACAGAATACAGGACATTCTACAATTTAGGTGCTACATTATGTCACATGAGATATAGAAAAGTACTGGAGCAGTCAAGCCTGGCTTCCTAGAAAAAGTTGGGTTTGAGGTAACCTATGCAGAAAAGGTGGGGAGGGGAAGTGGTTGAGAGTGGGGTTTTGAGATCTGACATCCTGAGTTTGAACTTCATTACCGCCACTTTTCAGTGGCAGTGATGTGATCTTGGCAAGTTAAGTCACTTGTAACATTTTACTACCTCGGGTGTCTCACCTGCAAAATGTGGATGATTCTTGTGAGCATAAATGGATTAAGATTTGTAAAGTGTTTTGAACGGTCCCTGCAAATTGCAAACTCTCAGGACTGTAAAGGGTGCATCAACTCTAGGAGGGAGGTGTTTGTTTATCCAGCCACCCAGTCTTTTAGAATTGATTGAAAATCTCCATGAAGGCGGAAAGGCACTGTCCATGATACTTCAATGAATGACTCAATCTCTCAATCTAGGCTTTGCGTGCCAATCACAGAGCAATGCGGAGCTATGTTGTTACCACCTGAACTCACTGAGATCAATCTTAGCATCACTAAAAGTGAGACGGACACTATGTGCTGCCTGGTGGGAGGCAATCTGAACGGTGCCACCTGTGAAACATTCTTACCAAAATTACATAACCTGAATCTAATTTACAGTCTACAGTCCATGTAGAAACCACAAGAGATGGGGGATAGGTAAATGATGCACAAGTAAATAATTAGTCAAGTTAAGAATGGGGAACTTTCTACAAGACAACTAACCCAGTTTATACAACAAATAACAAATGTGAAAAAAGAGAAGTGAGGGTGTGCTTTAGATTAAAAGTGGCTGAAAAAGACTTAGAACAACCAAAGGTAATGATGGACTTTTTCCTTACACATCAATTAAATAAATCACTTGTAAAAGACATTTTATAGACAATCATGGACAACCATAGATATTAGATAATTTAAAAAAATACTGTTATTGCTATTAGATTTGAAAATGACCTTGTAGTTATGTAATAATACCTTTCTTTTTGAAAAAAGAAAGCTTTGCATGAAGGATTATTTTTTCTTTTTTACTTTTTACTCAAGAAACTAATTTGACAAAAGTGAAACGGAGTGATATAGGATTTCAGAGGATTTCGAAGTAGTTGGGGCTATTTTAGAATTAAGCTTTCCCTGTCCTTTCCTCAAGATCCCAGAAAATGCCCACTGAGTATCCTGGGCCTTTATAGGAGCCAGCATCTAATCTGTGACCTCATTTTATTTCAGAATCTTAAATGCTTCACCTGTACAGACGAGCTTATCTCAATGTAGGAGCCAGAAGAAAGATAAAGAAAAGTGAGAGAAAGACTAGTAGGTAACAGGAGGAATGAGAAGAATGAGTGGAGAAGTGGGGAGACAAAAAATAAATCAAGATAAATAGCATAAATGAATGTGGACAAAGATTGAAGGAAAGAGAAATATAAGAAGACAAGAGGAGGAGAAATTGAGGTTAAAATAAAGGTGAGGGCACAGAATCTGAGAGCTTCAGAATACTTCAGATTACAACGTTCTAACATTTACTCTTTGCTGGGGAAAGTAAGCAGAGTTTATCAAGAAGGGGCATATAACATACAGAGGACCATAAAAGCAAATTATGGACAAGTGGCATGCACCACTATAGCTATTGTATTTATTTAACACTCGTAACAATACTATGAATATACTATCAAGTGTATATTATTATTTTCTGTTATTTAATTTTTAGTTAATTAAAACAGTTTATGTTGATGTAAAAGTAACACATGTACAAGGTAGAAAATGCAAACACAACTAAAAGGTTTTCTTTGAAAAGCATGCTGCTCTCCTATCCCATCCCCATTCTCTAGTCTCCCAGTTTCACCATCCAGAGGTCACTGCTATTGCCAATTTCTTGCCATCAATATGCATGATTTTTTTTTTACAGAAAAGGTAGTATGGCATACAAATTGTTCCAAATTTTGCCTTAAAACACCACCACCGGCCGGGCGCGGTGGCTCACGCCTGTAATCCCAGCACTTTGGGAGGCAGAGGTGGGCGGATCATGAGGTCAGGAGATCGAGACCATCCTGGCTAACACAGTGAAACCCCGCCTCTACTAAAAATACAAAAAATTAGCCGGGCGTGGTGGCGGGCGCCTGTAGTCCCAGCTACTCGGGAGGCTGAGGCAGGAGAATGGCGTGAACCCAGGAGGCGGAGCTTGCAGTGAGCCGAGATCGCGCCACTGCACTCCAGCCTGGGCGACAGAGCGAGACTCCGTCTCAAAAAAAAAAAAAAAACACCACCACCAAGAATAACCCATAAACATGTACAGCTAGTATATATCTATAATAAATTAAAAATTTAAACACATCCGTAACATTTGACCCCTCAATTCCTCCTCTAGGTTTCTATTCCTAAGTAATATTCTCAGAAAATAAATACAAATACACATAAAAATTACTGAATTTTTTTATAGTCAATCACTGAAAATAATCTAAATGTCTTTCAATAGGACACTGGATCAATCAACTATGTTACATCCATCCAATGGAATGCTTCATAACTGTTAGAAAGAATAAAACAGATCGGAAATGTTTTATTCCTGCAATCAGAAAACTAAAGCATAGGGTGTTTAAATAACTTGCCTAAGGTCGTACAACTAGTTAGTGGAGGTTTAGGATTCAAACCCAGGTAGTCTGCCTCCAGAAGCTGCACTCTGATCTATTGCACCACCACTGCCATAGGGTCTCTAGGACAAAGTACTAGCCTATAATTAGACTATGTAATATACTGTGATTTAAATGTTGCATGTTTACATTTGCATTTATAACTAGACTTCTCACTATCCTTGCTTTCATGAGCAATCAAATTGTATGCTATTTCAACCTACCTAGGACAAGGCAGAATGTGGGTATATAATGTGATCATAATGGATAACCCAAGTCCCGTTCCTTCAGCAGTCCAAGAGGAGACACAACTACCACATGCATAGAACTGTGGAATGCCACTGCTAAAATGGATTCGGATAATACTTAGTCTAACATACTATTTTGTCAAATGAGGAAACTAAGTATGAGGTACTAAAGTGATTTACTCAAGTCTGCATGGCAAGTAATCATACAAATTGGATGATAGTCCATATTTTCTGACTTTGAATGCAAAGACTTTTCCCCACAGAGCAGAGTTGGGTATTGTGTTAGTCTCTTTTCACACTGATATAAAGAACAATCTGAGACTGGATAATTTACAAAGGAAAGAGGTTTAACTTACTCACAGTTCCACATGGCTGGGGAGGTCTCAGGAAACTTACAGTCATGGCAGAAGGTGAAGTAGAAGCAAGGCACGTCTTACATGGAGGCTGGAGAAAGAAAGTATAGGGCAAATCACCTCTTTTAAACCATCAGATCTCATGAGGACTCACTCACTATCATAGAACAGCATGGAGGAAACTGTTCCCATGATTCAATAGCTTCTCCCCAGGTCCCTCCCTCAACACATGGGGATTATAATTTGAGATGAATTTTGGGTGGGGAAACAACTCCAAACCATCTCAGGTATCTTAGCTATATCCTAAGCATTACTCTTAACAAGGACCATACAATCCAGTCATTCCACTTCTGGGTATGTACCCAGAAGAATTGAAAGAAGGGCCTTGAGGAAATATTTGTACACCCATGTTCATAGCAGCATTATTCACAATAGCCAAAAGGTAGAATCAACCCGTGTATCCATCAATGGATAAATGAATAAACAAAATGTTTTATGTCCATACAATGAAATATCACCAAGCCTTAAAAAGTAGAGAAACTCTGACACAGGTTACAACCTGAATGAACCTTGAGGACAGTAAGCTAAGTAAAAGAAGCCCATCATAAAAGGGAAAATATTGTGATTCCACTTTCATGAGGTACCTAGAATAGTCAAATTTATAGACAGAAAGTGGAATAGTGATTGCCAGGGATGTTGGCAAATGGTACATGGGGAGTGCTTTAATGGGTATAGCATTTCGGTTTTAAAGATGGAAAGAGTTCTGTGGATGGATGGTTGTGATGGTAACACAGCATTGTGAATATACTTAATGCCAATGAACAGTACATTTAAAAATGGCTAACGTGGCAGATTTTATGTTATGTATATTTTGCCACAATCAAAAAATAGATAAATAAATACAGCCAAGGAACAACAATAAAAAAGAAGTAAAGGCACTTTGGTACATTTCAGAAGTCAAGGCAGATTCAACCACAAGAATTTCAGCTTTGTCCTCATATCTTACCTTGATCGCATTCGGTTGTATTACAGAAACAAATATTCTGTGTTGACAGAACTATAAAACATAATTCAATATCTGTGCACTGCATCCACCATTGGTCATTTCTATTATGAAAGGTACAATATCACTTTTAAAAATGTCTACAGGCCTTTGCAAGCATTGTTTCTTCTAGCCGGAAATCACCTCCTCCTCTTCTGAAGTGTGCCCCTGGGCATATGAAGGGCACACACAAGCATACACACAATACCATATTGCCTCCTTTCAAAGCTCCTATTTATCCCTCAAAAGCCTGCTCAGAATCTTCCAAATATTTTCGGAGAAGCCAGAAACCTTTGTGGTTACTCACCTCAGATAAAGACAATCTCAACTTTCCCTGTGTCTATTAATATTGCTCTTGTCTCAGTATATTTTCATTTATTTATTGGGATGCTTGCTTCAATAATTACACTGTGAACTTTTTCAGACTAGGTGCCCTCTTTCATCTATGTATTTCTAACATTTAGAACATTATACCTTATAGAAAATTCCTTAGCAAATTAATTAAGTGAATAATTGGAAGAAAAATTTCTGAGGCTGTGTATTGCATGTCTCTTTCGTGTCTGGCTCTCACACCCCTTAAAAGGCTTTTGCCCCCTGAATCAACCCATCAGTGTCAGTTAAAATTGTCTGTGACATCTAATAAACCAAATGTCTTGTTCTGTGTTCACACAGTGCTGCTTTCAAATATGTAAAAATGTCACGAAAGACAGCCCGCCCTTCTGGAAGAGGATGATTAAATGCATAATTAAAAATTGATGCAATTTTCTCCGATGCAACGTTATTTTGCTGTTTATCTTCCTGTAACATATAAATGGAGATGAACACAGAAAATGAATTGGGTTCCCAGTTCTTGGCACCCTCTTCCCTCTTCTCTGCTCTGGAGGGAGCAGAAACCTTGGTATCATTCTCCCCATGTTTGGAAAGAACCATGCAGTTACTGACTTGCAGAATCTCTCCTCAAATAAAACCATTATTCTGTACACATTTCATGGGGTATGAGGTTTCTAGACATGTATTGTGCTATTTGCAAGCCATACAGAGATGGACAAGCTTCATGATAGATAAAGCAGAAAGAACACAGGTTTTTTATTCCGATGCCTCTAATTTTTTGCCACATGTGTGTTTTTATACCTCGAAATTTGTAAATCAAATGTAGAGAAAACTAATCTTATAAAATAGAGTAAAGGAAGAATTGTTTAGACATAAATTTTTTTTTGTTTTGCTAAGTGACACTCCTTCTACAAGCACCCATGATTTCTTCTTCAATTTCAGGCTTTTACCTGTCAGTTTCTTTTAAAGGAGCTAATATATAATTTTTGCTCTTGGAAAACTATAAGCTGGGTAATAGGGAGGCATAGGTATAGAAAACAAGAATTATGACAAAATAAATTATTATATAAGGAAAAATAATATTGGTATTAATTAGTAAAGATTTGATCCTCATCCATAGTCTTCTGCCAGTGAGTGGTTTATTCATTGTCATGATGGGGCTTCTTTCTTTTCCTCCCTTCCTCCCTTCCTCCTTCCCTCCCTTCCTCCCCTCCCTCCCCTCTCCCTCCCTCCCCTTCTCCTCCCTCCCTCCTTCCCTCCCTTCCTTCCTTCCTTCCTTCCTTGTTAAGATACAAGCTATCGACTAATTAATCTTGTGCTGCTTTTAAAAGAAATTAAATTAAGTACATAAAATGATAGAAAATAAAGTAGAAGTTACATCTTAACATTAACTTCTAACTCCAAAACTTGTGACATTTTGTATGGCCACAGGAAATGCATATAATGCCTTCAAGCCTTACTTTCCTCCTCTGTCAACTATATTAATAATACCTGCCTTGCACACATTTTGAGTTTTGGTGAGAATTTTAGTCTGTGAGAGACAGATCCAAGGAAGCTATGATAGAATGGCTGTGATTAGAGAAAGGGATTCCTCTTGTGTAGGCTGGGGCCTCGAGACATGCTTCATGGGGAGGCCAGCAGGGGAATTAGGCTTTCTTGGTGGGTTAAGTTTAACAGAAGGTGAGGAGGAGATGGAGCATATTTCACAGGCCAGGAGAGTAACATAGAATACAACTGAAAATAGACAACCTGTGAGTATGTTTCGGAAAGAGTGAGTTTTTAAAAATTAAGAAAGCAATACTATATCTATTTGCATTTAAGTTTTTCTTCTCGTGCAGTAAAAAGAATAAGAAATAACTCAGCATAGCTGAAATGAAAGACTATTGGGCAGCCCTGTTATTGGTTCAACATATAAGGGCTGGGAGGGAGGAGGCTGGCGGGTGGAATAAATGCAATTAAACTGTCAGGAAAGCTCCGCTTACATTTGGCCTTTCAATACGTCCTTCCCTGTGCTGCCTCTCTCCGCAGCATTGATTGGGTATTGTTAACCTTTATCTATCTCTTGTTTACGTTTCTCTATTAGGGGCAAACATCAATACTAGGCTTTTAGAAAGGACAGAGGCAACCAACAAAGAGACATTGGGAAAAGGTCAAAAATTTCTGAGTTGAGGTGTGTTGCTGTTGGCTAGGCCTGGGGAAACACTCTGGCTGAGACAGCAAGGTCAACCCTCAGAGGCTGGCATCCCTGGCTCCTGACTTTGGGGAAGAAGAAATATAGGCAGTAATGAGCAGCACCTCTTCTGTCAGGGAAGCCAGAAGCAACACCCAGCCTAAAGGAGAGGGAAGCGAAGAGGCTTCCTTGGGGTGTATGTGTGGGTGTGAAGGCAGGGAGAGGCACAAAACAGATCACCAGATGGGCAATCTGCACGGGAGGAGGAAGGGAACGGTGACTCCACTGTCTGCCATGTTACCTGGGATGTTCTTTCTCCTCACCCCTGCTCTGCTCTGCAAGGCCAGAGTACAACTTTTCATTTCAGATGGAAGGAAACTGAAGCCATGAGAGGTTAAGCCACTTGCACAAGGCCCCACAGTGGCAAAGCTACTTTTGGGTTCCTTAGTTTTGCGAGTCCATATCTGCATCTGAGAAACATAAGAAATGCCTTTCCTTTGCAAAATCTGATATGTGCCATGAATCCCCAGATGTCATAAGAATTTGGCAGAATTTGTAGTAAGAAATTTTTTTTCTATTGTATATTACAAAAATAAAATGTGTATTTTAAGTACTAAATTATAACATTGTAATAATTATTATATTGAATGTGCTGCCTCCCTTCCCTCCTCCCATCACTCCTGTATTCGGGTTCACTATTCTGTAGTCCTATTATACAAAACAGTTGTGCCCTGGCCATATCTTAGCTGCGAGGTACAGTTAACCTCCCCAGGTTTCAGTTTCTGATTACTAATACTAATACTGCCCTAATACTAGTATTTAGAAGGTCATTCTCTTAGATTTTAGTGAATCATGGACTCATTCCCATTTCTATCTCACTTTAGACCCCACAGCCTTAATTATTTTGCTAAAGCACCTGCACGTTTGGGCTATAATATTTGTGCTGCCTTCTTGAAAGGATGCTTTCCAGCATAAGATGCAAAAATAAATAAGCATTGGGAGATCAGGTTTGTAATGGTGGCCAAATTTTTCTTCTCCACTGAGACCAGAAAAGAAGAAACAGGTCTCACAACAACTAAAGGGCTATGGACAGACCCATGTATGACTCAGCTGCCTGAGCATTGCCTGGCACAAAGTAGGAACAAAACTTGTGACAGTTCTTTAAAGGAGATGGAAAGCATCTTAGAGACCATGTAGCACCTTGTACCCACCCCATGACCCCCATGTTGAAGGTGGAGAGCCTGAAGCCCAGAGCCATGACCTGGAATGCCAAGGTCAGCTAGCTGAATACTGACAGAGGAGGGAAGGTTCTGATGCGTCTGTTCATGACTCCTGCTAATGCGCTACTTCTTTCAAACAGAGGATATGATATGTTTTGTGTGGCATTGTACTTTAAAACTAAAACATAACCTACCAAACAAAGGAAATACAAAAGACACAGAAAGCCCACCCGATTGTGAGCTGGGATAATGGTTCTTGTCCTGGGTTCATCAGCCGGTTTGGTATAAGAAAGCCACTCTGATCCTCATTTTCCTTATTTATGTAATGGAAGTATGACTTTCCCCTCGCTGACACATTATTTTGTTTTTAAATAATCGAATGTAATGAAAACATGTTTTAAAAAGAAAATGCTATATGCAAATTTTAAAGGCATTAACACAGCACTGCTCTGTCCCTGATAGAGGGATGACCTTGGACAAATCACTTTACTGGCTGCCACACTAGAAGATTTTAAACTTCTCTTCTTCTCATTCAACGTGGTTGGAAGAATGTGCCTTTGTTACCTCACCTTATGAGATGGTGCCTTTGCATGCTAAGCCTCTCCACAGCACTGGTCACACATGGCTACATCAGATGAGTCTCTCCAGGGTCTATTCTGCTAGGGCTAAGGCAGCCTCTTTACATACACATGGGTGTGGGAGAATACCACATTCAGCCTCTTCCAGGAAAGTCTGGATTTAATCAAGTCCATGCCTGTGTCCCATAAGTCTTTTACTGTCAGAGCACGAGGCCTGATCTTGGGTCAGGTCACGTTTACGGGTGTAGTGATAGTAGTGCTTGTGTGCTGGCCCTAGTCAAAGGAGGACCAGGTGTTTGGCTGCAGGAATAAACCAGGAATAGCCTTCCCTCCAGCCCTCACCTTATATAAGCAAAAATCCAAGTACGCCTCATAATTGTGTATTTCAAGTTGACGGGGGTGTGGTACAGCTTGATGACAGGTTTCTTCTTGATCAGAGGAGGAATAAAGGAGACTTCTTATGGGTATTCTTATTCACAATTAACTTTATACTTAAATGTCTTAAGGATAGATGGGTGAGGGGTGGTTGTGACTGCTGGATACCATAGAAAGTTCCAGCTTCTAAATGCTCCCTGAGCCCTGAAAAGCCATTTTTATATACCCATCCTCAGTTAAGGCACTGTCATTGATGAAAACACAAATATCTCTAAATGTGTTCGTCATTAGCTATTTTGTGCTAATGTGGCAATGAGATTGCCTTTTTCCCCCTACCTAGACAGCTAGCTGTCATTAGCTTCATGTTAAGAATAAGAAACATAGTAGATCTGATGACTATGAGAAAGAGCAACAGAGACGAACAGAAATGGAGCTCTGACTGAGAACTCTGGCACAGGCACAGGCATATCAATGGAGTGTCCTGGGCAACATTAGAAGAAAAGATGTTAACATTTTTATTCAAATTATATTAAGGGCCAAAAACCCAACTGGTTCTTCTTCCATCTATCTGTCCATCAATGCACTCATCCATCTAAACTATGCATCCATCCATCCACCCGTCCATCCACCCACCCATCCATCCATCCATCCATCCATCCATCCACCCACCCACCCATTCCATAGTTCTGAGTACTTATTAATTCCTATGCTGGTCTCTGAGAGTCTAATCTAGAAAGAGACAATTTCCCTTCCCTCAAGGAACTTAGACTCCTGGTTGAGATCGTAAGTATGCAGATAACAATATAAAACCTGGAAATAGCCACCAATGGGGTACATGGTACATGAGGGTACATGAGGAGTATGTCTTGCCTTGTAGCTGTGGGGAAGTCAGGGAAAGTCAAAGTCAAAATGCGTTATTTTGCTTAAACTTCATATGAGTCCTGCCTGGTAATTTTTTTTTTTTTTTGGGGATGGAGTTTCACTCTTGTTGCCCAGGCTGGAGTGCAATGGTGCAGTCTCAGCTCACTGCAACTTCTGCCTCCTGGGTTCAAGCGATTCTCCTGCCTCAGCCTCCAGAGTAGCTGGGATTACAGGTGCCCACCGCAATGCCCGGCTAATTTTTGTATTTTTAGTAGAGATGGGGTTTCACCATGTTGGTCAGGCTGATCTTGAACTCTTGATCTCAGGTGACCCACCCCCGTCGGCCTCCCCAAAGCACTGGGATTACAAGCATGAGCCACCACAACCTACCTGCCTGCTAAATTTTTTACCTAATTTTTATAAAGGAGGCAACCAAGTCCCAGAGAATGTAACATCTGTAATTATAGCGGCAAAATCAACCAGCCACCATGCGTTGATCACTAAACCCCTTCCTTGCACCTGTCAATGAAATATCTAAAGTCACAAAGCCAAAAAGGCAGAAAGTCTAGATTTGAATTCATGGTGTACCAGAATCTAAATGTATACTTGATCCTCTCATCCTCTACTGTGAGGAGAAGCGTGAAAGGGAACAGGTATGTGTGTAACTCATGGTAGGGAGGGTGAGGGTGGAGGCTGAACCAGAATAGGGAGTATCCACCATTACTCTTCAGCCTTAATGACAGTTGTAATGGAAAATATGTACATGGAGGACTAACCATCAGGCAGCTTTTGTGTAGTGTCTTTTAAACATAGAGCACAGCAAGCCCACATTTTCAAAAATGTCACAGATTCCCCAACCACCCTCATTCTGGCAAGAGGTTTGCTATTTTCCTTCATTTACAAAGTTGATTGGCTGGGGCTGGTTCCCTGCTCCTGCATCTTCTCAGTTGAAGAGCCCATGGCAACTGTCCTTTAAAAATCCTTGAGACAAGGATTAGAAAGAGTTGCAATTTCTATCCTTTACGCAGAAGACACTGACTCAATAAAGAGTTAAATAATGTTCACCTGTTCCATGTACTACCCTGGACTAGGTACAAAAGGCTCTATATTAATAAGGTTTTGCTGAGTTTAAGAGATTTTCCCAGACATTTTAGGAATTGAATTTCTCTCTTGGCTATCAGCAATCAAGTAGGAGGACAAAGAACACAGAATTGCTCTAAGAGGATTTGTGAGTCTTGAGAGAAGAAAGCCTGACCTCACTCCTCTCAGGGCTCCGAGGAAGTCCCATCTTTGTAAATATCCCCGCCCTGATTGGTGTGAAGGAAGTGGGGTCATTAAGTCAGTTCCTGCAGATAGTAGCTGTTGATTGCCATACTGGCATTTAGGTGGCTTACTGGCTGGTTTCAACTGTGTACTTGCTCCCCAAACCCTGCAGTTGGCCAAGGGTGCAGTTTTATAAATAGCAAATAAATAAACACAAGAATTTAATCCAGGAGAATGAACAAGCAGAGTTCAAGCTTCAGTGCAGGTTGCAGGAAGTGATAGAGGCGGCTGCAGATTTTCAGTGCTCTGACCCACCCTTATCATTACAGGCATACATAATGCTCAAGGCAGGGAAATGGGAGAAGCTCCATTCCATCCCTCCCTCATGCCCCCTTCTAACTTCTCCGTGATTTTATCTTGCTCAGCATTACGAATACTGCAAACAGCAAAGAAACAAGAATATGAGGTTTGTTTTGGCGCTCCTTGAGCCTGACAAAATCCCTTTATCTTGAGTGCATCTCATAATTGTTTTAAATCATGGGAGATAGATCTGAGGACAGGGGAATCAATTAAAGGTCAGGGTTGAGGTGTCTTCGTGAAATTATGGGAGACAAGCTCCTGCTACCCCTGCTTGCCTAACATGGTTAGGTAGAATGTTATCCTCAGCCCATACTGTCATCAAAAGTAACGTGATGGACAACATCAAATACAACACAGAAGCCTATTATAAGGGGTTAGTGTACAAATTCATGAGGCAAAGGGCAGAAAAGATATCATTCTGACTTTTATAGCATCCATCTCTCTGAATTCACAAAGTCAGCGTCTAATTAACAGAGGCAAGCTAGCTCATGAGAGGGAAAAATGCAATCACTAAGTCACAGTCATTTTGTGAAGCCATTTAGAGGTAGAGTTGTGCCTGTTTGAGAGGAAAGAAAGATACAAAGTTCGACAATTTGGTAAAAGAGAAAGGAACTGGCTGTTGAAAAGATAAACAATGAATGAAGGCTTCCTGCCTCCTGTTTCTCCTGATGGAACAAAAACATTGTGCCATAGGGTTAATACTGGATTCCTCCATGAATGCAGAATTAGAAAACAAAAAGCTTCTGGGGCTAAGTTGATGTTTGCAAAAATCATGAATATAAACACAATCAGATTCATAATGCATTGACTATATATAGTGCTTTTATTTTGAGAAGCTACATAAAGTCACCCAGGGTCTCTCCTTAATCCTTACTTTTCTCTCTCTCTCTCTCTTTTTTTTTTTTAATAAGGTGAATAGCAGAAATGGGGCAAAGAATTGAAGATCAAGCCTGTGGAAGTGTCTAGGGAATCAACACTGTCCCCACTTTCATAACAAAAATAACTTGATAGAATTTCAGCAAAGTGACCATTCTGAGTCTTGCAACTTTACCTATAACAGAGGAGACTCCTGTATTCATGCCTCAAAAAAAAAAATCATTTGTAGACTTCTTTCTGTCCCGTCATATTTTCTTTGAATTATAACAAAACAAATGGAATGAAAATATTGTTTTATAGACAATAAAATTCCAGCACTTTTTTAATGGATTATTACATATGTGAAGCATTTCTACAATAACCAATTGAAAATATTCCTCAAGTGCCCTTTGCCTAATAGGGAAATAACAAATATACATTCACCTTTTAAAGCTTTGGGGCTTTCCTTCCACCACTCCCTAAAATAAATTTTGTAACAACAATTTAAATAATTTGAACTGGTATATCCTAAGAGTTAAGATAAAAGGAAATAGGATTATTTAGCCTGAGGAAAGGAAAGGCCAGGGGAAGCTTTATACTGTAAATAATATGGGGAGAAAGATCTTACAGCATTAATGGGAATCGGCAATCCTTCATCCTCACTGAGCAAGCGATGAGAAGATTCTCTAGCTGCTATATAAGGGATTCAAATGGCCATAAGCTTTGCCACTACAGTTATTAATATTAAGATTCCCATTTCTCTCTGTTGTCTCTGCCACTTCATAAGTCCAAGCCCACATCATCTCTCTCCTGGATTGCATTCACCTGCTAACGAGCCTCCAGTTAGCACTTCCCCTTTTACAATTTATTCTCTAAACAGCAGTTGGAGTTGCCTTTTGAAAAGTCAAATATAGTCATTTCATTTCTTTCTCAAAAGCCTTCAAGCATCTGATTGTTTTCAGTGTTTGGGCCAAAATGTTGACTTGTAAATGGCCTGCAAGATCCGACTATGCCAACACCCTCTCCACCCATATCTAGTCCCCTTCTTCACCTTTTTCTCAGTGCTCTAACCATACTGGCATTCTTCCACTTCCTCAAGGATGTTACCTGCCTTCCTTTTTCAAGTTCTTCGTATCTGCTGTACTCTCTTGATACAATGCTCTTCCATCTACTTCTCAGCTAACCCACTGTGACTCATCCTTCATATTTCAGATAGATGTAATATACCCATTATATGCTCCCAGGACATTCTGCCTTTATCTTGCGTGATATTTATCATACTTGGAATTACTCATTGAATACCTCCTGTTTCATTACATGGATGCTCCCTGAGGGCATATTTGCCTTATTTAGCTCTATGTTGCCTTAGAATCTGGTTAGTTCCCTGTCTTATGGTAAGATTCCAATAATTATTTATTGAATCAAGAGGTGATTCTAGTAGGAGTTTATTAAATATTTGTGGAATAAGTGAATGGATTACAGTGGGATTGGCAGAGAATCCCCAAAAAAAGATCAGGTCAGTTGGATAGCCTACAAATATGTGAACTTGAGGTTGTTCCAGTCTGATTTGCAGAGCCATTTATTTCTCTACAAAATTCTGTGTATGGGATTAGAATTAGACTGGTTAATGTACAGGATTAATAATCAGCAAGTAAATGTATAGTGAAACTAGATAATTTCAGATTTGCTTGTTCAAAATTTATGATGATCCCAAAGTTTTCGCTATTTGTAAAAGGAAGCTTTTCTGAAGGATGTGGTTAATTGAGCTTTTTAATATACCACTGGTGGGAGTATAGATTGGTACTACCTTCTTGCAAAGTAGGTTGGGAATATCAGTAGCCTTAAGGAAGTGGAAACTATTTTGAGGAAACTTTTTTTTTTTTTTTGAGATGGAGTCTCGCTCTGTCACCCAGGCTACAGTGCAGTGGGAAGATCTCGGCTCACTGCAAGCTCTGCCTCCAGGGTTCACGCCATTTTCCTGCCTCAGCCTCCTGAGTAGCTGGGACTACAGGTGCCTGCCACCACGCCCGGCTAATTTTTTGTATTTTTAGTCGAGACGGGTTTCACCGTGTTAGCCAGGATGGTCTCGATCTCCTGACTTTGTGATCCACCCGCCTCAGCCTCCCAAAGTGCTGGGATTACAGGCGTGAGCTACCGTGCCCAGCCCGTTGAGGAAACTTTTTTAGATAAATATTATAATCAGAAATTATAAAGATGAAGATTTACACATTAACATTTTAAATGCAGCCTTTTTTGCAATGAGTGAAAATTCAAAATTACAGAAATGTCAAACAGTAGTAGGCTGAATAAATTATGCCACATCTACACTGTTAATGTCAATAAAATTATGTGTTTAAATAATTTTCAAAAATAGAGACAGCTTATGATACCAATATTAAGTGAAAAATAAAGGCAACATCCATCAAAAAGAACTTTTATAGAAAATATTTGGAAGGAAATATATCAACATGCCTATATCTGTGTGTGGAGAGTTTTATGAATGCTTTTGACTTCCTTCCTTTAGATTTTTCATAATCTCATTTATCAACTCCCACACTAGTCATGGCCTAACAACAAAAACAAAAACAACAAAACTAAGAAAACTTTAAGTGTGGATTCTTTTGAGCAAATGAAAAACATACAAATGACAATTTTGGAAAGCAAATGAAGGAAACAGTGGGACACTTAACTTCCTGCTTTTAAAACTTCAAGTACATTTATTTATTGAGCAGCTCCCATTGGAGAATGTTATGACCACCCTGCCCTGCATGTCTACACTGATGTCCCTCTGTGATGTGAGATAAGTAAACTGAGTGATGTCTATGTCTGTTCCATTCAGCAATCCACACCTGTTATTGGCTCATTCAATAGGAAGGTACTCATGTGTAAGACATGCTCGTAATTTACATTCTAACCTGAAATAGTGCCTTGACTCCAAATAATAAATTCTCCATGGTGGATGCTAAAGTCTTTAGAGCAGTCCTTGCATGGTGAGGTGGCACAGATTTATGATACTCAGAGTTCTTTCTAGTGCTTCTCAAAGTCAGCAATTATTCACGTGCAACAATTCTCACCATTGCAAAGGGCACTTCCATGTCTGTTGTTTCTTCAGAGGAGTACATAGTAACTGCTATCAACCCATTTTACAGCTAAGTTAAAAAGAGCTAATGTGACTTTACAATAGTCGCAGAATAGGAAGAGACACAGTAAGATTCCAGCTCAGGGCTTTCAATTGCAAATCTTGCTCAGTTATCAAGATGAGAAGCATCTCCTCTACCCATATTTAAAACTATGGCTGTATTTAAGAATTAAAAATACAAAGGCATTTGCTTTGGATCAACAGTCTGCTGTGCTCTGATTCCCACAAATACCAGTGTATGGACAATAACACATGCCGTATGCCTGGCACTATTAGAAAACCCATGATATCGAGGTCAGGAGATTGAGACCATCCTGGCTAACACGGTGAAACCCTGTCTCTACTAAAAATACAAAAAATTAGCCGGGTGCGGTGGCAGCCACCTGTAGTCCCAGCTACTCTGGAGGCTGAGGCAGAAGAATGGCGTGAACCCGGGAGGTAGAGCTTGCAGTGAGCTGAGATTGTGCCACTGCACTCCAGCCTGGGCGACAGAGTGAGACTCCATCTCAAAAAAAAAAAAAAAAAAAGAAAACCCGTGATAGGTTTTAACTCACCTCATTTTGCCCACGTCCACCTAACACATGATAAGTGCTCAAAACATGGGTATTGAACAACACTTTAAAGTAGATTTTAACACTATCTTTCATTTAAAAATGAGGAAACTGAGGCACAGATCAGATTAAGTTACTTTGTCAATGATGTACCTCAAATATACATGATTAATTTGGGGTTCACACGGAAGCAGTCCAGTCTGAGCATCTATGCTTGTCAAATGTGTAGGATGAAGCAGTTTCACTAGATTTCCAGACGGGGCCACATGTCAGTATTGTTTGAAGAGCTTGTTCTTTCTATAAATATTGGGGTCTGCTACAGAGGTTCTGATTAAATGAGTCTGGAGTGGGGTGTGATCATCTGTATGTTAACCAACACATTCAAGTGGTTGGGAAGCAGTCTGTAAGTCAAATATTTGAAAACACAGTTTAAAATTGTGGCTTGGGACTCAGTTGCAGATCTGAGCCCCGGCCACTTACTTTGTGATGGAGAAAATTGCATAAACTTTCTAACTTTAAGTGACTCATCTGCAAAATGGGGATATAAACAAAAGCTCTCACAGTGAAGGTATGAGGAGTCAATGAAAAACCAATTGCTTAGTACAATGCCTTGTAAGTAGTAGTTACTCACTAAATAAATTTTAATAAAAACAGTTATCTTTATTAAAATTATTCTATAATGACTATTAATACTTTATTAATTCAAACTAAAATTAGTACTAAAATGACTGTTAATTTATCATATTAACTAATTATCCTATTATTGTTGTTTTTATCATTATAAAAGCCAGTTGTGTTCTGCAATTCTGCTGCTGAGCAGGATTTGAGTGAGCTGACCCAGCTTAGCTCTGGGAAAGCAGCCCCGAAAACTCAGGCTGCAGCAGAAATAACAGAGAAGGCTCTCACTTGTTTACTTAAGCCCATGCAGCAGGCGGCCCACACAGCCTCAGCATTATCAATATGGATTTTGAAATCACCCACGGCTAATAGCCCAAATTAAGAGCCTCGGGGTGACTCCAGAGCAATTGAGAAAGAAAATCCATACCTTCACTATGGATGCCAGGAGCTGTTCAAGGAGAGAGGTCTATATTAATTAACAGCTGTGAATACTGTAAAAGTTGGTGCATTCAGGAGAGAGAGAGAGGCAGTTAAAATTAACCAAACACAAGAATCTCATAGGGTTCCCCAAGTTAGGAAGCAGAGACAGCTGCCCCTGGAAAGGGTGGGCTGGAGACTGCCCTGCCTCACGGGGGCATGGAGTCTGGCGCATGCTCCTACCCACCTAGTACCCCACTGCTCACAGCAGCCTCTAGGGCATGCCTGTCCTTCTGGCATTAGCTATCAACTTTAGGAACATTGAGATTTAGTGTGTGCATAAAATCCTGTGGTCCTTTTGTACTGCAGCAAAATCACTCAACTGCAGTGACCTCCTTTCTCAGAGTCCCTCCTGGATTCTTTGCAAGGCAGGAGACTCAATGTAAAGATGATTCTACTAATAAAGAGGGCTGAGGATGTGAAAACAACGGTCATTATCCTGCAGCAGCCTCCCCCAGGTGCTTTGCACATAGGAGGGCTGATTCCTAAGAACACTTACAATCTCTGGGGAGAAAATAACAAACACTGAGGAAAAACTGTGTGCCCAGAGCGCATAATAATCAAGGCAGTAATATTAAATAGCATGCTTTGAAGCCAGGTGCCTTGGGTTTGAGACCTGATGGTCATTTCCTACCTAAATTTAGGTAAGTCACTTAACATTCTTCTATTTCCTATCTGTGATATGAGACTAAAGAGTCCTTAAAGTATCTTCCATATATTGCAGGCTATTCACATTTTATTCATATGTTATTTCTCTATACAATTCCTCTTAGTTGATCTCATCCAGTAGTGTGGCTTTAAGTACCATCAATATGCTAAAGACAACACATTTTAATCTCCAGCCAGGACAACTGTCCTGAAACCCAGACTATATGAAAACCTGTTGACTCACTGCCTTTTCAATATCTATTAGGCACCTAAAACCTAACATGCCCCAAAATGAATTCCTCTGAGGTAAATGCACCTGAGAGCAATAACTTCAGCATACTCTTAGAATGACCCTATGTGGCAGGTGCACCTGAGTGTGTGTTCCTAGCTAGGGAATCTGGGAGTGGCCAACTTGGAGATTCGTTCCTTATCTATCATGAGCATCTGAGCTCCATGTCTGTCCTATGGAACATGGGCCATAGAAGGGATGGAGGCCCTGAGTTTGGGTTAAATGAAGGTTGCCAGGTGGAGGTCATTAGTGGGAGGGTGTTAAGTGAAAGTGCTCTATAAACTGCGTGCTATTTGCAGGTGGTTGTGGTTTCCTGCTCAGCCTGTTGCCACTGGTGTGGTTATGTTACCCATCCCACCACCACTGGACTGCATGTAAGATGCCTCTCTTGTCCAGCCCACCACCACTGTACTCTCTGTTTTATATGTAAGTCCTAGTAAAACGCTTTGCCTTGTTTGCTGGCTCTGGGTCTCTTCTTCAGCCTCTTGAACCTGGTGCCTTCCCTATTGTGGTTAATAGGGATTTGGCACCATAGCTCCTGGCATTCCATTTCCAAACCTACTGGTCCGATAACCATCCTGGTCACAGGTGATGGCTCAGGCCAAAAATATTGGAGTTGTCTTTGTTCTTGTACTCCTCATGACCAGTCTGTCAGCAAATCCTATTGGCTCCGTCTTCAAAGTATATCTACAGCTGACCTCTTTTCAGCATGTCCAACGCTACCATTCTGGACCAAGCCAGCATCATTTTTACATAGATCCTATCCAGCATTTCTTAACAGGATACCCCAAATTTGCCTTTCCTTCCTCCCAGCTCGGTTTGGTCTATTTCTAGCACAGCAGACAGAATGAGTCTGTTAAAACGTAAGTCAAATCACGTGACTCCTCTTCTCAAAATCTTTCGAGGTTTCCCTTCTCACTCACAGTACAAGACAGTCCTTGCTTTGGCCTACAAAGCCCTAGTTGATTTTCCTGTTGCCCCTGCCATCACCTCTCTGGCCACGTTCCTCCTCTTGTCCCACCTGTTCACTCTGAACCAGCTATGTCAGCTGCCTTGCTGTTCCCTGCACCTGACAAGCAAGCTTCTGTCTCGGGGTCTTTGCATTGCTGGACTGCTTCCTTGAACTTTTTTTCCTCATGAAGCTCACTCTTTTTACTATTTTCAGGGGTTTCTGCTCACGTATACCATGCTTTCCCTGACCCCTCTGTTACACTAGCAACTTGCCTTGCTCCTTTGCACTGACCTGCTTGCTTTTCTCCATTAGCTATGTTATGTATTTAATTATTATGTCACCTTTCAACTAGGATATGAAATCCATAAGAGCATTAACCCATCTGTTTTGTTCTCTACTATGTTCCCCCAACACTTAGAACAGGATCTGGTACCTAGAAGGAAGGTAATTTATATTTCTTAAATCGATGAATGTATGAATGAACGATTATCATCAGAACATGTGACTTGGCTCCCAAAATTTCCTCATGAGAAAAAATTTAGATTTATAATTTCTTCTAATGCCCTCTTTTGAAATCCTGACCCATAGATAGACAGATAAGTAGATAGATAGGTAGAGTTACAAATCTAAATTTCATATCGAAAGAAATAATTAAAAAAAACATACACACATATACATGCATCTATCTATATATTTCCACTTAGATGCCTCAATAGCACCTTAATAAATATAAGCAAAACTGTATCCTTTCTAGAAAGGGAGTTGTACATGGTGGTTAAGAGCCTGACTCTGAGCGCTTAAATAAGTTGCCTAATGTTGCACAGCCAGCCACACAAAATAGGTTCCATATCTGTAAAATGAGGTAGCAGTAACATGCAGGGTAGACTATATAATTTGCAGAGCCTACTACAAAAGGAAATGCAAGGCCTCTTGTTCAAAAGAGTAGGATAAAATACTATTAAAGGTACTAAGATATAGAATTTTTCAGTGTTTTTTGGTTTTCATTTTTGCTATTTAACGTCATACTCCCTCAGGTAAGGAAGTACACAGGCAGACTCTCACAAGTGTGCAGGAGCCCCACCCTGCCACAGAAGGTAGCAGCAGGTCATCCAGCTGCCAGACCAAGGCACCATGCCCCACCCTCATCAGGGAAATCAATTTCTAGTGCCAGGAATCCACTTCCCCACCCCATGGCTGACAGGTGATCCTCCAAGGTTTCAACCTCTGTGCCAGGATATGCTCAGTACCTGGATTGAGAGGCTTGTCCCTGGCAAGTCACCCACCAAACACACTATCTATTGTGCTGCCAGCCCAGGGCAGGAACAGCTGCCCCCATGTGCCTGACCTCCATCTTACACACTGCTGCAGAGGCCCCTGCTGGGAACAAAGGATGGATGTGGGATGCAGCCCTTTCCCAGCCCCAACACACAACACAGTTGGTCACTGCAGGAGAGGGAGTAGTGGCGAAGCTGGCAGTGGTCATGAGGAAGTGATGGAGAGAGGGACTCCTGGTGGGGCCCCAGTACCAAGGAGCTGGGAGCAGGCAGCCAAGAACCCATCCGGAGAGGGTAGGGGAGGTGAAATGTTTCTGGGCTGAGACCGCAAGCCCTCTAGCACTCACTATTTTCCCATGCAGTTTGGCTTATGAAAGATAGTCAACGATAAAAATTATTAGGAATTTCAAGACAGAGACCACAGAGCCTTAGAGCCCAAGTCTGGGGCCCTCTGAGCACCAGCACTTTTCCACTGAGCTGTAGCGTGCCCACCCATGAGTCCTGCCCTGAACAGGTCACATAGTGCGGAGGCCAAGGTTAAGTAAGTTAATATACTTACACGGCATGGGCTGCTGCCTAACAGACTCTCAATTTGAGCTAGTTACTGAGGTTACCTTCAAATTGCCCCTACACTTGCTCTTCTACCAGTGTTGGAGTCTCAAAAGAAGGCATCGTTTTAAAATGTAAATCCAATCATGTTTTTCCTCTGCTTCAAATATTTAAGTTGCTTTACTTTGCACTAAAAATGAAGTTCCAACTCTTCATGTGACCTGTAAGTCTCGGTGGCAATCTTTCCCAGGTCCCCCCACCCTCCACCCTCACCCCATTCCCCTCTTGTCACTCATGCCCTGTAAGCACGGCCATTCTGAACATGGGCTTCTTCCCAATAGAGGTCCTTGGCCAGATTAAGGGAAAGGAGGAGCTCCGGACAGAAGGACCAGCCTGTGCGAAGCCTGAGTCATTTTTTGGTTTGAAAATGTTACTGTTTCATAGAGGTTTATTTTGAGCTTTCTGACCAGTTAACTCCTATCCTGTGATGCACTCTCATAATACTCTGTATTCTTTCTTTAGAGAACTTATAACAATTCTAAATATAATAAGCTATTTTCAGGTTATTTAATGTGTCTTTCTCTAACTTAACTATAAGCATCAAGCAGGCAGATTCCCTATCTATCTTGTTCACTGTTAAATTACTGTGCCTAGTTGAGGGCCTGACACATGGTAGAGCCTCAATAAGGATTTATTGAATTAATTACATTCAGTGCCTAATTTGCATTAGAATATATTTGTCCATAATTAGTTTAGGTTAAGTGTTTGGGAAAGATTACTGTTTAATACAGGCAAATACTGCTTAAGTTTCAGAAGATGACTTGTCTTAGGTTTCTCTCTCTTCTTGCTTGTTTCCTGGACATTTCAAATTGTACCTGTTTTGTGTTGAAAGCCATTTCTTCAGCCATCATTTCCCAATATCCTTTTCCTCTATTCTTGTGTTATCACTCTTCAGCAGAAGATACGTACATATTCCCACTTGCCCAACCCAGCATTTGTTTTTGATTTCTTTCCCTGTCAGTGTCCAGCCACTGAGTCTCCTTATTTATTCAGTCCATAGTGTCTTTACATCACCATTCTCTGCACTTTTCCTATAAACTGTCTCATATTATTTAAAGGTGTAAGGGGTTCAGTGATGCATCTTGCGGAAGAATCTCTGCAGAGGAAAATGGTCTTTTAAGTAAAGAAGGATACTGGTTTGCTTAAATAACCTTGTCACATAAGCAGTGCTGTGCTTACCTGTAAGTTTCAGTTCTTTGTATTACACAGTTGACAATCACAAAATGAGTGCATAAAACAGAGCCAGTGCACACAGCCACTGAGTTTCGGGAGCATTTTGAGATGATCCCTAATTTATTTGTCATTGTCTACAGCCTAGTAAGATCATGCTTCCTTTTCACCTTTCATTTTATCACTGTCTCTAATAAAGGAATACATTAATTTAATCCATAAATACAGATATGATGGTTTTATCCTGTGGCTATGAATAGTGCTTTAAAAGAATCAAAAATGATAAACCAGTGTGGTAATTTACCATAATTCCAAAAATGAAATATTACTTTGAATTAGTCATGGCAGTAATACGTGGATAAGGAACTTTCAGTAAAACCTAAGTGGAAGAGAACAAAGGCAGAGAGGAAACCCAATCTGAGGATGTGTAAGGTTTCTGGCTACTAATCTAGACAGTTGGGAAGAATAAATGCAAGCTGGAGGGCTCGGGAAAAATCTGCCCTGGGAGAAGATGCCCTTGTTTTTTTCTGGAAAGCCCGCCAAGTTTAGGAGACTTGCCACAGTTTAATTAAAGTCTGCCACTGATGTGAAAGCAAAGGAGCAAAAGAAATTAGGGCAGCAGAAAAACTAATGAAAGTCTAGAATCTCATTTTGAACTTTTCTCTCTATTATGCAAGAAATATAACTTGTCAGATGTGTCCCTATTCACCATGACAAAGCCCTCAGGGAAGGAACATTCTGGACTGGGAGGAGAAAAGACCTGTAGTCAGGTCTCTTTTGACTGAACTGTTACTGCCTTTTTCAGTGAAAACTTTTGTTTGTTTTTAAACCAATTTGTAAAAGAGGGCAGCACAGATGGAACAGCTTCCAGCTGAACTACATGAAAGTTGACTGAAACTTTGAGACCATAGACTAGAAAGGAAAGAACAGACCTTGGCAATCAGAGTTGGATTCACAGTTAGGCTTTACCACCTGTATTAATCAGTCTCCAGGGAAACAGAACCAATAGGCTGTATCCAATTTGGACGCTGCTAAGTCCAAAATCCATAGGGCAAGCCAGCAGGCTGAAAATTCGGGTCAGAGTCGCCTGTGGTAGTTTTGAGTCTGAATTCCACAGGGCAGGGCAGGCAGGCTGGAATCTCAGGCAGGCTTTTTATATTGCGGTCTACAGGCTGGATTTGTTCTTCAGAAAACTTCATTCTTTGTTCTTGAGGCCTTCAACTGATTGGATGAGGCCTACCACATTTCGGAGGATAACCTGCTTTGCTCAAAGTCTACTAATTTAAATGTTAATCACAGGCCAGGCATGGTGGCTCATACCTGTAATCCCAGCAGTTTGGGAGGCCAAGGCGGTCGGATTACTTGAGGTCAGGAGTTCGAGACCAGCCTAACCAACATGGTGAAACCCTGTCTGTACTAAAAATACAAAAATTAGCCAGGTGTAGTGGTGGGTGCTTGTAATCCCAGCTACTCAGGAGGCTGAGGCAGGAGAATCACTTGAACCCGGGGGTGGAGGTTGCAGTGAGCCAAGATCACGACAGTGTACTCCAGCCTGGGCAGCAGAGTGAGACTCCATTTCTAAATAAATAAATAAACATTAATCACAACTAAAACGAATATCTTCACAGCAATATCTAGTGTGGTGTTTGACCAAACAACTGGGCACCATCACCTAGCCAAGTTGACACATAAAATTATCTATTAAGAATGATATAATAGTTAATATTTATGTAGCACTCTGTATTTGCCAGGCACAAAGAACTCATTTAATTCTCGCAACAACTCCACGAAGTTGGTGTTATTCTCATTTCATGGATGAGAAAACTAAGATACGGGAAAGTTAAGTAACTTCCCAAGATCACAGATAATAAGATGGAGATCTGGGATCTGAATCCACCTAGCCTAACTCCAGAATTTGGGTTCTTACGCGTCATGATATGACAAATTTATGCAATTAACTTATCTGAGCCTTCATTCTTTTATGGGAAAACATATGTAACAGCAAATAATGTATGTTGAGAGGAGGATTAAGTTAGAAAATGTATATAAGCAGCCTAGCACACTACCTAATATAGAGCAGGAGCTGAATAAATTTAGCTCTCTTCCCCTCCTTTAAAATTGTTAGCATTTTATATCTTACATCTGGAAGCCCTTTCACTTTATAAAGCCTCGTCAAAAAATGATATTAAATATTATTATTTTTGTAATTATTTGTTTAATATTAATTTATCCAGATTGTCTCTAAAATTCATTTGGGCTAGAACCTGTATTATTACATGCTATTCCTCAGCACTAAGCTTGGCATGTAGTAAGTTATTTAATTCATTAAATGAATCAGTGAATAGAGTTAGAAATTGATGATTTTTATTCTCAGTTAGCAGATGAGAAACTGAGGCACAGAATAATCAAATGACTTTCCTTAGGGGTATACAATTTATGGTCAAGTGTGGAGTAACATATTTAGGCCTCCAGAGTTTCCCAATTTAATTTTTTTAATTCAAGAAAGCAGTGTCAGATATCAGCAGAGGCATATACAACCTTAAGGTTCTATTGGTCTCCTTGCCCAGTTGAAGTCTCAGAAACCTTAAATAAAATTCTAGTGTTGAACAATACAAACCTCCGTGCTTGGGTTCTATGAATGGGTCTTGATCAGTTTCTGAGAGCTGTTGACTCCAAAAACCTTCATTTGGAGTGGGCTTTCTCAGATCAGGCAGATGAATAGCTCTGGAGATCAGTAATTAAGGGGTCAGTGATTCACACAAAACAATTCCACATTTAGACACACATTTAGACTTTCTTCAAAAGGAAAAGGAAAAACCCACTTCTTTTTCCAGCTTTCATTCCTCCTGCTTTCTCACTTTCCTGGAAACTGATGAGAAGTACTTCTGTAATTTAAGCCTAATGACAAAGTGCAAAGTCATTACCCACTTTTATTAAATTGTCTTCTGTTTTATAGACCAATTGAAGGAATGACACATTACCACAGAAATTTGTGTGCTCATCCCCCGCCAGCCGTTCCTCCTCCTGCCTTGGGTTTGCTGTCTTGGCTATGGAAGACTGATCTTGGACTCAGAAATACAGTACAAGGGACCACTTCTAGCCTGGACACTTACATGATGAGTGACTTTGGACAAATGATCAAACCTCTCTGTCTCACATGCTCACATATAAAAAGTGGGCAATAATTTCTACCCTGACTCCTTCATAGAGAAATCAGATTTTAATGAGGTGATTTATGTGAGAGTCATTTGACTAAGACAAACATAGATAAAACAAGATAGTGTACCAACATAAACTGCCATTATTATTGCTACAGAATTTTTTAAAGGGAAATATATCTTGCTTGGTGTTGAGTTTCCTATACACATTAAATAAAAAGTCTAGATTTTAAGTACAAACAAATAGATAAGTAACTTACAATCTTTCAGAAATTACAGTAGTCCCCATTTATCTGCAGCAGATACATTTCAAGATCCCCCAGTAAATGCCTGAAACTGCAGACAGTACCACACACTATATATGCTATGTTTTTTACCATACGTACGTACCTGTGATAAAGTCTAATTAATAAATTAGACACAGTAAGAAATTAACAATAATACCTACTAATAAAACGGAACAACTATAACAATATGCCAGCACCACTATTCTTGTGCTTTGAGGCCATTATTAGGTAAAATAAGTGTTACTTGAACACAAGCACTGTGATCCTGGGACTGCCAATCTGATAACCAAGAGGGCTGCTAAGCAACTAACGGGCAGTAGTTACAGCATGCATATGCTGGACAAAGGGAAGGTTCGCTTCTTGGGCAGGACAAAGAGGAATGGCTCAAAATTTCCTCATGCTACTTAGAACAGCAGGCAATTTAAAACTTATGAATTGTCTCTTTGGAATTTCCCTTTCAATATTTTCAACCTTGGTTGACCACAGGTAACTGAAGCTGTGTAAAGTAGAACCTCAGATAATGGATAACCAGGGACTACTGCACCTTCTTCTGGTCATTCTAACTTATCTTAGAACACTGTGATAGTTAATACTGAGTGTCAACTTGATTGGATTGAAGGATGCAAAGCATGGTTCCTCGGTGTGTCTGTGATGGTACTGCCAAAGGAGATTAACATTTGGGTCAGTGGGCTGGGAAAGGCAGACCCACCCTTAATCTGGGTATGCACCGTATAATCAGCTGCCAGCAAATATAAATCAGGCAAAAACAAAACAAAATAAAACAAAAACCACACACATACACACACACAAAAGGTGAAAAGGCTATACTGGCTTAGCCTCCCAGTCTACATCTTTCTCCCATGCTGGATGCTTCCTTCCCTTGAACATCAGACTTCAAGTTCTTCAGCTTTGGGACTTGGACTGGCTCTCTTGCTCCTCAGCTTGCAGGTGGCCTATTGTGGGACCCTGTGATCATGTGAATTTAATACTCCTTAATTAACTGTCTCTCTCTATATATTTATATATGTATAGCTAATATATACATATACTATATATATATTAGGATGAATATATATCCTATTAGTTCTGTCCCTCTAGAGAACCCTGACTAATATAAACACCAAAGTTCCAATCAGTCACTTCTTAACTCCATTTCTTGGTCCCTATAATATATACCTTCATTACCATTTCCACTGCCACTACCTCATTTCAAAACAGTTGTTTTCCAAGAGGCCTTTCTGTTTCCTCACTGTCTTAGACTGATCTTTATAATGGCTTTCCATTGCCTAGGGAAAATTTCAAATCTCTTAGCCCCCTACAATTGAGACTTACCAAGACATTATTGCCTTATATTTGAGTTTCTATAAAGAAACCTTCTACCCCAGAAAATTTGATAGTTTCACTATTCCTAGAAAATAACTTGTTCTGTTTTCAGCTAGCTCATATTAGTTCTATGGAATGCTGTGCCTTGCCATTTCCCATATAAAACCTTTCCTCTTTCTTTCAGAACTTTTCTGCATTACCCTTCTGCAGAGTGACTTCTTATTGACTGAATTGTATCAACTATAAGCCACCATATTTATTCATGTGTTTTATATATCAGGCGTCGTGTTTCACACATCATTATATCTACTATGCTAGCAAAGTGACTGGCATATAATAAATATTTAAGTAATAGCCATTGATAACATAACTTTTCTCTATCTGTTCTAGAATCTCTTCATTTTAGACAACAAAACTAAGAAAATAATTTGTTTTAAAGCACAGAAAATGCAACCTAACCAATGTATGTTCATTTTTAAAAAATTGTAGTAATAAAATTCACCCATTTTAAGAGTACAGCGCTTTGACAAATGTTTATAATTTATATTGGTATATGAATGTATATAATGTCAAAATTATATACATTTAACAAATGTATATAACAGTCACTATAATTGAGACAGAATATTTTCATTCTTCCTCCATTAACATCCCCTAGAAATTACTGATTTTTATTTTTCTGAGTAGTATTACATTGTATAGATATTCTCGACATTTGAGTTCTTTCTATTTTTGGCTACTATAAATATAGCTGAAATGAATATTCCTGTACAGGTTTTTGTATAGAAATATGTTTTTATCAGTCTTGGATAAATACCTAGGAATGTAATTGCTAAGTCATATAGTATTTGTTTAACTTACAAACAAAATAATTTACAAACACAAAATGGGGCAGGCATTTTCATTAAAAAAAACCTGGCAATATATGAGAGTTCTAGGTGCTCCACTGCCTTGTCAACACTTCATATTGTCAGTCTTTGTAACTTTCATCATTCCAGTGGGCATGAAGTAGAATCTCGTAATTTTAATTTGTGTTTTTCTAATAATAAAGATGTTTAGCCTCTTTCTATGGGCTTATTTGTCCTCTGTATGTCTTATTTAATTAAGCCTCTGTTAACATTATTTGCTCATTTTTATGTGACTTTTGTCTTTTTATTATTGAATTTTAAGAATTCTTCATAAATTTTATGGCTTTTTTTGTAATATTCAAAGTGTTTTTTTTCTAGTGTATTATTCCTGGTCTGTGCCTACCATTTTATTTTCTTAACATTTTCTTTTAATGAGAAAAATACAATGTTGATAAATTATAATTTATCATTTGTTTTCTTTATGGTTGAGCTATCTAAAAAGTTTTTATGAAAGCCAAAGTTTCAAAGATTTCCTTCTATGATTTCTTCTAGATGTTTTACAGTTTTAGCTATTACATATTATGCTACATTAAGGGTCAAAGTTTATTTGTTTGTTTGCATCTATTCCAGCACAATTTGTTTTAAGCATTATTCTTTACCATCATATTACCTTGGTTTCTTTCATTTTCTTTTTTTGAGACAGTGTTTCACTCTGTCACTCAGGCTGGAGTACAGTGGCACAATCTCAGCTCACTGCAACCTCCGCCTCCTGGGTTCAAGCAATTCTTCTGCCTCAACCTCCTGAGTATCTGGGAGTACAGGCATGCACCACCACACCCAGCTAATTTTTGTATTTTTAGTGGAGATGGGGTTTCACCATTTTGGCTTGGCTGGTCTCGAACTCCTGACCTCAGGTGATCTGCCCGCCTTGGCCTCCCAAAGTGCTGGGATTACAGGCGTGAGCCACTGCGCCCAGCCTATCTTGGTTTCTTTTTCAAAATTCAACTGACTATATGTGTGTGTATTTGTGTTTATTTATGTATTCTTTGTTCTATTTCATTTATTTGTCTACCCTTACTCTCATATCTCACTGTCTTGATTACTGTAAACATATATTAAACTTTGAAATCAGGTATTCAAATCCTTCAACTTTGTTTTTTTTTTCCAAAAAAACCTTTTATTTGCATTTTTATATACAATGTAGAAGCAGTTCATTAATTTTTTTTTTTTTTTACAAAAGTCCACTGGATTTTATTTCTTTATTTCTTTTTTTTTTTTTTTTTGAGATGGAGTCTTGGTCTGTCACCAGGCTGGAGTGCAGTGGTGCGATCTTGGCTCACTGCAACCTCAGCCTCTCGGGTTTAAGTGATTCTCTTGCCTCAGCCTCCTGAGCAGCTGGGACTACAGGTGCACGGCACCACACTCAGCTAATTTTTGTATTTTTAGTAGAGACATGGTTTCAACATGTCGGCCAGGATGGTCTCGATCCTTTGACCTTGTGATCCTCCTGCCTCGGCCTCCCAGAGTGCTGGGATTATAGGCGTGAGCCGCAGCGCCAGGCCTCCACTGGATCTTTGATTGGACTTCTAAAATGTTATATATTTTCAAATATATTTATTGTTAAATTGTCATATACAATGTATTTACATTGTACAACGTGATGCTTTGAAGTACATTGTGGGATGGTTAAACCTAGCTAATTAACAAATGCATTACCTCATATAGCTATCACTTTTTTGGTGAGAACACTTAACCGTCACTCTGTTAGCATCTCTCAAGAATACAATATATTATTATTAACCATAGTCACCATACTGTACAATATATCTCTTAAACTTATTGAATATCTCTAACTATATATATGTTTCCTTTAATCAACATTTTCCCATTCATCCCTACCCTGCTAACTGCCTCAGCCTGTGATAACCACTATTCTATTCTCTACTTCTATCTGATCAACTTTTTTAGATTCCCCACATAAATGGAATCACGCAGTATTTTGTTTCTATGCCTGGCTTACTTACCATAATGTTCTCCACGTTCATCCAAGTTGTCCCAAAGGATACAATTTCCTTATTATTTATGGCTGAACAGTACTACATTGTATATATATATTTTTTTTCTTTATCCATTCATTTGTTAATGAACCCTGAGTTGATTCCATGTTTTTTTATTTTTTATTTTTTGGCTCTTGGGAATAGTGCTGCAATTAACCTGGGAGTACAGATATCTCTTCAATGTACTGATTTCATTTCCTTTGGCTCTATACTCAGCAGTGCGTTTTCTGAGTCATATGGTAGTTCTATTTTTAATTTTTTGAGGAATCTCCATACTGTTATCTATAGTAGCTGTGTTAATTTACATTCCCACCAAGAGTATGCAAGGGCTCCCTTTTCTTCACATCCTTGCCAACACTTGTTATCTTTTGTCTTTTTGGTTGTAGCCATTCTAATAGGTGTGAGGTGGTAGTTCATTATGATTTTGATTTGCATTTGCCTGAATAATTAGTGATGTTGAACATTTTTTCATATACTTGTTGGCCATTTTTATATTTTCTTTTGAAAAAAGTCTATTCAGGTCTTTTGCTCATTTTTAATTGGGTTGTTTTCTTGTTATTGAGTTGTTTGAGTTCCTTATATTTTAGATATTAACCCCTTAACAGATGTATAGTTTGCAAATGTTTTGTCCCATTCTGTAGCTTGTCTCTTTACTTTGTTTTTTGTCTCCTTTGCTGGGCAGAAGCTTTTTAGTTTGTTGTAGCCCCGTTTGTCTATTTTTGTTTTTGTTGCCTGTGCTTTTAAAGGCATATCCAGAAAATCATTGCTCAAAACAATGTCATGGAGCTTTCTCCTTATGTTTTCTTTTAGTACAGAAACAATTTGGGGATAGCTGATTTTAATGTTTAACAGCATTGAATCTTTTCATTTTTTTCTTTTTAAACATTGAGTCTTTGGATATGCTCATTTAGGTATCTTAAAAATTTCTGTCAGAGATGTTTTGTAGTTTCCATTGCACAGGCTTAACACGTATTTTGTTAAGTTTGTCCCTATGTATTTCTTGGTTTGCGATGCTATCTTAGGTGGTGTTATTTTTCTTTTATTTCAATTTGCTTTTGTTCATTGATTATATATTGAAATGCAGTTGATTTTTTGTAATGCCTTATGTTCTTTGATGTTTCTTACCTCATGTATTAGTTCTAGTATCTTTTTAATAGATTTCTTGAGAATTTTAATGTAAACAGTTAGGTTTAAACACAGGTTTACGGCTTTCTTTTAAATCTATATGTTTGTATATCTTTTTCTTGCCTTATTGTGATGGTTTTGACTTCTAGTACAATATTGAACAAAATGGTGAAAGTGTATATCTTTGTCTTGTTTTAATCTTAAGGGGAAAGCATTGAGCATTACATGTGATGTACCTCTAGGTTTTTGTAGGTGTCCCATATTAGATGTTACTTTTATTCCCATTTTGCAGAAATATTTTTGCACTCTGCATGGATATTACATTTTTAGTTGCTTTTCCTATATTGAATGAAAAGAGCATTTAGCTTTTCTATTTTAGTTTGTGTATATATATAGAGAGAGAGATATTGTTTAATTTTAAATGTTGAAGCAGTCTTATATTCCTAAAATAAACCCCACTTGGTCATGATGTGTTAATTCTTTCTTTGCATTGGTAGATTCAACTTGCTGAAAGTTTTTCAGAGGTCATTTACATCTATATTCTGACACTGGTCTATAGGGGTGTGTGTGCGATGTTTTCATCTGGTTTTGCTATCGGGTTTTGCTGGCCCCATAAAACTGGGTAGTTTTTCCTTCTTTTCAATTTCTTGAAATGATTTGAGTATAATTGGTGTAATTTCTTCCTTAAGTATTTATCTTTTCTCTAGTGAAGCCATTTTGGCTTAAAATTTTCATTATGGTAGAAATTTTCACAATAAATCTCATTTATTTAAATATGTCTTAGACATATTTGTATTATCATATTTGTATTAGACATATTTGTAGACTATTTGTATTATCTGTTTCTTCTAGAGTTAGCTTTGTTGTTTTGTGTTTTTGAAGAAATGTATCTATTTTTTCCCTAAACTGTTGAATTTATTGGCATAGAGATTGTAATTTTTTTTTTAGAATTTGAATTGAACCCTTTTTAAAATATATGGTTTTCATTTCTCTAGTAAATTTCCTTTTGTGTTCATTCATGTTGTCTATCTCTTTCACTAGATCCTGCAATCGTATTTATCATAATTTTAATCATAACAATTTTAAAGTCCCTTTCTAATAGTTTCAAGTTCTAGATTATTTTTGGTTCGTGTTCTCTGTCAATTGTTTTGTTTATTGCAATGTGACTTTTTTTATTGGTGTGTGTATCCGTGTGTGTGTATATGTGTGTGTATTTGTAACGTTTTATTGAAGGCCAAACATTATTTCTAAAAGGACAGAAAAGGCTGAGATAAATTTTATTTACATTCAGAATGTTTTTTCTTCTCTTAGCCTATTAGTATGGTTGAGTGAACTCAGTTGGTGACTAAATTGTGTTTGGGTTTTGCTGTTGCTATAGTTATTGTCAGCGCTCTGCAAGTTTCCAATTCCGCCAGTTGTGGACTGACATTACTTTGCTCTTATTTTGAGGCCTAAAGTGCTAGATTTTTCTTAGTGTTCTTTCTTTACTCTCCCCTTTCAGAGACGCTGTGGTGAGTCTCTGTTTCTGAGCTCTCGCCAATCCCCCAGTGGTAAACTGCAGCCCATCATTACGCGGTGAAAAGCTCCTAATCGGGGCAGGAAGTTTTCTTGGTTCCTTCCTTGGTTCTTCAACCTCTGTATTAGGCAGGCAGGTCTATGTGCCTAGATCTCAGGAGTAAGGCTTTTTCAATGTTATTGCCCCTTCCCTGGTGGCAGGAAACCTCCAATTTCTCCTGATTTCGGGGCTTAACGCACAGGTTGAGGTCTTTACATTTTCCTGGATGGCAACTAAACTCTCCCATGTATTGTTGGAAAGATGAGTGGGAAGGACAAGATTCTTGGCCTTCCCCGACAGTAGCAGACTTCTGCTTTGTCTTAGTGAATGATCCTGGGCATGAGTGAGTTTTCTTCCCCTCTGCAGCAGCTGAGAATTTGTGCCTGGTGTCTATGTAGGGTGTTGGGAGCAGGTTTTTTATGCTTTCCCTAGTAGTGGCCAAATTTGCTTAGACTGAGAACACAAGGATTTCCTACCCTGCGCATTAGTGAATGGCTTTTTCCTTGTTTTAAAGTAGACTTACACAGCAGGGATAGGTCTTTCTTCACCCCCAGTACCCACTGATTTTTTCTTCTTATCTGTGTATCTGTGAAGGTCAGGACTAGATCATGTTTTGTTTCTGCCCCTAGCAGCAACCCATCACCACCTTGTACTCATATACGTCCCAGCGTGCAATGGGTTTCTCAAAATACTGCTTATACCCACAAATCTTGTAAGAACCTACACAGTTATCCTACCAAGAGAGACTCCCTCAGGTCTCCCATGTCCTCAGTCTTTCACATGAATGCGTGGCAGAGGTCTGTGTAAAACAAATGGTGAGTGACTATAGACTCATGTGAGGTTCCAAGATTGTAACCTGTCATACTAACCTATAGGAGGCATAGTTGTTTCCTATTGCTGCTGCAACAAATTACCATAACACAGTGCTTTAAAATAACACAGATTTAATGTTGTACAGCTCTAAAGATCAGAAGTCTCAAATAGGTCTCATTCCCTTAAACTAAAATGTCATCAGGGCTGCATTCCTTCTGGAGACTCTAGAGGAGAATTTATCGTCTTGCCTTTTCTAGCTTCTAGGGACTACCCACATTCCTTGGCTCATGTCTGCTTCCTCCCTCTTCAAGTCCAGGAGGGTAGCATCTTTACCTGTAACTCTTCTGCCTCCATCTTCCAATTATGACCCTTGTGACTATACTGGGTCTACCAGATAATCCAAGATAATCTCCTCACCTCCAGGTAAAATGATTAACAACCTTAACTGTATCTGCAACCATAATTCTTTGCCATGTAATCTAACATATTCACAGGCTATGGGGATTAAGACATAGACATACTCAGAGGAGGAAGTGAAGGTATTATTCAACCACCCACATTAGGTCTTACAGATATCAATACAGTTTCTTTTTTTACTTACTTTTATGACTTCCACGTCTTCTTCTCCTGCTTTACCAAAGGTAAAATAACTCATCTGTCCTAAATCTTACATTTTGCCATCCTTTGGAATTCAACTCTGATGGGCTCAAAAATTATGCTTGCATATATCTACATTTTTCGTAGTTTTAGGGTGAGAGCCATGTTCTCTGCAGCTTGCATAACCTAAGCAAATGCAGAACTCCTCTCAAAGCCTTTCCTATTAAAAAATATTCAAGTTGTAAACCACGAAATTCTGAAATGTTCCTATTATATAAACTCATGCTGAACCATATAATTTAAGGATAATTGGTCAAAAGAGAAGAAGAGTTTGTAAACATATAATATAAATTCACAACAAATTCCTCTGACACAAAGTGAACTGTATTTTAGGGATGCCTCTCTGCTTTTACATACTTCAGTCTAATTAAATTAAGTTCGGCGATACTTATGGGGAATGCAGATATCCAAAAGTTTCTAAGACTCGCGAAATCTTTAGTCTAAACAATCTACAAACCCACTATTTAGTTCTTACTATGTGAAATCTTTTCCAGAAATTTCTCTCTTTTTTGTTTCAAATGTCCATTTCCATGTGCCCTTTGAATTTGTGACACAGCATTTTAAATATAAATTTAGAAGTAATTTTATATCATCTTTACTTCTTTTGTCAAAAATATTTTTAGTAAAGCCTCCAGGTTTCTGCCCTACATGACAGACCCTAATGCAGTTAAATTGAGCTTGAATTTCTCCAACCACCTATCCTCTTCTCTGTTTCTGGTTCTCTTTATTCTTGTTCCTCACCTGCTTTTTAATGTTCATACTGCAGGTGTCCAATTGTATATCTTCAAGTGCTCATTTCATATTTTCTGTTGCTGCCCTTGCTCCCAAACTCAACATCCCAAGACTTAATGATGTCCATATCTCAAGCTTTCCATAGGAAGCTTTATGTTTGGTAAAGCAGAATTGATCACTTAATTTTTACTCATGTGGCTTAACTCTGTTTCCCAAAATTCATATGTTGAAATCCTAATCCCCAGTTCCTCACAATGTGACTAGATTTGGAGAAAGACTGTTTAGAGAGGTAATTAAGTTAAAATGAGGTTATTAGGATAAGCCCTAATTCAACATGACTGATGTCCTTAATTATAAGAAGAGAAGGAAGAGAAGGACAAAGGCATGCCCAGAGGGAAGACCATATGAAGACACAGAAAGCAGAAAATGACTGTCTAGAAGCCAAGGAGAGCGGCCTCAGGAGAAATCTACCCTGCCAACATCTTGATCTCAGACTTCTAACCTCAATAATTGTGAGAAAATAAGTTTCTGATGTTAGGAAAACCAGTCTGGTACCTTGTTATAAAAACCCTAGCAAACTAATATATCATCCTTTAAAACTATGCACAGGTTTAGCTCCTCTTGGAAGCCTTCACTGATCTTCTGTCTGGGTCAGATGGCTCTTTTTTCTGTGCATCCATAAATGCTGCAATAAATATATATGATTATTTCTCACATTTCATTGCCATTGTGTGCTTCTTTGTCCCATAAACTCTATCTTTGAATTTCCAGCATCTAACAGAGTCCTTGATATGTAAAAAGCAGCTAAATGTAGGCATTGAATTAATGAACATCCTATCTTCTACAATAGACTGTGACCCTTTGAACATATGATAAAAATCTTATTCACCTTTTTGTTTGAGTGTACCTTAGACTCTAAGTGGTACTAATTAGTTACATTCCTCAATCCATGACACAGTATCATTAATTGTCTGCACACGTGCTCTCTTATTTAATAATCTGTTCCCCATTAGTGCCCATTTTCCCTTCCATTTTACACTTTACCTCTGTAAATAACAACTCTGACATACTTAATGTGTACATTCATCTGTGTTTATTCTTGAAAAATGTATACTTAAAAAAATTCACATGCACTTTAATATAAATGTGATATTGTGTTATAAATCACAAACGTATCTTACTTTTTTTCTTTAACAGTGCTTTTAAGGTCCATTCATATTGTTATCTGTACCTCTAACCAACTGTTTCTAACAGCTACATCCTTGCATTGTATGTCCGTGTGTGTCAGTGTGTGTTTATCCTCAGCACCTAGACCAGTGCCTAAGGCAATGTAGGGTACTTAACTGTTAAAAAAAAATGTATAAAAGGTATCATATTCACCCAATATTGCTGGTGATGTTGTCCTTGCAATTTCTACATCAAAATCTCCTTCATATCCATCCTTTTCTTTTCTGTCCTATTTCCACTATCTTAGATTAGACCCTCTCATCTTCAGATGTGGTTGGTTAGAATATGTCACCAACCCCTTTCTTTCCTGCACTAGAAGCCATTCATCACATTGGAGTCTCATTCATTTTATGAAAACTCCGTGGTCATCATTTCTCTTTCTCCACTAAAAACTTCCACGAGACCACACCGACCTTAGACTAATATCCCTGAGACTGATTTTGAAGGTCTTTCATATCCAGCCTTAGCTCATTTATTTTCCCCTTACTCCTCCCCCAAACAAGCTATTTTTATCCACCTTAAATACCCCATACTTCCTGACTCTGCTCCCTTTTTTGTTCCTTCTCCACTTGTCTAAATCCCTACAGTCTTTACAAAAAAACAGCTCATGTAAAATGTCCCCATGAAGTTTTCTCTGTGGCTGCATGTTTTGTTCACTGACTTACAAGAATACCGAGGAGACTGTGTGGTGTGAGAGAGTCAGTAAGGCATTGCAGAAATCGTATTGCATTTGGAGACCTAGACTTAGAATACCAGTTTGGCATTTAATATCAGTGAGTTTGTGGGAAAATCACAAAGCTCCTTAAGCTTCCTTTTCCTTATCTGTAAAATAGGAATATTAATTATAACTTTATATAGAGTGTAGTGATTGAATGAGGCACTTTGCGTAAAACATCTGCCGCATAATAAGCATTCAATACGTAGCAGCTGCTATCATCATGAGTGCTGCCTCTATCGTTCATTTGGCATCTAGCATATGCCACCGTGTGTTACTATTTAACTACTTTATGGTTTTATATCTGTCTCCTGTAAAAGTGGCTTTTAGAGATGTGCTGTGTCTTACACTTATTTTGTATGTCCCAGAGTGGTAATCACAGTGATGGTGTCTTCCCATGTATTAAAAAAATTAAGAACCTCATCCCTTGAAAAATTCATTTCAATAGTATGTCTTGTTACTTTAAGTATATAGAGTTAACTGTATATTACCAACATTAATAAAGTGTTGCTACATAGAGATCCTCCTGGATTAATTTGGCACATTCCATTGAGGAACACTTTACACTACTACCCTGTTGCCTGGATGTCATCATTTGAAACTTAACAAGGGACTCGGACCATCTCTTGGGGTGATAATGGGTTCTTGGGTCCCCTCACCTCAACCATGCTGAATAAGATTTTATAATTTGTGGCATAAGCATAAATTATAAGCACATCAGTTGATTCCTAATCACCACAGAGCCTGAGACCCCTCTATATAGGAGAGGAAACATTTGTTATGGAAACACAGGCCTAAATGCTCAGCTTTGAGCCATATCCTTCACCTCTATGAACCTCAGTTTATTTTTTAAATATAAATTATCATAGTTCTTCCTCATACAGCTTGTAGAGAAAGCTCTATAAGCTAATCTTATCTTAGCTGATCATCTCATCATCTTAGCTCATCATCTGGTAGGTAGCCATTGCCTAAAACTGTAGTTAATTTTATCCTTGTTAAATTGGAGGATGTGATGACTGTGTCTTTCCCATAACCCTCCTGTCCCCCTGTTCTGAGGAAGATGTTTCCTCCTATAGTAGCTAAATCCTTGTTATTCAAAACATAGTCTTTGGACTAGCAGCTTGGGTAGCCCCTGGGAGCTTGTTAAAAATGCAGTCCCAGGCCCCATGGCTAGAAAACTGACTCCGAATTTGCATTGTAACAAGAATATTTAGGTCATTGGAAGGCACATTAAAGTTTGGAAAGCACGGGTCTAAATAAGCTTCTAAATCAGTAGGTTGGGGTCTAGGGAGGAACCTAGGACTCTGATTTTTCATGAGCTCCCAGATAGTGCTGTTAACCCATTAATTGCTCTTAGAGTAGCCTGTTTAGATCGCTGTTTTCAGACTTGACTATGCATTGGAATCAACTTGGCAGGAAGCTTCAGAAAACAGAAATTACTGGTTTTGGCCAGGTGGAGAGGCTCACGTCTGTAATCCCAGCACTTTGGGAGACAGAGGCAGGTGGACCACTTGAGGTCAGGAGTTTGAGACCAGCCCAGCCAATATGGTGAAACCCCATCTCTACTAAAAAACAAAAAATAGCCTGGTGTGGTGGCACATGCCTGTAGTCCTAGCTCCTCTGAAGGCTGAGGCAGGAGAATTACTTCAACCTGGGAGCTGGAGGTTGCAGGGAGCTGAGATGACACCACTGCCTTCCAGCCTGGGTGACAAAGTGAGACTCCATCTCAAAATAAATAAATAAATAAATAAATAACATTACTGGTTTCTACTCTCAGGTATTTAATTGGAATGGGGTGCAGTCTCAGCATCAAAACTTCTAAACTCAGAATTATGTGTGTGTTGTCAGCTGTGTGTTCATTTGAACACACAGAAAAGTTTGAGGGCCACTGCTGTAGATTAATTTGGTTGAATTTTTTTCACACATAAATTAAAAGTAGCATTTCAAGCAAGGCACTGTGTAAATTATATTTTAAAAACCCACATTGGTGAGATTTTACTAGAGATATTTTGACAGAAAAACATGTAAACATGTATATGTACAAACACAGACATATAGATCAGTTTAAATCCTTTTAACTCCCGACTGTCTTGTGTAACAAGAACAAAACAAAGTTGAAAGCCTGTGAAAGATATTATTCCAAGATGGAGTTAGGGCACAGAGTGAAGTGGAAATAGCTTAGAAGGAAGCTTCACTGAGTGTTTGAAGCATTAGGGAATCTGCATACTGTTTTCTGCATCACCAGATTATCAATTATTAGCATATCAGAATTCAGGTTGAGCCAGATAGATTGTTAACTATGTCATATTTGATTGTTGCAATATGTTCCAAATCATGGCTGCCAGAGGGTGTATCTTGCTGACTTTGGCATCTTCCTTCCTAAATCTCAAAAGAATGATAGAGGGATATATTTTTTCAAAATGTAAGCAAAGAATTTATTTAGAAACAAGTGACATTTTAGTGGGTGAACATGTGTACAAATAGTCCACCTATTGATAAGACTTGTAAAAATTCTTATTGGAAGTTTCACCATTAAAAGAGATTGTAGCATCACATTAGGGTAGACAAATATTTTCCAGTTTTCAGCAAAAGCAATATATTTTCAGTAAAAGACATTAGATGACACATAATTACTCTAAAAATTCAGTAGCTGACAATACCATAGATACACCCCTCATATGACATCAAGGCTAGGAAGAAACTGCATCAACTAACGAGCAAAATAACCAGCTAACATCATAATGACAGGACCAAATTCACACATAACAATATTAACTTCAAATGTAAATGGGCTAAATGCTCCAATTAAAAGACACAGACTGGCAAATTGGATAAAGAGTCAAGACCCATCAGTGTGCTGTATTCAGGAAACCCATCTCACGTGCAGAGACACACATAGGCTCAAAATAAAGGGATGGAGGAAGATCTACCAAGCAAATGGAAAACAAAAAAAGTCAGGGGTTGCAATCCTAGTCTCTGATAAAACAGACTTTAAACCAACAAAGATCAAAAGAGAGAAAGAAGGCCATTACATCATGGTAAAGGGATCAATTCAACAAGAAGAGCTAACTATCCTAAATATATATGCACCCAATACCGGAGCTCCCAGATTCATAAAGCAAGTCCTTGGTGACAGTAATCCCAAGTTTAAAAATATGTCCCATAATTTTGTTCATTCACATTAGCTATTATTATACCAGAAGACCACTTTGAATGTGCCCAGTATGTTTTCACTTTTTAAAAACAGAATTGATACTCAACTCCATGGGAAAAGCAATTACAAAATAAGTTTTATCCATTCATTCAAAAATATGTATGGAATGCCTACTATGTGCTAGGTACTTTCAAAAGACATGAAATAAACTTCTCTTCTACACACTTAATTTTAAACTTCCTTCATTCAAAGTGCTGTTGTGGGCAATGGATGATGTTAATAGTAATAAACATTTGATGAGAACTGAAATGCATCAAGCACTGTGCTAGATCCTTCATGATCATCACCTCTTTTTTTAATATTATTATTATTATTATACTTTAAGTTCTGGGGTACATGTGCAGAAAGTGCAGGTTGGTTACAATGGTATACACGTGCCATGGTGGTTTGCTGCACCCATCAACTTATCATCTATATCAGGTATTTCTCCTAATGCTATCCCTCCCTTAGCCCCCCACCCCCAGACAGGCTCTGGTGTGTGATGTTCCCCTCCCTGTGTCCATGTGTTCTCATTGTTCAACTCCCTCTTATGAGTGAGAACATGTGGTGTTTGGTTTTCTGTTCCTGTGTTAGTTTGCTGAGAATGATGGTTTCCAGCTTCATCCATGTCCCTGCAAAGGACATGAACTCAACCATTTTTATGGCTGCATAGTATCCCATGGTGTATGTGTGCCACATTTTCTTTATCCAGTCTACCATTGATGGGCATTTGGATTGGTTCCAAGTCTTTGCTATTGTAAACAGTGCTGTAATAAACATTCATGTGCATTTGCCTTTGTGGTAGAATGATCTATAATCCTTTGGGTGTATACCCAGTAATGGAATTGCTGCATCAAATGGTATTTCTGGTTCTAGATCCAAGACATTTATGTGGCCAAGAAACATATGAAAAAAAGCTCATCATCATTGGTCATTAGAGAAATGCAAATCAAAACCACAATGAGATACCATCTCACACCAGTTAGAAAGGCAATCATTAAAAAGTCAGGAAACAACAGATGCTGGAGAGGATGTGGAGAAATGGGAACTCTTTTACACTGTTGGTGGGAAGTGTAAATTAGTTCAACCATTGTGGAAGACAGTGTGGCAATTCCTCAAGGATCTAGAACCAGAAATACTATTTGACCCATGATCGTCATCTCTTTTTTAAGTGACATGGCAACCTTGTGTGGCTGGGACTGGGATAATCCAAGCTTTAGGATGAGGCAACTAAGATGTAGGGAGATTAGGTAACTAGAGAAACAATAGACAGTGGGGTGGGCATTTGATATCTGACACTCTGAACCCAGAACCCAAGTTCCTAAACATGATGGAAGAAGCAAGTGTGTTGCTTGGGCTGAAGCACTCCTCATCCCAGTCAGACTGTATTTGTTGTCAGAGAAAAGTGATTCTTGCTCACATGGAAACTTTTCTGTACTCAGCCTAGGAAATTTCCATGCACAAAAGAAATCGATAGTGTCAATGAGCTCCAGCCAAAGCTCACCTGGAGCACACCAGTGATTGAACAAGTATTGATTATTACTACTTGCAGAGAGAAAGGACAGGCACCGTGGGGAAATCATGCATTGTCTTAGTAAGATGGTATTTAAAAGAACCTATTAAAGGATCTGGGCTTTGGTTGTGTGATAAATAATGATTTAGCAGGCTTATACCCTGCCTCTCTGAACACCTCTTTTCTTCCCTCCATTTACACAATATTATTGCAATCCAATTTTGGTTAAATTAAAAATATATTTACTGTATTTATATGATACATGGTATTGTTCAATTGTAGAGTACCATGATTATATATTCTGACTGGTATTACTTTTTTATATTGCAGTTAATAACTGCCTTTATATAAAATTTTCTTAGTTTTCAATATACTGTTATCACCATTTTTCTGCAAACTCGACAAAAGACGTATAGAACCCTTTAGAATACTTTTTTCTGTAGTAGCTAAGCAAGTATTTCTTCTTCCCTTTGAAACAGTCCTCCATCCTGTGCCTTCCAACCTCCACTTCTACTCTAGAGTGGTGGCATTCTGAATGGTATATTTAAACTTTTGGGATTTTTCTACAGTTCTCCTCTGATTGATCCAGTATTTCCTGGACAAAGTGCCTTTGCCCTTCTTGCTCTATGCCCTAATTTGGGAGAGGCACACTTTCAAGTGATTTCCTGAGAATAAGGCATCAGAGGGAATCTTGAGACCTGAAACATTTCTGAAAGCGTTATTTTCTATCTTCATGCTTGACTGAGAATCTTGCCAGGTATGGCATCATAGGTCAAAACTAAATTTTTCCTCAGAATTTTGAGAGCATTGCTTCATTGTCATTCACCTTCTAGTGTTGCTACTGAAAAATCCTATACTATTCTAATATCTGTTCTTTTGTCTTTGACCTTGTTTGCTTGTTTGTTTGTTGTCTAGAATATTTTATCAACTTATTTTTATCCCTGGTGTTTGAAAACTTCTATTAGAAACCGGGCATTACTATTAGAGACCGGGCATTACATAGCTGATTAGAACACGGGTAGAAATTGTTGAGTGATTGGTTGGAAACCTGGGAATTGCTCTTACGGAAATACCAATTAGCCATATCTCTGAGTCTTTTTCTCTCATGTATTCTTGTTCTGTAGGGATGAAACAAAAGGCTTTACTTATCTTCAGCCAAGATCAGGCCCAGGGTTTGGATGGGTAGTAATTGTTAGGTATGAGGTCAGTCCCAGAATTCTTGGAAACACTTTGTGGGTGGTGGCTGGAGTAACTTCATCTTAACCTCTTTGTTTCTACCACACTGTCTCTCTCCCACTGTGTGCTGTACCTAGTGTTCCCTAGAATGAAACCTCTATGACTTAAAATCTCTCCAGATAAACTCCATGCTGCAGTGGAGAAAGTGAAGTTGCCCAACCAGGTGGAAGAGAGAATGAATCAGGGTACTGACTTTTCTACCAGTGTCCCCATTTTTTTTCTGGTGCTTCACTATTATCTTCTGTGGTATTGGTGCCTCCGAATTCTGGAGGTCTCATTGACTTTGTCCTAATTATCTTCCACTTGTGCAAGCATTTGGGATTCAGGTTTCTTCGAAAAACGAATCTCTTCCTCCACTTCCAGTGTTCTAAAAACTTGAAATACTCTCTCTGGTCTGTTCCTTTGTACATTTATAATTCATTTTTATTTACTTTCTCAAAATTTAGTGCAGTTTCATGAGGGTACAAGGATTAATTCATATATGTAATTGAAATTTTGTGATTGAAAAAGTCTTTACATTGCTCTTAGATCTAAATTGTCTATTGTGGCATAATTAGCAGGCAACATATATATTGACCTTATGGAATGTATGTTAAGTATATAACACATAACAATATATTTTAAGCTGGTAGAGGGAACTCTGTGGTGACTACCAATAAAATTCATCTCATCACAGTGCAAACAATTTCACTACTGATAAGCTGGGTTTTTTTTTCATTCTGTTGAAAACAACCTAGTAATCTTTTCTTTTTTCTTTTTTTTTTTTTTTATTATACTCTAAGTTTTAGGGTACATGTGCACATTGTGCAGGTTAGTTACATATGTATACATGTGCCATGCTGGTGCGCTGCACCCACTAATGTGTCATCTAGCATTAGGTATATCTCCCAATGCTATCCCTCCCCCCTCCCCCGACCCCACCACAGTCCCCAGAGTGTGATATTCCCCTTCCTGTGTCCATGTGATCTCATTGTTCAATTCCCACCTATGAGTGAGAATATGCGGTGTTTGGTTTTTTGTTCTTGCGATAGTTTACTGAGAATGATGGTTTCCAATTTCATCCATGTCCCTACAAAGGATATGAACTCATCATTTTTTATGGCTGCATAGTATTCCATGGTGTATATGTGCCACATTTTCTTAATCCAGTCTATCATTGTTGGACATTTGGGTTGGTTCCAAGTCTTTGCTATTGTGAATAGTGCCGCAATAAACATACGTGTGCATGTGTCTTTATAGCAGCATGATTTATACTCATTTGGGTATATACCCAGTAATGGGATGGCTGGGTCAAATGGTATTTCTAGTTCTAGATCCCTGAGGAATCGCCACACTGACTTCCACAATGGTTGAACTAGTTTACAGTCCCACCAACAGTGTAAAAGTGTTCCTATTTCTCCGCATCCTCTCCAGCACCTGTTGTTTCCTGACTTTTTAATGATTGCCATTCTAACTGGTGTGAGATGATATCTCATAGTGGTTTTGATTTGCATTTCTCTGATGGCCAGTGATGATGAGCATTTCTTCATGTGTTTTTTGGCTGCATAAATGTCTTCTTTTGAGAAGTGTCTGTTCATGTCCTTCGCCCACTTTTTGATGGGGTTGTTTGTTTTTTTCTTGTAAATTTGTTTGAGTTCATTGTAGATTCTGGATATTAGCCCTTTGTCAGATGAGTAGGTTGCGAAAATTTTCTCCCATGTTGTAGGTTGCCTGTTCACTCTGATGGTAGTTTCTTTTGCTGTGCAGAAGCTCTTTAGTTTAATTAGATCCCATTTGTCAATTTTGTCTTTTGTTGCCATTGCTTTTGGTGTTTTGGACATGAAGTCCTTGCCCACGCCTATGTCCTGAATGGTAATGCCTAGGTTTTCTTCTAGGGTTTTTATGGTTTTAGGTTTAACGTTTAAATCTTTAATCCATCTTGAATTGATTTTTGTATAAGGTGTAAGGAAGGGATCCAGTTTCAGCTTTCTACATATGGCTAGCCAGTTTTCCCAGCACCATTTATTAAATAGGGAATCCTTTCCCCATTGCTTGTTTTTCTCAGGTTTGTCAAAGATCAGATAGTTGTAGATATGCGGCATTATTTCTGAGGGCTCTGTTCTGTTCCATTGATCTATATCTCTGTTTTGGTACCAGTACCATGCTGTTTTGGTTACTGTAGCCTTGTAGTATAGTTTGAAGTCAGGTAGTGTGATGCCTCCAGCTTTGTTCTTTTGGCTTAGGATTGACTTGGCAATGCGGGCTCTTTTTTGGTTCCATATGAACTTTAAAGTAGTTTTTTCCAATTCTGTGAAGAAAGTCATTGGTAGCTTGATGGGGATGGCATTGAATCTGTAAATTACCTTGGGCAGTATGGCCATTTTCACGATATTGATTCTTCCTACCCATGAGCATGGAATGTTCTTCCATTTGTTTGTCTCCTCTTTTATTTCCTTGAGCAGTGGTTTGTAGTTCTCCTTGAAGAGGTCCTTCACATCCCTTGTAAGTTGGATTCCTAGGTATTTTATTCTCTTTGAAGCAATTGTGAATGGGAGTTCACCCATGATTTGGCTCTCTGTTTGTCTGTTGTTGGTGTATAAGAATGCTTGTGATTTTTGTACATTGATTTTGTATCCTGAGACTTTGCTGAAGTTGCTTATCAGCTTAAGGAGATTTTGGGCTGAGACAATGGGGTTTTCTAGATAAACAATCATGTCGTCTGCAAACAGGGACAATTTGACTTCCTCTTTTCCTAATTGAATACCCTTTATTTCCTTCTCCTGCCTGATTGCCCTGGCCAGAACTTCCAACACTATGTTGAATAGGAGCGGTGAGAGAGGGCATCCCTGTCTTGTGCCGGTTTTCAAAGGGAATGCTTCCAGTTTTTGCCCATTCAGTATGATATTGGCTGTGGGTTTGTCATAGATAGCTCTTATTATTTTGAAATACGTCCCATCAATACCTAATTTATTGAGAGTTTTTAGCATGAAGGGTTGTTGAATTTTGTCAAAGGCTTTTTCTGCATCTATTGAGATAATCATGTGGTTTTTGTCTTTGGCTCTGTTTATATGCTGGATTACATTTATTGATTTGCGTATATTGAACCAGCCTTGCATCCCAGGGATGAAGCCCACTTGATCATGGTGGATAAGCTTTTTGATGTGCTGCTCGATTCGGTTTGCCAGTATTTTATTGAGGATTTTTGCATCAATGTTCGTCAAGGATATTGGTCTAAAATTCTCTTTTTTGGTTGTGTCTCTGCCCGGCTTTGGTATCAGAATGATGCTGGCCTCATAAAATGAGTTAGGGAGGATTCCCTCTTTTTCTATTGATTGGAATAGTTTCAGAAGGAATGGTACCAGTTCCTCCATGTACCTCTGGTAGAATTCGGCTGTGAATCCATCTGGTCCTGGACTCTTTTTGGTTGGTAAACTATTGATTATTGCCACAATTTCAGAGCCTGTTATTGGTCTATTCAGAGATTCAACTTCTTCCTGGTTTAGTCTTGGGAGAGTGTATGTGTCGAGGAATGTATCCATTTCTTCTAGATTTTCTAGTTTATTTGCGTAGAGGTGTTTGTAGTATTCTCTGATGGTAGTTTGTATTTCTGTGGGATCGGTGGTGATATCCCCTTTATCATTTTTTATTGTGTCTATTTGATTCTTCTCTCTTTTTTTCTTTATTAGTCTTGCTAGCGGTCTATCAATTTTGTTGATCCTTTCAAAAAACCAGCTCCTGGATTCATTGATTTTTTGAAGGGTTTTTTGTGTCTCTATTTCCTTCAGTTCTGCTCTGATTTTAGTTATTTCTTGCCTTCTGCTAGCTTTTGAATGTGTTTGCTCTTGCTTTTCTAGTTCTTTTAATTGTGATGTTAGGGTGTCAATTTTGGATCTTTCCTGCTTTCTCTTGTAGGCATTTAGTGCTATAAATTTCCCTCTACACACTGCTTTGAATGCGTCCCAGAGATTCTGGTATGTGGTGTCTTTGTTCTCGTTGGTTTCAAAGAACATCTTTATTTCTGCCTTCATTTCGTTATGTACCCAGTAGTCATTCAGGAGCAGGTTGTTCAGTTTCCATGTAGTTGAGCGGCTTTGAGTGAGATTCTTAATCCTGAGTTCTAGTTTGATTGCACTGTGGTCTGAGAGATAGTTTGTTATAATTTCTGTTCTTTTACATTTGCTGAGGAGAGCTTTACTTCCAACTATGTGGTCAATTTTGGAATAGGTGTGGTGTGGTGCTGAAAAAAATGTATATTCTGTTGATTTGGGGTGGAGAGTTCTGTAGATGTCTATTAGGTCTGCTTGGTGCAGAGCTGAGTTCAATTCCTGGGTATCCTTGTTAACTTTCTGTCTCGTTGATCTGTCTAATGTTGACAGTGGGGTGTTAAAGTCTCCCATTATTAATGTGTGGGAGTCTAAGTCTCTTTGTAGGTCACTGAGGACTTGCTTTATGAATCTGGGTGCTCCTGTATTGGGTGCATAAATATTTAGGATAGTTAGCTCCTCTTGTTGAATTGATCCCTTTACCATTATGTAATGGCCTTCTTTGTCTCTTTTGATCTTTGTTGGTTTAAAGTCTGTTTTATCAGAGACTAGGATTGCAACCCCTGCCTTTTTTTGTTTTCCATTGGCTTGGTAGATCTTCCTCCATCCTTTTATTTTGAGCCTATGTGTGTCTCTGCACGTGAGATGGGTTTCCTGAATACAGCACACTGATGGGTCTTGACTCTTTATCCAACTTGCCAGTCTGTGTCTTTTAATTGCAGAATTTAGTCCATTTATATTTAAAGTTAATATTGTTATGTGTGAATTTGATCCTGTCATTATGATGTTAGCTGGTGATTTTGCTCATTAGTTGATGCAGTTTCTTCCTAGTCTCGATGGTCTTTACATTTTGGCATGATTTTGCAGCGGCTGGTACCGGTTGTTCCTTTCCATGTTTAGCGCTTCCTTCAGGAGCTCTTTTAGGGCAGGCCTGGTGGTGACAAAATCTCTCAACATTTGCTTGTCTATAAAGTATTTTATTTCTCCTTCACTTATGAAGCTTAGTTTGGCTGGATATGAAATTCTGGGTTGAAAATTCTTTTCTTTAAGAATGTTGAATATTGGCCCCCACTCTCTTCTGGCTTGTAGGGTTTCTGCCGAGAGATCCGCTGTTAGTCTGATGGGCTTTCATTTGAGGGTAACCCGACCTTTCTCTCTGGCTGCCCTTAACATTTTTTCCTTCATTTCAACTTTGGTGAATCTGACAATTATGTGTCTTGGAGTTGCTCTTCTCGAGGAGTATCTTTGTGGCGTTCTCTGTATTTCCTGAATCTGAACGTTGGCCTGCCTTGCTAGATTGGGGAAGTTCTCCTGGATAATATCCTGCAGAGTGTTTTCCAACTTGGTTCCATTCTCCACATCACTTTCAGGTACACCAATCAGACGTAGATTTGGTCTTTTCACATAGTCCCATATTTCTTGGAGGCTTTGCTCATTTCTTTTTATTCTTTTTTCTCTAAACTTCCCTTCTCGCTTCATTTCATTCATTTCATCTTCCATTGCTGATACCCTTTCTTCCAGTTGATCGCATCGGCTCCTGAGGCTTCTGCATTCTTCACGTAGTTCTCGAGCCTTGGTTTTCAGCTCCATCAGCTCCTTTAAGCACTTCTCTGTATTGGTTATTCTAGTTATACATTCTTCTAAATTTTTTTCAAAGTTTTCAACTTCTTTGCCTTTGGTTTGAATGTCCTCCCGTAGCTCAGAGTAATTTGATCGTCTGAAGCCTTCTTCTCTCAGCTCGTCAAAATCATTCTCCATCCAGCTTTGTTCTGTTGCTGGTGAGGAACTGCGTTCCTTTGGAGGAGGAGAGGCGCTCTGCGTTTTAGAGTTTCCAGTTTTTCTGTTCTGTTTTTTCCCCATCTTTGTGGTTTTATCTACTTTTGGTCTTTGATGATGGTGATGTACAGATGGGTTTTCGGTGTAGATGTCCTTTCTGGTTGTTAGTTTTCCTTCTAACAGACAGGACCCTCAGCTGCAAGTCTGTTGGAATACCCTGCCGTGTGAGGTGTCAGTGTGCCCCTGCTGGGGGGTGCCTCCCAGTTAGGCTGCTCGGGGGTCAGGAGTCAGGGACCCACTTGAGGAGGCAGTCTGCCCGTTCTCAGATCTCCAGCTGCGTGCTGGGAGAACCACTGCTCTCTTCAAAGCTGTCAGACAGGGACACTTAAGTCTGCAGAGGTTACTGCTGTCTTTTTGTTTGTCTGTGCCCTGCCCCCAGAGGTGGAGCCTACAGAGGCAGGCAGGCCTCCTTGAGCTGTGGTGGGCTCCACCCAGTTCGAGCTTCCCAGCTGCTTTGTTTACCTAAGCAAGCCTGGGCAATGGCGGGCGCCCCTCCCCCAGCCTCGTTGCCGCCTTGCAGTTTGATCTCAGACTGCTGTGCTAGCAATCAGCGAGATTCCGTGGGCGTAGGACCCTCCGAGCCAGGTGTGGGATATAGTCTCGTGGTGCGCCGTTTCTTAAGCCGGTCTGAAAAGCGCAATATTCGGGTGGGAGTGACCCGATTTTCCAGGTGCGTCCGTCACCCCTTTCTTTGACTCGGAAAGGGAACTCCCTGACCCCTTGCGCTTCCCAGGTGAGGCAATGCCTCGCCCTGCTTCGGCTCGCGCACGGTGCGCACACACACTGGCCTGCGCCCACTGTCTGGCACTCCCTAGTGAGATGAAACTGGTACCTCAGATGGAAATGCAGAAATCACCGTCTTCTGCGTCGCTCACGCTGGGAGCTGTAGACCGGAGCTGTTCCTATTCGGCCATCTTGGCTCCTCCCCCCCTAGTAATCTTTTCTAATGACAGTCTAGCAACAGCCTCAAATCCTTTGTGAAATCCATAGTAGTGTATGTATAAATGAATGAATAAGTGAACAATAAATGAATGCCTATTATTTATTAAAATAACACAGCAACAAGAAAAAAATTCTGGTCAAATACAGCGTGGTCTTTGGACATCTGTTTGAACAATAAAATGTTTTCATTCTGAGGGCTTTATGGAGCCTGTATCCCCAGCATGTCATGTCAGCTTCAAAAGCTGATGAGAGTGCATGATCCACTGGTGCTCTTCACATTTGCTTCAATGAAATTATCATCCAGTTATTGCAAGCATGAGGTTGGATTTCTCGGGCTTCTGGGCATTGCCAAGTTTGACGGTGGCATGCAGGAAAATGAGGAACAGCATGAAAAATACCCATCCCCTTGGCAAGCATTCATCCTGCTCTAATCTGCCACAGCACCCCTGGACTTTTCCAATATTGATAGTCCTCTTTATACAAGTGAATTCTGAAAGCTGTCTCATTAATGCACTGAATGGATAGTGGTGTTTAACCAATGCCATTTTCCAGGTCTCCTTATCCACGTGTAACAATCCATCATGGGAGTCAGTTTTATTCCTAGGCATTTCTCACTGCAGAATGTTTCTTCTAGAAACCAAAGCTGCCCTTTCACTTTTTAAAATCATCACTCTTTTCCTCTCTCACAGAGGAGTGTGCCTATATTCTCTGTCTCCCTCCTCCACTCTCCTTCTCCCTTACTCTGAATGTGTAGGCCCTCTGGGCTCATCTTTACAGGGCTTATGATGTGTTTGACAATCATTGATGCCTGCTAGGCTTCAGTTCATGGGGTAAGCAATGTCAGGCATGAGCTTTCCTGACAGATTAGAAGATGCTTTGTAACAAGGGGAAAATCAAATCAAATGCTTGTCACAGGGAATTCCAAGCTGTGTTGGAAGGCAGAAAGGGCAGGAGAGAAAAGAAATAGTTGGGAGAAAGTGAAAATGCTCTCTAATAAATAAGATGCAAACACCTGAAAAACAGCGTCAACCCAGGAGACAATGGACACTGCTTTAAGAGTCTTTAAGGATGTCTTCTGCTTTTATGGCAAACAAGTGAATTTTAACAAGACTGGCACACAAATTTAGAAAACACAGAATGTGGAGATGGTTAACAAAACCATTATGTCACCAACCAATGAAAGTTTATGTAGCCATTAAAAATGTTGATTATGAAAAAATTGTAATAATATGGAAAATGCTTTTTAGGTTAGGCTAGGTGGGAAAGTGATACAAAATTACTTCCAGCATGATTACAGCTATGTACATATCATGCATAAAGAAAAGGATCACTTTATGCCAACAAATTAAATCTAGGTGTAGTTCGGGGTGGAGCTCCATAAATTTCCCATATTTTCCACATTTTTTAAAGGGCTAGTCACACTAATTCTGTTGAAAAAATAAAATAAAAAGAAGAAACAACCATGCTTCTTTTTCAAAAGGAAGAAGTCCAAGAAACTTCAGGCCCTAAAGGAAAAGATTTAAACTAAAAAAGTGTGAGGAAATACAATCAATGTGTTAGCTATTCCGGGTCTGCAGTCTAATGAAAATGGAACCAAAGGAAGAGCCAAGATTAATGAGAAGGGCAAAGACACAGTAGAGATTTTTAGTAGTAAAGCTAAAAAAAGTGAACAAAGTAAGTTAGACACACTTCATATAAATTATTATTTTTTAATTAGAGAGAAAAATCTCTTTGAATGTCAGGAATATTTTAAAAACAGTTTTAAAAGATAATTTTTCTTTAATTTTCATTTTTATTTAAAAAGGTCACAGGTGATCTAGAAACATGAAAGAATAATAAAATATATTGAGAAGGACCTAGGAACTCATTTAGACTAGGAAAATCCATGGATTTTATGTATGTTTCTCAACTAAAAATTAATTTAACTATTAAACACATGCCTCTTAGATGTATACAGCTGTAAAAGTGATGACTGTCAAAACTACAGAAGCATGAAAAATACCTACAAGAGATGTTAATTTTTAAAATGCCACACAACTATATTTGAACACTGATTACAACTATGTAAAATTATATGTGTATAGCAATATAAACAGTTATGCTATGGGGCATGAATCTTTGTAAATATTTTTCTGTAAAACTGTTTAATATTTAACACAGTTGTATTCTGTAAAAAGATTACTGATATATAGGCCAAATGCATGCAAGCTTTTGGCTCAAATTATTTGCAAGCTAGAATAGCAAAATGATCCAAAGATGGCATTCTGGGGTCTTTGGGATTATGTTGAGGACTCTTTAGTTGAAGGGCAGCAGAGGGCTGAAGTAGCCAGCACAGGCCCCAGACGAGGATGTCCTGCAAACAATTTAAAGAGATCTGCCTTGTTAGAAGGGGAGGGAAAGGCTGAAAATAGCTTGTGTATACCAAGCATCTTCTAAGCACCGGACTGTGTCCTAGGCACCTGTCATATATAGTCTAATTGGATTCATTGGCCATAACTAGCTCCTCCTACCTATGTCAAAGACTTCTTTTGAATATTCTTTCAATCCTGGGTGTTTTCCTACCAAGTTGAGAAACACTCATCTAATTTTCACTTAATATGAAAGTGGTCCTGGTTGACTTTCTGGCTCATCTGACACCCCCTCCCCTATGTTCAATCTTTCAAAGCCTTTTCCACTTCAGAGCCTTGCTGTTTCTCCTGCAGGTTTTGATTTACTTTGCTCTTCAATGCTGGCTCTTTATCCTACAATGCTTTGTTGATATATCACCTCTTCAGAGGGGCTTTTCCTGTTACCCTCTCTAAAGTGTGACTGCACCCCATCCATCCACCCACACAACTCCCGCAACCACAAGCGCCCATGGTATACTCCCTTTACAGCCCTTACCACAAACAGTGTTAATTTCATTTGTCATTATCCATTTATTCATTTACATTTAGTTTCTATTTCACAAGACTAACTTTTTACAGGGTTGAGATATTAGCTGTTGTTGTTAAGCACAGTATGCACAATGTCTGGCATAACACCTGTCAAATAGTCGGTGTTTGATACGTATTTGTGGACTTAATAACTTGCAGACTGATGGATAGATTAAAAGAACAAAACATGCTCCCTTTTCTTTTCCTTCTCATAAAGGTGTTCCTTAGAGACTATTATACCAGGAGATATCATAAGCTCTCTGAAGCCTTAGAAATGGCATCTCTTTTGTTTGCAAGTATTTAAATTTGCCTGGATATCTGAGGGCCAGATTAAGATAGGACAACAGCTTTAGGTCACAATCTTGTGCTAGGTCTGTGACTTTGAGTTAGTTACTAAAACTTCATCTTGTTTTGTTTATCAGTATGTGTTGAATGATGAGTAAGTACAAGATATTCAAATAATTTTATTATACGATCAATATTATTTTTGTTATTACAGCTTCTATTTTAAAATGATTTCTGGTGATGGTGGAAATAATTAGTCGGTATCAGGTCATTTTTATTTCTGTAACTTGATGTGGACTACATTTAAATTTTATTAGAATAAAGATATTAAATCCACTATAAATGTATCAAACTTTAAACTCCATTTAAGGGGATTTTTTTTTATAGTGAAAACTCAAAGAGCCTCTTAAATTGTTCAGATGACACAATACCCAGTAACAACATTGCAGAACAGTAGAAAATGGAAAACACTGAAAAACAAATCAAGACAACCTACTCTGGATTAAACTTCAGTGTTTGTATCTCAAGAAACAAGAAATCCCATGACCTTCATGATAACACAGTATCAGATGCAATTGGCCACCAGCATGTAACTTCTGCACAGCTCATTCCCAAGCAGAAAACATCAAAGGTTCTTCTCTTATGAAGTGAAGGAAGGGGAACGTGAAAGGTAGGCAGAGGCTAGATAATTATAGGTAGTAAATATAGGTAATAAAGGTAGGCAGAGGCCAGATAACCCTTGCAAGAATACAATACCACATCTCACAACTTTGAATTTTTTGGACACCACTCTTTGATGTATGGCGGGATATTACTGTATTAATGAAAATGAAACACTTCTAAATTTCTAGAATGTATGTGCTATAGACTGAATGTTGTAGTCCTTCCTAAATTCACGTTAAAACCCTAATCCACAATGGGATTTGGAGGTGGGATCTTTGGGAGGTAATCAGGTTTCAAGTGAGGCAATGAATATGGAGCCTTCATGATGAGAGGCTGAGAAGAGTTGCTTCCTCTCTATACTTTTTGCCATGTGAGGATACAATGAGAAGGTGGCCAACTGCAAAGCAGGAAGAGGGGCCTCACCAAATCTGCTGGCACCTTGACCTTGGACTTTCTAGTCTCAGAACCGTGAGAAATAAATGCCTGTGGTTTAAACCATGTGGTCTATGGAAATTTGTTTTAGCATCTCAGGCTGAAAACGTTATGTCACAGGAGAAGCAAAACCTAAGATCTTACCTTCAACTCATGGCCTTTTATGGGAAGCTCACCTCGTTAGGTGATCATCATTTTTAGCATAGCTGTTTTTGGCTCTCTAGTATGACCTTCTTAAGTGACAGCTCTTTTAGCTTTGGCATGGCCATTTTGAGTTGATTGTAACTGGTTTATGTTAAGGTGGTGTGACAGTAAGTGCCAGCTAGGTAATGCTGATAACAAACAATCCCCAAATCTCAGTGATTTTAAACAACGAAGGTTTATTTCTTGCTCACCATACATGTCCACAGAGGGCTGGCTGGGTGCTCTGCTACTGCACCGTCATTGTCATCATTTTAAAGCTTAGGCTGAAAAGAGCAGTTGTCATGGAGAGGAAAAAAGAGAACATGGTGAATCATGCACCGGCTCTTAACATTTTCATATGTAAGTATCTCACATCAGTTTCCTCATATTTCACTGGCCAAGGCAAGTGACACAGCCAAGCCTGACTTCAAGGTGGTAGGAAAATAAAATCTTCCTCCAGGGAAAGGGGCCATATATGGGGAAATAGTAATACAAGTCTACCAGGTACTTGAGTGGAAGTGTGGAATCCTCACTCCTGGGATTGATTTGTAAAGGTAACCTTCATACATATATACACACAAATATGTATGCATACATACATTCATACAGTGTGTATGTGTGTGTGTGTACATATTCAAGTCTGGAAATAATTCACTCAGGTTACCATGGCCCGGAAGACTGCTTTGGTGCTGTATGTCTTCTTTTTGGTGTATATCTGTATTTTAAATATCAGTTGAATATTTGTACCCTAAATCTGATCTTCAGTTTGGTTATTCTGATAACTAGAACAGATGACCACGAGGTCATGTGCTATCCTGCTGCCCAGGTGAACCAGATTAGCTTCTGACATGAGCAACCATCTTTGAAATGCGGGCCTTTCCTCATGCAGGGCAAATAATGCTTGTTTGAGCTTGGTTTGAGCCAGGGCTCTTAACACAGTGTAAGCAGTGTGCTCTGGGGAGCTGCTACTAACGTTTGCTCGGGTTTCAATGCTCTCCTAACACATTGGTGCAACCAAACGAGTGTAACGGGGAGGAGTAAATAGGACACCTGCAAAGTGCTCTCTGGAGAAAGATGTCCATATAAATGGAAAGTGCTGCCATGTTACTCACTCATTGCTATCTTTAGATTGCAGTCTCAAGGTCCTTCCTGAGCTGTGCTAAGTGAAATGAGTTTTGGAAATGCAATTTACATCAAGTACCTTTTACTTATCTGTCAATGACAAACTGAGCACTTGACAAATTTTCTCCCATGTGATACAGCGTATGCTAATTGACTAGGAGTAAAGCTCTCTAGTAAAAAAGTATGTTTATTACTAGATCTCAATTCCAGCTCATTTTCATGATGATATTTTATGATGATGCAGCTGGAGAGAAAAAGTCTATGACAGTGAAGGGATGTGTAGAAAGTGTAAGAGATGCACCATGCTTCTGTTACCTTGCCACATTATATTTGTATAGCATAACAATCAAAAGAATTAAAGCTGATGAGAAATACATGAGGCAAAATGAGGCAAAGGAAAATAAGAGTAAAAATGTCAGACAGAGCCTTTGTAAGACTGGTCCGTCACAGAGATGTCTTGAGCTCCTGTACATCCGCTAGAACACACTTTGGACTGCAGGTGTTTGGGCACCAATGGAAAGAGGGAAACACACCCATTTTACAACACACAGTGAACAAAATATTAAAAATAAAAACAAACAATAGAAAAGTGTTTACAAGTCAAACTACTTGTGGTAGAGAATTGTCCTTCATGGATTATCTTAGATGCAGAGCTTAAATGATGGTTGAGTCATTTGCCCAGGGACTTAGGTTTGACTCCAAGCTCTGTAATGTATTCACACCGTTATTTTGAATGAGGTTATTTGAACTCCTTCAGGCCCTTTTTCTCATCACTAATTAGGAACAACAATTCTCACGTTATAGGATTGTTTTGAGGATTATCTTCGAAAAAAATCTATGAAAGAAATTCATCGTTGTGCCTATTTATAGTACTAGCTAAAATTTAAAAATTTTCCCCATTGAGGCCAGGAGCGATGGCTCATGCCTGTAATCCCAGCACTTTGGGAGGCTGAGGTGGACACATCACAAGGTCAGGAGATCGAGACCATCCTGGTTAACATGGTGAAAACCTGTCTCTACTAAAAATACAAAAAAATTAGCCAGGCATGGTGGCGGGCGCCTGTAGTCCCAGCTACTCGGGAGGCTGAGGCAGGAGAATGGCGTGAACCCAGGAGGCGGAGATTGCAGTGAGCCGAGATCATGCCACTGCACTCCAGCCTGGGTGACTGAGCAAGATTCTGTCTCAAAAAAAAAAAAAAAAAATTCCCCATTGATCAAAATAACAAGTTTCAAAGTACATAGATGTAAAGAAGTAGAAAGCATCAAGAAGACTTTCAGTTTAGTAATTGCAGTTCTTTAGAGTAGCAGGTGGAATAGGTAAAGCAACAGGATTGAGTTAGGTGTTTTGGGGATTATAAACTAGAAGTACATTGGGAATAGCTGGAATAGTGTGTCTCAAGTATGTTTCACAAGATTTTACATAAAAATGGCTCTTTGTCAAATAGGTTTGGAAAATTATAGGTTAATAAATTAAAAGCTTTTTCTTTCCTTTATGAGTTCTCAGAGGTTTTTGTATATCGTGTGTGTTCTGAATCTCTGGGGGTGGGAAGGAAGAAATATAATATGTAGCATTTGTCAAACTTGACCAAATAATTATTTCTTCATTGGACATGTTGTGAAATTTATGTCCCAAAAACATGCTTAGGAAATGCTGATTGAAGGAAGTGGTAGAATTGTCATTCCTTCAGGCAACGGGTCATAAATATCATTTCTATCAACTGAGTTTTTGAGTTTGAATTTAAGAGTTGGAGTGTCGCTCTGTTCTGACTCCAGTTAAACATGTCATTACTCAAGCTGGTTGGAATAAAGGATAAACTTCCTTCTGTAAATATTGAAAAAGACTGAGGAGGACGTGTCGTTGACTAGTCTATTTCTTTTCAACAAACTTGTTCAGGTTGGATATGTAAATCATTTTTCCCTTGAGTTATGGTTCTCTGGGATTTTGGTGGAAGCTTGTGAATTTGGCGGGGGTCTTATGAACATTATGTTGGCTCCATTTTTACTCTTATTTTTCCTTTGACTCATTTTTTTCTCCTTTTGTTTCTTATAGCTTTATTTAGCTAGTACTATGAAGAAACAAATGCTGCAGTCTTTGTTGTCTTCCAAGGTACCATTACAGATCCTGAGTTCTTGTTAGTAAAATATATCTATATATGTTTACATAATCAATACATGCATATACATGCTAATTGTAAATGTTCTAAATTCAGAAGTATACAAAAGAAAAAGCTTAAGGTTCCTCCTCATTGGGATTTAACATATTCCATTAACATAATAAGTATATAAATACAGTCTTTAAAAAAAACAGGGTTATGTAATATATATTGTTGTACACCTGGCTTTTCTTTACCTTAAAATATCTCCTGGGGAATCTTTCTTTGTCTTTCTAATATACATTTATTCTGTTTAAAACTGCATAAAATTTTGTAGTAGGTGTCACATTATAAATAAGAAGAGGACCAGTATAACTACAAGATGTGATTTCATAAAGAGAAGTTTGCATAGGGAGGCATGAATTGAAAAGAATTTTGGGTTGAGGACTCTTGGGATCTTAAGGAAATGGGAGATCCCATTAGTTCCTAGGCTGGGAGAGAGCACGGAATAGCAGAGTTTTAGTTCAGCTCTGGCAATGAGAGGCATGATAAAATAGTGTTTGTTATGATGCATGTTCCTGCTTTTATGCACTGGGGTTCATGATTTCAAACAAATGCACACATTTATAAATTGTAAAACGATGGCCATCAAAGTCACTCTTAGGTTTTTGTTTGTTGCTTCTTCATGAGAATGCTCTCAATTTTTGAAAGCTTCTGAAGGCTATAAACTTACATGTTCTCTGGAAGTCAGTCAATGTGTCAATCTTCTCTGCACAAGAAAGAGTTCAGCCCCGGGAATCATCCGGGAAGCGTTGTACCTCTTCCTACATCAATGAGTCCCCTGAGATGTAGAGGATGTTTACAGGCACCTTGCGAGTTCATGCTTTGGGCAGTAATACGCTTACATTTTGCCTGGTTATTTCATCTGGTCCAAACATCGAGAGGTTTTATTATCCCTGATTCCGTTTGTGGCCAATCATATTTTCCGCTTTTCAAGCATCTCCCCGTAAATCACCACCTGTCAGACTTGATGTGCATTAAGGAAGTCAATGAGTTGTATTTCACTTGTCATGTTTGAAGAGGTGCATGACACTCTATGGTTACTGCTAACTAAAGAAAGAGATGACTTTTGTGCGCACCGGCTAATTGGTGTCAACTCACATCACCTTGCATTGAGGTGACAGGCACAAATCAGAGCAGCAAAGGGTTGTACCAATCTTGGTCCTATCAGGGTCCAGCTGGTATTTCAAAGTTGCCACAATTCAGTATTCAGGACCCCCACACCCTCATCCCAGAATAAAAACAAATTGTGCTTTAAATTGCCTTAATCCTCAGGTCAAACAAATTTCAAGGACTCGAATAACTGAGCCCGTATTATCACTGCAGACAACAAGATTGACTCCCTCTTTCTGGCAGTCAACCCTAGGAGGGATTGTGCTGAGTATAGGACTTAGAAGGGTAATTATGGCAAGGGAACAGCTTTGCTGCCACCAAGTTCTTCTACTGGTGTTTTTGAAGGAGACTTGATCCTTACCCACTCCAGTTACTCATGTCTTAAACGTTCAAGAAAAACGGATGAAAGCAATCTCTTCATTCCAGAGATTTCTTTACACATCCCTGTGAACTTTCCACTTAGAACGCTTAGAAAATGTAATTTTTTTTTTTGAAAAGGAATGAAAAAGAATAGAAGTGGATTGTTTCCAAGAGACTAACAAGTTCTACACAAATCCTGGAAGCATAATGCCAGGAGCCTCCACTCACACTAACTACTCCCAGGAACCCTCTTCCACAAGCTTTCTTGGCTCCTTGTCATGCTGCATGTCTGAGTTTAATACTCCTGGCCATCTCCACCCTAAGGCCCTCTCTCTTATCCTTCACCAGGACATTCTGTTTTGTTACTTTGTAACATGTGTCCCAGTCTATAATTATTTTGCTCATTAATTGTTTTACTTGTATATCATCTGTTTTCTCCACTAGAATGCAAGCTCCCTAAGGGGGCAGGGATTTTTGCCCAAACAGTTCACTTTGCCTAAACAGTTCAGTTGCCTAAGTAGCACATGATAGGTGTTTAATTAATACTGAAGTAAGAAAGAAAGGAAGGAAGGAAGGGTGAGAGGAAGCATAGAGAAAAGGAGGGAGCAAGGAAAAGAGATTAATTTTAGCACAAGGGTCTTTGCTCTAGTGCCTGGAGTTGATGGAATCTCAGCACCTCTGATTCTTGCCGCTGTGGCCAGGCTCTCTGCTGTCATTGGCCTGAACACTCTGACTCGGTCTGGCTTTTGATTGTAAGATCAACTGCAACTGCGCATGCAGTTAACCTTGTGAGTGGAAATGGCTGAGCTTCCTTTTTATTATTTATGCATTTGTCCTACCTTACTTATCTATAACAGAAAAAAACAAAAAGTCAGCTCTGGGACTCAGGGATGAAGCATTCAATAAGGAAGGTCTTGGCAGCCAGTTGTGGGCACGCTGAGGGATGAGGAAGGGGAGAAGAGAAAAAACAGCCTGCTTTTCCCAAACAGCAGATTCTAACTTTTGTTCTAATTTCACCTTCCACACCCAGCTTGCCGCATGGCCTCCTGTGTCAGGACGGCTGCCAGTTTTAAACACCCACCTAATGAATTTAGTCAGAGATTTACAAGCAGAAAAATGAAAGAGAACTAAGCCAAGTGCTTAACTTTAATTCAAAACGAATTACCTGATTTCGTTTTAGCGAAAAGCTTCTTAAGCTTCACAGCAGCATTGGCAGCTTTTCTCAAAGATACATCTTAATATGCGGTTACTTCCATGTAAATTTCAGAGGCTGCTGTTCTTTTATCATGAGCCTAGAAAGTTTGCAGAAGAGTATTTTGTTTTGTTTTGTTTTTAAACTGCTATGGGGATAGCAACTACCTGCTATGTGGAGATACTATTCCGGTGACAGAATATTATGACACAAAGACTTCAGGGATGATGCGGAAGTTATGAATTCTGGCTTGTATGCTGGAAAGCATTCAGATTAGAGCCCATTGTGTTCACCTAAAGGGCTGGTTTGAAAGGTACCAACCCAGTTCACTCTGCAATGCTCTAGAGACACATTGTGGTACATAAGACTCATTTAAGGAACTTGTGAAAATAGCAAGATCAATGGGACCCACCCCAGGGATTCTGATATGTAAGAAATGAAGCCCAGGAATGTTTATTTTCCAACATCTCAGGGCATCGTGATATGATGTAGTTTAGAAACACTGCTTTGGGGGATAAAAAAGTAGCAGTAAGATATAATATTTATCATGTATAAGTATAGCAAATGGATCGCTGAAATTGCCTTCCAAATAGTCTTCAGTCTGGGTCCCCTCTATGTCAACTTCTGCTGAACGCATGGATCTTGTCTTTCTCCTACATAAAACCCTTCAATGGCTCCTCAAATCTTTCAGAATCCTTTTCTAAAGTCTTTGCCTTAGCATTCAATACTTTTCAAGATCCAGAACAATGCTTCATAAAGACAGCTTGTTAAAAACGTGGATACTGAGCCCCACGGAACCAAGTTTCCTGGACCTGGCCAGGAATCTATAGCTTAGTAAATTCTCTAGGTGATGTATTTAAAAATTTTGATGTATTTAAAAATTAGAGCCCTTCTATTGGATTTTCTTGGGCCTATTTTTCACCACTGACTACATGCATTTTCTGCTGCAACCATGCCAAACTGCGCAAATTTCCCTCAATAGCTTGTCTTGCTTCAAGTCTTCTGGAGTGCCTCACTTTTACCTCCCAGAAGCTAATACTTCTTGTCCATTTTAAACTTATTGAGGCATCATATGTTCCAGGAAGCCTCTCTTGACTCCCCTGTCTGAAATTCACACACATCTTCTGAGCTCTCATAGTATCTTGTATGTATTTCCAGCTGGAATGTATCTCCCTGGATGAATGTTGTTAGTTTACTTAGTGCATCCCCACTAAGCTGTGAATTCCTTGAGATGCAGGAGCATATCTCATTTAATACACACTGTATCACCAGTGATTAGCACAGAGCTTGTACCCACATACAAGTGTTTGGTCTCATAGCTGCCAAATGAATGAGCTAGAATGATAATGCAGAACAGTAGACAAATAGTTACACATAGAAAGGTGTAGTTTTACACATACAACCTCAAAGTATTCTTAATTGAAAAAGATGTTATTAAGGTAAAGATAATCTGGGGAGATTGTCTGGAGGAAGTACATTTTGAACTGGCCTTGACCAAAGGATATGGGCAAGAAGATCAGTTGATATATTCAAAAGGGAGAAGACTGAGAGGGGCCTAGTATGTGAACACCTCGAGAAGAGCTAAGGATTAATGAAATTAAGAGGCCAGAGATGGATCAAATAGTCAAGGAGCTGGAAGGAGGTTTTTTTTTTTTTTTTTTTTTGTGGGTGGTGGGGTACAACTGGGGCTTCAGAAACTGGTTTTCCTTAGGTTTCTTAGCTGTAGCTCAGAGAATATCAGCTGAAGATTTGGCTGATTTCATCCTTGCTTCCTTTGCAATGGTACTTCATGTGAACGGTATGGCCCTCTGTCCCCATAGACAGGAATCAGTGACAATGATCTATCATCCTATAAATGCTTCCTTATTCTCTTGCTCATCTTTGAGGAGTAGTTCAGGTGACTACCTCATGATTAATGGCTTGCCTTTTCTGTGGAATGTCAAGGCAAGCAGTCAGTCTATGAGGACTTCAGTTGTTTATTCTGTAAAGAAAGCAAATATCTTGACCAAGAAGAGTGAAAGGGAAATTGGGAGAGAGCAGGAGAGGAGAGACAGGAGTGAAATCAAAGAGAAAGACTGAGAGAAAGAAAAGTTCAATACCTCTTGGCTTTATTTATTTTAACCACTTTTATTTATTAAAGAGAACTGAATTAGTGTTGGCTATCTCATGCTTAATCTTTCTTCCAAAACCTGAAGCTTTGAGATGAGAAGCTTTAAAACAGAAAGAAGTGTTTTTGAGGAGAAAGAATGAAATGCATATAAAAGATAGACAAGTGGACATGCAAATCCACAATTTAAAGCTGACCGGCTTCACAATTTTCTAATTGCATTTGTAAATCGTCAGTGCATTCTGCATCTTTGGCTATAACTAACTTAAAGTGCATGGTCTCTTCTGCCAGATGCTCAGTTCTTTTGTGTCCTTGTTTCTTTGCCAGGATTTCTCTGTCAGAACTCTCCATCAGATCCAGGATTACATCCACCTACACATCATACCATTTTGAGTGGCACTGATTTTTGGACCTAGCCATGGCCTTAGTTTTAGACTAAATCATGTAAAATTCAGGTTTTTTTCTAGGCTAAAAGATGTTGAATTTCAGTAAATTCAGAGGAAGAAAAAATGGAATATCAAATGATATTTGCTTAAGGTAGTTGCTTAAGGTAGTTTAAAGGGCAGCAGGCTTGTTGAGCAGACTTACAGTAAGTAATTAGTCAATATTATTCCTTATGCAGCCTTTTTCATCTTGATTTCATTCTATCATCCCTCCCCTATTCTATCATCCTTCCAAACCTAGACACCAGTGTAGGTACTGTCCTAACCTACCCAATGTGTCACCCAGTTTTGTCTTCAAGTCCCCTCCTGACAGCTACTCCTTTTCCCTGTAAATTCTCGTAGAGATCAGTACAGCTGCCCTTTGAAAGCTCTCTCTGCCCTCCTTTTACCTACACCCAGTTTCATTCTTTCTACTGTTCCTAGACTTATTTTTATGAACACATAAATATGATTATGTTATAAGTTTTAATGATTCCCTGTAGCATGCTGTTTTTAGGGCTGTGAATTTTAGTCTTGAAGATCTAGCTTTTGTCTACCTCTCCAATTTCATCCTTCTCTCTCTCTCTTCCCTCTTCTGCTCCCTCCCCTTTAACCCAGAACTGCTTGCTGATCTTAGACCACATCAGGATCTCTTGTCTGCAGTATTTTTCTCATGTTCTTACAAATATTTGCAATTCCCACATCAACTTTCTTTGCTTGTCAAACCCCTAAGCGTTCTGCAAGACTTAGTTCCCCCAGGAATCCTTTTGTGATCCCTCCTCTGGTTTGCAGTCATCTGCACTCCCAGAATACTCTGAGCATAAGGATATTAAGTAACTATCACAGAAAATTAGAATTGTTTTTGTCTGCTTCCTCCACAGATACACGTTCCTTAACAGGTATGTCTTTTACCTCTGTATGCCAGGGTCTAATATTATGAGCCCATTTGTAGTGTGTTTTCTAAAATTATTTCTTTTAGGAGCCACATAGGACTCATTTTATGTGATTCTGTTGTGTCTGTTCTTGGACCCTTTAAACCTAGTGATGGGTATAAGACTAAGCCCTATTATTTAGATAGCATGGAGAAAGATGTTTTTTTATTCTAGAGTCAAAGCTCTAAGGACACCCAAGATGAACATCTTATGGCTATTTTCTCCCCATTGCATGGAAAAATAAAACATTTTAAATAAGACACTGAGGCTAATACTCCAAAAGAAGCAGGGCCTGTAATCACATGAAATGATAGAAAGAGAGAGACAGACAAAGAGAGATGAAGCTAGAGAAAGGAGATAAGATCATTGTAAACCTCTCTCCCACACCCTAGGTACACCCACACATGAGGCTATTCTTGGTACTTTTCAGTTATGTGAGCAAAAGGTAATTATTAAATAACAACAACAACAACTTGAAGTACTGTACTTGAAAAACAAAAGAAATGAGATAACCAGTTAATATGTATTGAATAGATGAATTTTTAACAGAAATATTTCATAAGGTGAAGGAAGGGGAAAGACAGAGAAGGTTTACACAAGGGCGATGGCAGTCAATTAAGATGGAATACTTTTCTTAAATAGAGTCTAATACAGGAAGAGAGATGGTGATACACAGAAGAAAAAAGGAATATTGACATTAGCAGAGTATGGGCTGAGAATTTAATTGTTGAAGAGACCCAGAGCAATCTGAGAGGCATGATACACTGCTAATAGACTGACAAGTCAATGATTCATCTGAAAGGGGAAAAATTAGAATTTAACATCCTAAAATGCATTTTGTTACTTTATTTTTAAAGTTCCATTTCTAGCATCTACCTAACTTAGGATTAAATTTTCAGCATTTCAGCAGGAGTATCCTGACAGACATATATTCAGGAATGTACTTTTGGTCAAAGAATTAAATGATGAAACCCACCAGGAATGGTCAGAATACAGTGAGGTTGACCAAGTCCCATTTGTTATGGTGAGTGAAATGTCGTAAACAGAGCACAGACATTACACTCAGAAGCTGACTGTAGCTTCTGACCCTCTGTGATGGCAAACCGCCAAAAGAAGGCCACAGCCAGGATGAAAGGGGATGGCAGCAGACGTGGGAACGGAGTCCTCTGTCTGCCCTTCACATGGCAACTCTGGGAATTCAGATCTATTTCCTGACTCTGTCAGATGATACTTAGCACACACAGAAGATAGGAAAACCCTTTGTCTGCTTTAATAAGGATGATGATAGATAATAAAAACCTGGTTCTAGGCAATTATCTACTCTATGTATGGAAGTGAGTTTCTGTCTTAAAACTAGGATGTGAAGCTTGCTTACAAAATACATGAGGGTGTGTTTGTAAACATGATTCTTTTGGTTAAAGTGCTATTTACAAGAAAAGAAGAAATAAATACATGGATGAAATTGGAAATCATCATTCTCAGTAAACTATCGCAAGAACAAAAAACCAAACACCGCATATTCTCACTCATAGGTGGGAATTGAACAATGAGAACACATGGACACAGGAAGGGGAACATCACACTCTGGGGACTGTTGTGGGGTGGGGGGAGCAGGGAGGGATAGCTTTAGGAGATATACCTAATGCTAAATGATGAGTTAATGGGTACAGCAAACCAGCATGGCACATGTATACAATATGTAACTAACCTGCACATTGTGCACATGTACCCTAAAACTTAAAGTATAATAATAATAATAATAAAAGAAAGAAATATCTTTTCTACTATTAACGTCTAAAGAGGAAGTGTCTTTTTTTGGAGCAAAACAAGTGAGTAGTTTCACAGGTAAATAGCTAGTGAATTCATTTTTTAAGATTATAAAAATAATAATCACTCAACCATTAGTTTTAAAAACATAGCAAGAGGTATAAACAATTATTTATTTAAAAGGAAAAATAATAAATATATTTCTTCTAACATATAAGTTAAAGAGGAGGATACAAATGGGGGTGGGTTGAGGAAGGAGAGGGTGTCAAAACAGAGAAACAATATGGAAGTTTGTCAGTTTTAAGTGACAGAAGTAGGGCGGAATCTAATATATAAAACGGGACTAATATTGCTTTTTTCCTGGGTGGTAGAAAAACAAGCAAAGAACATAACTGCTACTGCAAGTAAGTAAAGTTAAATGAAATTTGACATCAGGTTCCTGATTCCACATGTAGGAAGGTTGCACTACTCAATCCTAGCAATAAGTTGAAAGGTGAACAGACTGAAAAATAAACAATTCTAGATCCATTATAGAGTGAGGACACAGGGCAAACTGCTGTCCCCAAGACTGGAGAGACAGACAGGCAAATGCAAGGAGCAGAGACTCAGGAGGGGAAGTGGCCAAGGGAAGCAGTGTCAGGGTAGGAAAACCTGAACTGTAACTGATGAATTTCTGAAAGCTCAGTGTGGAGAGACAAATCTAAGAGGTAAAATTTCCAGGGGGACCCAGTCATAGGGGGAAGCCACCCTTTTGTGAATGATACCACCAGGAAGGAGCTCAGTCAGGTTTTCACAGTAAATATTGGCGAAAAAAATCCTCTTTTTTTCCAGTAAGGAAAAGGAACCATTGTGAAATATGCCAGAGTATGCTGCTCTTCCTAACAAGGTTCTCCCTCAGAAGAAACTAGTTAAGTGGAGCCTAATTTGTCAGGTATTATCAGTGCCCACCTAGCCTGGGGGAAGGGAAATGCCCAACACTCCAGCCTGCTTTAGCATTCTGTCCCACTTAAGGGGAAAAAAATGAGAAACTCTTCTGAATTTCACAGACCAGAGTCCTAGGCCTGGTAAAGACTGAGACCTAATTATAGGACTATAGAACATTTCCCTTCCCCTCACAACTTCACCACCACATTACTCAAGGCCTATTTATAGCAGTTCCTTTTACATGGTATGATATGCCTATCAAAACAAACAAACAAACAAACAACAAACAACAAAACACAGAAATTACAGAATATACAAAAATGCAAAAAAGACAATTTGAAGAGGCAGTGCAAGCATCAGAACCAGACATGGCATGTATATTGAAATGATCAAATTTGGAATTTGAAAAAAAACTATAATTAATGTGTTAAGAAATTTAATAAAGTAGACAGCATACAAGAAGAGATGGACAATGTAAACAGAGAGATGAAAGTCCTAAGAAGGAATCAAGTAGAAATGCTAGAGGTAAAAACACTGTAATAGAAATTATTACTTTGATAGGCTTATTAGGGGACTAGACAGCTGAGAAAATAATCTCTGAGTTTCAGGATATATCAATTGAAACATCCAACATTGAAAAAGAGAATGAATACCAAAACAACAACAACAGTAACAACAACAACAACAACAACAACAACAGAACAGAACATCTAACTACAAAAGTTATAATGTTTATATAACGTGAATCCCAGAAGGACAATAAAGAGAGAAAGAAACAGAAAAAATAATTGAAACAATAATGAGTGAGAGTTTCTCCAAATTAATCACAGATTTAGGAAGTTCACAGAACACTAAGCAAAATAAATGTCAAAAAATAAAACATCAACAACAACAACAACAAAAAACTGCCTAGGCATATCATCTTTTTACTACAGAAAATCGCAGATAAAGATAAAATTTTGAAGCAACTCAGGGGAGGAGAGCAACTACCGTATCTACGGAGAAATAAAGGTAAGTATTACATCTAATGTTTCCTCAGAAACCATGCAAGCAAGAAGAGAGTGGAGTGAACACAGTGTTGAGAGAATAAAGCTATCAACTTAGAATTTTGTACCCTGTAAATTTATTCTTCAAAGGAGAAGGATAAATAAAGATTGTCTCAAAAAAATATTGAGAAACTTTGTGGTCAGTAAACCTGCCTTGCAAGAATTGTTAACTAAAACTGTAAAGCTATTTGAAGAAAACACACAGAAAATACTTAACAATATTGTTCTGGCCAAAGATTTCTTAGATATGAACCCAAAAGCTGAAGCAACAAAAAACAAACAAAAAAACAAAACAAATGGAAATGCATCAAACTAAAAAGCAGAAGAAACAACTAATAGAGTGAAGAGACAATTTGCAGATTTGAAGAAAATATTTGCAAACCATCGATCCGATAAGAGGCTAGTATCTAACATATATAAGAAACTCAAACAACTCCACAACAAGAAAACAAATAAAAAAATAAGAAAATGGCAAAGGACCTAAATAGACACTTCTCAAAAGAAGACATACAAATGGCCAATAGATACATAAAAAATACTTATTATCACTGATCATCAGGGAAATGCAAATTAAATCCACAATGAAATATCACCTCATGCCTGATAGTCTGTTACACTTTTTTAAAAAATGATGAGAGATAGCAACTCTAGTCTGCATGAGCAACTGCATGAGCATGGAGAAAAGAAAACCCATGTACACGGTTGGTAGGAATGTAAATTAATAAAGCCATTATGGAAAATAGTATGGAGGTTCCTTAGAAAAGCAAAAATAGAATTTTCCTGTGATCCTGTAATCCAACTTCTGGGTATATATCCCAAAAAACTGAAATCTGTATGCTGAAGAGATACCTGCACTCCCATGTTTATTGCAGCATTATTCACAATAGCTGAAATATGGAAGCAACCTAGATGTCTATTATTAGACAAATAAAAAATGTTATATATATATATATATTTATATATAAAATTTGTTTTGGCTCTGTGTCCCCACCCAAATCTCATGTCTAATTGTAATCCTTAATGTTGGAGAAGGGGCCTGGTATGAGGTGATTGGATCATGGGAACAGGCTTCCCCTTGCTGTTCTCACAGTAGCTAAGTCCTCATGATATCTGGTTGTTTAAAAGTGTGTAACACTTACCCATTCTCTCTCTCTCTCCTGCTGCGCCATGTGAAGACATGCCTGCTTCCCCTTTGCCTTCCACCACGATTATAAGTTTCCTGAGACCTCCGCAGCCATGCTTCTGTACAGCCTACAGAACTGTGAGTCAATTAAACCTCTTTTCTTTATATATTATCCAGTTTCAAGTAGTTCTTTACAGCAATGCAAGAATGGACTAATACAACATATATGTAATGTATATATATTATACACACACATACATATACACACATATAATGGAATAACATTCAGCTTTTAAAAAGGTAGAGAATCCTATTATTTTGAGACAACATGGATGAATCTGGAGGGCATTATGCTAAGTGAAGTAAACCAGGCCCAAGAAAAATACCATCTGATCTCACTTATACATGGAATATGGAAAGCTGGCCTCATAGAAGTAGAGAGTAGAATCATGGTCACTAGAGCCTGAGGGAGGGATAGGAAGGAAAAGGGGAGATGGTCAAATGGTACAAGGTTTCAGTTGGACAAAAGGAATAAGCTTTAGTGGTAGATTGCACAGAATGGTGACTATAATAAATAATAATACACCATATATTTCAAAATTGCTAAAACAGTATAATATGGTTTGGTATGTCCCCACCAAAATCTCATCTTGAGTTGTAACTCCCACAATTCCCATGTGTTGTGGAAGGGATCCAGTGGGAGGTGATTGAATCATGGGAGCAGGTCTTTCCTGTGCTGTTCTCATGATAGTTAGTAAGTTCATGAGATCTGATGGTTTTAAAAGGGGGAGTTTCCCTGCACAAGTTATCTGTTTTTGCCTGCTACCATCCATGTAAGATGTGACTTGCTCTTCCTTGCCTTCCACCATGATTGAGGCCTCCCCAGCCACATGGAACTAAGTCCATTAAATCTATTTTTCTTACCAGTCTCAGGAATGTCTTAACCAGCAGCATGAAAACAGACTAATACAGAGTAGATTTTAAATATTTTCACCACAAATAATATAGGTCAGCAACTCAGATCTAAGGAAAAGAAGAGCATTGAAGAAGTGAAAGTAAAATAAAAACTTATTTTTCTTATTCCTAATAGATCTAACAGATAACAGTTTGCTCAAAATAATAGCAGTGACATATTTGATTATATATATTTGTTATATATACATGACTGTATATATATCTGTACAGTTGTGCATCACTTAATAATGAGAATATATTCAGAGAAATGTGTCATTCAGTGATTTGTTATTGTGCAAACATCATAGAGTATACTTAAAACTAGATGGTATAGGCTACTACACACATAGACTATATGGTATAGCCTGTTACTCCCAGGTCACAAACCTGTACAGCATGTTACTGTACTGAATACTATATGCAATACACAATGGTAAGTATTTGTGTCTCTAAACATAGAAATGTCACAGCATATGAAAAGATGGATGACATATGTCATCAGGAAAATAAATGCAAATTAAAACAATAAGATGCTACTGAACACCTGTTAGAATGTCCAAAATTCAGAACATTAACAACACCAAATGCTGGTAAGGATGCATGACAACAGAAATGCATCATTGCTGGTGGAACGCAAAATGGTACAGCCACTTTGGAAAATAGTTTGGCAGATTCTTATGAAGCTAAATATACTCTTACCACACAATCTAGCAATTATACTCCTTGATATTTACCCCAAGGAGTTTAAAACTATGTCCACAAGAAAACTTCCATACAAATGTTTAGAGCAGCTTTATTTATAATTGCCCAAACATAGAAACAGCTAACATATCCTTCAGTAGGTGAACAAATAAACTGTGCCACATCAAGACAATGGAACATTTAGCACCCAAAACAAATTTTCAAATTATATAAAGGCATGAAGAATCTGAAATGTATATTACTAAGTGAAGAAGCAAATCTGAAGAGGCTACATGCTTTATGATTCAAACTATATCACATTCCAGAAAAGGAAAAACTATGGATACAGTAGAAAGATCAGAGTTTGCCAGGAGTTGGGGTTGGAAATGGGGAAATGAATAGATAGACTACAGAAGATTTTTAGGGTAGTGAAAATACTCTATATGAGGCTATAATAATAGACACATGTCATTGTGCATTTGTCCAAACCAACAGAAAGTACAACAGCAAGAGTGAACTCATGGACTTTGGGTGATTGTGATGTGTCAATGCAGGTTCATCAATTGCAACAAATGTGCCACTCTGGCAGGAAATGTTAATATGGGGTTAGGGGATATATGGGAAATGTCTGTAAGTTCCTCTTGATTTTTCTGTGAATCTAAAACTGCTCTAAAATAATAATTTTAAAAATAAATGAAAATTTAGCATATACAATTAACAAGTTATATAAAAATTTATTTATTATAGTTATATTTTATTTATTAAAGTTATATTTTAACTTTTTCTAAATTTGAGCAGTCCACAAATATTTAAATATTTTTTCATAATTTTAAAGTAGACACTAAAATGTTCCCAAATTCTTTGTGTTCTAAAGTATATGAAGCTGTGGAGATAAAATTCTGTTTTCATAGGGCTGCCATAGGATCTTTTTACTAAAAGACTTGTTTCATTGTTAGCATCCATAAGCATAAATAATTTTATAAAGTCGATCATTCTCCAAATTATAGACTCTTGAGAACTCTGATGTTTCAATTTGGCTTGTAAAGTGATGGCAATGGTGGTGGTGTGGTGTGATGGTGGCAGTCCTCTACCATTATTCAAGTCACACCAACCAATATATTTTCAAATTCTTTCTAAACAAATCATATTGGTCCTAATTCTCTGGGGCCATTGTATCCCTTCAACAATTTTTTTGTAAAAATATCTTTATTTTGCTGAAGTTTGGAGCACTCTATGCCATTCTTCTTCGGGGAAATCAGGTTTGGAAATTCAACCCTAAGATGTGGATGAAAACTCCTGGAGACTTCACTTTAGCAAATCCCAGTGCCTGGGAAGCCTAAGTCTATCTTGACAATGACTTACGTTTAAAAAGCTTCACTTTGAGGAAGGAGCTATGCTTTTGAATTAGAAGCCATCTTTTAAGAATATCACAGGGTGACTGTTATTCCTCATATATTGGTTTCCTCCTCTCTGCCACCAAGATAACTCATAGTCTGTACTCCATCCATCTGATATTCTATTACTCCCCCATATGAGAATTTGCTTCTAGTCACTGTCTCATAAGCATGTCAAAGTCACCTCCAATCCTCCTATCATTTCCTGTTCTGAAACATTCTTCCATCCCCCTGCCTATCCAATTTCTGCACCTACAATTTACTCCTTCATTGACGACTTCCCAAACTGTCCAAGTCAAAGCTGACTGTCATCTCACATCATGGAAGTGCTTAGCATAAAATTCTTTTCTTTTTAATTTATAATTCCAACTATTATTTTAGATTCAGGGGGTACATGTGTGGGTTTGTTACATGGGGTTACTGTGTGACACTAAGGTTTGGAGGACAAATGGTCCCTACCCCAAGTAGTGAGCATAGCACCCAAAGGGTAGTTTTTCAGCACCTGCCCAGCTCCTTACCTCCCCCTTCTAGTCCAGTGTTTATTGTTTGCATCTTTATGTCCATGTGTACTCAATGTTCAGCCCCCACTTGTAAGTGAGAACACACAGTATTTGGTTTTCTGTTCCTGTATTAATTCCCTTAGGACAATGGCCTCTAGCTGTATCCATGTTGCTGCAAAGGACATGATTTCACACTTTTTACGAATGTGTAGTATTCCATGGTGTATATGTACCACATTTTCTTTATCCAACCCACTATTGATGGGCACCTAGGTTGATTCCATGTCTTTTCTATTATGAATAGTGCTGTGATGAATATACAAGGGCATGTATCCTTTTTGTAGAATAGCTTATCTTCTTTGGGGTATATATTCAGTATTCAGTAACGGGATTTCTGGGTTAAATGGTAAGTCCATTTTTAGTCCTTTGTGAAATCTCTAAAATGTTTTCCTCAGTGGCTGAACTAATTTACATTCCCACCAACAGTGTATAAGTGTCCCTTCCCTTTTCTCTGAAGCCTCGCCAGAATCTGTTATTTTTTGACTTTTTGATAAAAGCCTCCTGAAACTGATAAATGACCTCAGTAAAGTTTCAGGGTATAGTATCAATGTACAAAAATCAGTAGCATTTCTACACACCAATAACATTCAAGCTGAGAGCCAAAACAACAACACAGTCCCATTTACAATAGCCACAAAAAAATAAAGTATAATACCTAGGAATACAGTTAACCAAGGAGATGAAAAGTCTCTACAAGGAGAGCTACAAAACACTGTTGAAAGAAATCATAAATGACAAAAACAAATGAAAACAACATTCCATGCTCATGGATTGGAAGATCCAATATTATTGAAATGGACATACTGCCCAAAGCAAACTACAGATTCAGTGCTATTCCTATTAAACTACCCATATCATTTTTCACAGAATTAGAAAAAATTGTTCTAAAATTCATATGGAACCAAAAAAGAACCCAAATAACCAAAGCAATCCTAAGCAAAAAGAAGAAAACTGGAGGCATCACGTGACTTCAAACTATAAGGCTGCAGTAACCAATACAGCATGGCACTGGTACAACAACAGACAGATAGACCAAAGAATAGAGAACCCAGAAATGAAGGAACACACCTACAACCAGCTGATCTTCAACAAAGCTGACAAAAATAAGCAATGGGGAAAGGACTCCCTATTCAATAAATGGTACGGGGACAACTGGCTAGCCATATCCAGAAGAATGAAACTGGACCCCTGCCTTTCACCATACGCAAAAATTAACTCAAGAAGGATTAAAGATTAACTGCAAACTGTAAGAATCCTAGGAGAAAACCTAGGGAATACCATTCTGGACAATACCATTCTGGATATTGGTCTTCGCAAATAATTTATGGCCAAGTCTTCAAAAGCAATTGCAACAAAAACAAAAATTGACAAGTGGAACCTAATTAAATGAAAGAGCTTCTGCACAGGAAAAGACACTACCAACAGAGTAAACAGACAACCTCCAGAATGGGAGGAAATATTGGCAAACAATGCATTTGACAAAGATCTTATAACCAGAATCTGTAAGAAACTTATATAATTGAACAAATAAAAAACAACTCCATTAAAAACTGAGCAGAGGACATGAACAGACACTTCTCAAAAGAGGAAGCACAAGCAGCCAACAAACATATTTTTAAAAAGTTCAACATCACTAATCATCAGAGAAATGCAAATTATTTTCTTTTTCTTTTTTTTTTTTTCTTTTTTGAGATGAAATTTTGCTCTTGTTGCCCAGGCTGGAGTGCACTGGCATGATCTCTGCTCACCGCAACCTCTGCCTCCTGGGTTCAAGCAATTCCCCTGCCTCAGCCTCCCGAGTAGCTGGGAGTGCAGGCATGCACCACCATGCCTGGCTAATTTTGTATTTTTTTTTAGTAGAGATGGGGTTTCTCCATGTTAGTCAGGCTGGTCTCAAACTCCTGACCTCAGGTGATCCGTCCACCTTATTTTCTTATAGTAATGTGTTTGAGTCCCTGAATGTATCATTAGAAATTCAAGAAAATGGGCTAAGTCATGGAATTTTCCCTCATTTCCCAAAAAAGTTAGGCATGTGTTCAGCAAATACTAAGTAATCAAGACATATTTAATGGTTTTTTCTGTATAGTGGGTGCATCTCTGTCATTTAAGTCTCTGATGTCTTTGAGTGACAGCTAGTAGTATAACAGAGGACATTTGACAGGAGTAAGGACTGAATTACAGTTCTTTGTTGGATGTGGTGCTGAGGCACAGGAAAATCATTAGAAATCACTGCAATGTGTAATTTTTATGTGGCATACACACAAATATATATTATTCAGCTCTGCAGTTTGCACTGTGCCTCTGTTTTATTGGCATGTATATTTTGCTCCCTAGGAACTCCAGAGGACAAAATATTACCACTAATTTGCTAACACTGTTTGGACTTACATTGCAATACATAGAGTGAACACAACATTCCCGTTGCTGGAAAACTTCATCACATATACACTAGGTGTTTTACCAAGAAAAGGTGCCCAATTTAAAATGCCTAGAGACATAATATACCTGAAGGCAAAACCTTACCAATAGGATGTTTCTGCTAAGGACAACTTCTTCACCACGTAAATGGTAAGTCATCTTATCCAAGGCTTCTTATCAACTTATCACTTCAACTCAATGAGAGGCTAAGTGGCTGAATTACCCTTCAAAAGTCCCTGTTTTGTCATTTTAAGATGTTATAGCCTGGGTGCATAAAAACAATAAATATGCTTTAATAATTATTTTGCATCTGTTTAACATGAATTATGCCATTAAAACTAAATTAAATATCTAGCCAAAGATCTTAATGGAACTTATTACCCCCAAAATGCAAAATCTCCTTTCAATTAAAACTCTTTGCAGCAATAATTGTAATAATTGCATCAACTCACTTACATTTCTCTCTTGTCATCCTGAACATGTCTCTCATCTTGGCACTGTAGGAAATTTTTGTGTTGGCAGGATATTAGTGAAGCATGTTGTAGTTAACACTAATTAATTCATGTTGATCTCTTCACAATCTAATGAAACAAAATTAAACCTGTACTTTGTTCATTTGGTTCATATTTTTCAAATGAGACACCTAATGAGACTTTGTAAAGGGCATGTCAACTCTATATAGTTAGTCTCTTTGAGATTTCTTTAAGCTTCCCAAAGAGAAAAACCTGAATATGCCAATAATAATGATTAGGATTGTATAGCAAAGAAGGAATGAATTGCCATAAAGTAGCTGATGATTTTTCAAAACAAATGTCTAGTTATGAATGTATAATCATGCAGCAGTTTCTTCTTAAAACTGACATTGAAGGAAGGAAATTAAATAGCTAATTTTGTCAATACATCCTAGATTATATAACCTAGGAAGCTTAGATCTACACAGCCAAAATACTTCTGAAAAAGTGATAATTATCTAGGTAATTAAAAACAACTTTGGCCTTTCTTTTTAGAATCTACCTTAATTGTCTATTTAGAAATAATGAAGCTCAGATGTTGCTGATTTATTGGCTTAATTTTTTATTTCCATTCTTTTTGCTTGATTTTTCATTTTTATTTGCTTAAGAAAGAACTTCCTTGAAAATAGCAATAGCTCAATTGATTATAATTGCAGGGATAAATATATTATTAGGTCCTCCAAAAGACAGTCAAAAGACAATGATGTTTTTTTTCGCTTTATATTTACCAAGCATAATTGTATATATTTTGGAAACTACTCTGGGATATTGGTCAAGTCACTTTCTGGCTTCGATTTTCTGATTTTTCCTCTTACAAATGAGGATGCTGATCCATATGATCTCTTAGAACTAAAATTTTAAAAATAGATGATTCAAAATACAACATAAGCAGCCAAAATCTTATTCAGAGGAAAATTCATAGTCTTGTAACCTTGGCACATATCACCAAAAAGAGGACCATATATAGTTCAAAACAAAAACTGAAATAAAACTAAGTCATAAAATTAACTGAAGAAAGGCCAATGTAGACCTGAGTTTCTCCAAGAAATTTTGATGCTTAAAATTGTTTTCATCATTTTCTGTCATTTATTTGATATTCCTGCTTTACTGGTACTCTTAGACTTAATCTTTCTATCAAGTAATCTGTTAATCATAACATTATATTTACATTCTCTCTTTTGGACTTGCAGAAGAAGTGATTTTAGTTTTATATATGTATATTATTTGTGATGATATATGCAATTATATATTATTATATATTATATATATATCTATTCCACTGTTACTTTTTGTGTCTCATTTCTCTGTCTCTCTCACATACACACACACACACACACACACACACACACACAAGCATCATGCAATTTATCTGGTATGTTTTATCAAATTCTCACATGGCGTTTTCAGAGACAAAGAGTTACTCAATCACCTTTTATCCTATATGCCAAGGGTCCTAAATTTCTAAAGTTAGAAGCCTTACACAGCTGGGCTTTCTTAAAGAGAAAAGCTCTCTGCAGGTTTGGTCTAATTCAATTTTTATATAGTATACCCTAGGAGGCCTTTATTTCCTTTAAAGATAGGGAAGAGTTGGAGATTCCCATCTCAGTTGCTTCAAAACTGGTTGCTATTAACGTCCTAGAGGAAGGTAGTAACTAGATTCCCAAGTGCAGCAGTTCTTTACTGAATACTTTGGGCATCCAGCACTAGAAACATTTTGACAGAGGGATGAGACAGGCAAGGTATCCTTTACTTACTGAAAGGAAGTATAGTCCAGTCTTGCAAACTAGATTTTAACAAAATAAAAAACAACAGTAGACTGCAATGAGACATTTTTAAAAATGGTGCTCAAACACCTAATTTTAATTTTTAAAATATTTTATTTTATTTTTGTTTTGTTTTGTTGAGACAGAGTCTCCCTCTGTCCCCCAGTCTGGAGTGCAGTGGCACAGTCTCGGCTCACTGCAACCTCTGCCTCCCGGGTTCACGCAATTCTCCTGGCTCAGCCTCCTGAGTAGCTGGGACTATAGGCACGTGGCACCACACCCAGCTAATTTTTATACTTTTAGTAGGGATGGGGTTTCATCATGTTGGCCAGGCTGGTCTTGAACTCCTGACCTCAGGTGATCCATCCACCTCGGCCTCCCAAAGTACTGGAATTACAAGTGTGAGCCACCACACCCAGCCCCAAATTTAAATTATTTAGACTATTTTAGTAGTGTGATTTCAGAGAAAGAAGACACTGGGCATTACAATCATCAAAAGAGCCTTCCTGAAGGGCTTTTGCATAGGCAGTGATACTCACTTGTGTTCTTGTATGTATAACCAACCATTGTTGAGTATTTGTGTAATATCTTTTGCCCACCATGTATGATTACCATCCTTACATAATCAGTATTGCCTAGTTCCATAAAGGAAATACTAATAGTGGGAAATCTATGTAGGTACTCACAAGCCATCGAATAGGAATTTGTAAAAATGTGGACCCACGTTCTGGTGATACTCCTTGATCCCTCAGATTGGTGATTGGGTGGTTTTCATAACCCACAAAGAACTTCATGTTCAACCAAAAGAGGTGCCTGCTTTTCTGGTAGAGAACCAGCTTCTCAGCCACTGCTCAGAAGTCCGTCTATTTACTGGACCAGAAGAAACGGGGAAAACCCACTTGACTACAATTTACAGAGTAGACTCAGTCTCTCTCCCTGAGGGTCTCTGGCCACCTGATCAAATGAGTAGACACTGGAACAGGAGTCTGGGAAACTCACCACACGGAGAAACTGATTTGAGATTTTATTCTTCCAGTGACACTGACTTTACCTGTCTACAGGAGCAAAACAAAGGAGCGGCATGGGCAGTCTTGTCATCTTCAAATAGAGTGTAAAGCTTACTCCATGGAACCAAAGCAGAAAGAAGTAGGGGTGTGGTGCTGGCCAAATCCTCCAGGATTTGCATTCCTAGCTGTCAGGTGGCTTTTATTTTTACTGTGTTGTTAATCTAACTAAATGGACAGTTCACCACCTTGGAGCTTATTAGAAATACAGAAACTTAGTCCAACCCAACTCTATTGAGATAGACTTTGTCTTTAACAAGATCCTGAGAGGGTTTGTATGTATGGACTGAAAGGGAATATGTGGGTTATGAAGGGTTGAGAAGCCCTGTAATAATAAACACCCAAGCCCATGTCTTCATGGAACTTACTTTCTAGTGGGGAATACAAACAAGAATACAAACTACAAACAGTGGTCATAACCATGGCCAAAATCCATTGAGGAGTGACTATTATCAGATACTTTCCTAAGTATTGAATAGTATTAAACTTGTCTTCATGTGTTAACTCATTTAGTTCTCACAATGAACTAATTGGATAGTACCATTAATGTCATTTTACAGGTAAAAAAAAAAAAAATGGAGGCACAGCAATTTTATTTTAGCCAAAAATCACAGTCAGTCAGTGATAATGCTGAGACTTGAACTGAGGATTGTTGGGGTCCAGAGTCACATCCTTAAGTATTGCATTCTACTGATAATTTCTAAGAGTAAAAGTCAGGCTTTCATATGAGAACACTGGAGGAGCAAGTAACTCAAGCTTTCCAGAAAAACGATGACTAAGTAAGCAAAGGCACAAGAATGAGGGAGAATGAGCCAAGGCAGTGGTGTCTATTCAGCAGGACCTGGGCCTTCCCTTTGCGCTACCAACTCAGCCTAAACAGCTCTGAAGCATGTCCCTTAGCTACACAAATGTCATTTCTTTTGCAGGTTCTCTTTGATCTGCCTTGCTTACACTACGCTTGCTAGCAGGGCTGTCTTTCTCTAGATCTGTCCCTCTGTTTTCTTCTGTCTCCTCAGAGATCCTTGCTCCCACCATTAGGAGAATGATTTAATAGCCCCTACACATGTTTCATTCTCATCATTCCTGCAATATTTTATTCCTTTGAATAGGGGAACTCATCCTATTTAAATGGTTCTCCAACTAGGTACATTCCTTACTGTGATAATGGAATATAACCTCCATCCTCTCAGGTTGGCATGTTTTCCTTCTAAAATCTGCCTTCACTGGAGTAATGAATAGCATGTTAAAAAGGAATAAGCAAGTTTAGTGATAGCTATCTCAGAAAAGGGGCCTTGGAATGAAGGAACAGAAAGACAGAGCTGTTTGCATGGCTAAGGGCATGGCTCAGCCTGACTCAGAGCTCCATCCTTTATGCGATGGCTTTCCCTTTGACAAACCCAACTTGCCCAGTTTTAGCAACTGATGTTGATCTTGCTTTAGAAATGAGTGATTCCTGAAGGCATGTGAGGATCACCCTTGAGATAATTCAGCTAAAATGGAAAGGCTTCATTGCTCTCAGTTTACCTTATCTACCTAGACCAGGGGAACTCTAAGCCATGCTCTGTCAATCCCCATCTCTCTCTTTCAATCAGTTAAATTTGGTTTAAGGTCCTTCAGAACTCAAGAAAAGTATACAGAACATATGATATGCTCAATTCCATGTCAGGCACCTAGTAAATGCTCAGTGAGTGAGTGAAAGCTAAGATTGTATTCATTGTTGCACAGTTCAGTAAAATAGAGTCAACTTTGGTTATTGGTGCTAGCATCTGAAAGAACAAACTGTCTTCAAATAATTTCTCTTTGGATTCGTGTTGCAATATATTATTATTATTTCTCAACCATTGTTGTTGGTTCACATTCTGAATAAAAATTGCATTCTCAGAGCATAGACCTATATCCAGTGTATAAAACATAATACTATTACTTAAAAATAAAGAAATATATGCAACATATATTAGCAATTTATTTTTTAATAAATGAAATGTAAAAATATTTGTAGTAAGGTAGTGAAATTACAGGTTACTTATCAATATACCTGCTTTATGCTTTTTATTTCATGTGCTTTACACTTTTTTATACTTTCCAAATTTTACTTTATATATTCTTTTTAAACAAAGTATAAGATTTAAAATTACAGAATAAATATTTTTTCCCCAGAGAAGCTTCATGCAGATAAGAAAGATATGTTTATGAATAATCTCACAGTAAGAGAACCTTATCTCAAATGAAATTTAGTGATATTGACATTGTCTAACACCAATATTCTGTTTGAAGCATGCTTCTGTCATAGATTATACATTTTTAAGGGAGGGTGGGTTGTAAAATTTCCAGTTCTTGCAGATCAACAATGTTTTTTTCCCTCACTTTGTGGAAACCTCTTATCCACAGGGAGGATTAGAGAATCACATAATCTTGGAGTTAGAAAGTGTTTGAGATCATCTTTCTTATGATCAGTTTTATTGTCAGAAATTCATTTTTCAGGGCTTCTCATTCTTTATCTGAAATTGTCGCAATGCCTGGCACAGTGGGTACATAAAAGCCACTCAGTAAATACAGCTGGATGAGTCAAGGGATCTTTTTCCTTTAATAGCACGTATCTATAGGGTACTATTATAATGTTCTCTGAATATGTTGAAATCTGCTTCTCCCAAATATAGAGCACAAGTCTGTCTTCTTCTTTTGTTTCTTTCCCGCCCTTTTATGGCGCTTTCTCAGAATATCATACTCACCTCTGAATCACCAGCTGGTGCTTCCTTGTTAGTCAGAATTATAAAGGAAGTGCCAGTTACTTCATTTATTTTATCAGATAATTTATTCAGCAAATGCCCTACTATGTCTGGCATTTTTTAACGGATAAGAGATAAGGCTAAGTAATAAGACTGAGATACAGGCTAAAGATATATAAGTGTGTGTGTGTGTACGTATAGGTATGTGTGTGTATGTGTATATGTATGTATGTATATGTGTAGACATATATAAATCATTAGCATATAGGTGGTAATTGAATCGACATTGTTTTAAAAATTTTATTTTTGTTTTAATATGGCAAGAACACTTAACATGGGATCTACCTTTTCACTTAATATTAAGTTAGAGTATAATATTGTTAACTATAGGCACAATGCCATATAGCAGCCCTCTAGTCTTATTTATGGTGGATTACTGAAATTTTAGACCCAATGATCAGCAGCTCCTCCTTGCTCTCTCCCCACGGTCCCTGGCAACCCCTATTCTGTTCTCTGTTTCAATGAGTTTGACTATTTTACATACATCATTTCAATAGAAACATGCAGCAAACTTGGTACGATTAGAAAGAAACGATAACCAAGAAAACACAACACTAGAAAAATTAAAATATCAGAAACATGCATTTTCTATAACACTTGTTTATTTTTAACTGTGGAGATAAGAATTAAGAGGAACGTGTCACCTTTTCTAATTTTCTACTTTAAACAAGCAATGTAGTCTTGTTGCTCTTTGTTTTTTTTTTAACTTTTAAAATGTTTGAATGTTTTTTCTGTGTGTTATTATAGGTCCCTCCAGGACAGTCTTGTGATTTATTGTAATTTGTACAATTTTCAATATATTATCATACCTACAACAGGCACCTAGCAACATTTGCTGGTTGAATAAATAGGTAAATTCTATATGATATTTCAAGATTCCTAGCAAATCTGGAACAGTATTCCTAACCAAATTTGTCCTTACCTGTATCTTATGTCTGTATGAGATGTGTGGGTGAACAGGTATTTTTCTTACATATTTTTAAAATCAAAACTCTAAAAGTGAGTTATCTACCTAAATGGCTGCCAATGGCTCCACCTCCAAGGTGATGCCATGGGAGTGGTTGAATATTATTACTGAAGGTAAATAAAAACATTACAAGGATTTTATGTAGTTGAAGAACCTTAGCAGTATATAATTTAGTCCGTTATCAGTGGGTTGGAAGTTCAAAGATGAAAACATCATTGTTGTAAAAGTCCAAATATTCAATAAACAAAGGACACTTAGAAAAGATGGATCCAATGGTTCTAAGTGAAATACAGCATTGGAAGAAATAAATGGATCTTCAAAAAATAAGCAAGTTTAAAAGACAGAATAAATTGTATTTATCTTAGACTAACAACCATTTATACATTTATCAAAACATGCAAACAAACAAATTTCTTTAGGCATATTTTGGAGTGTGATACCATTTAGTTTTGCCTGTAGGTGATGGCACTGATTAGTGCCCTTTTGTCTCTCCAGATGTAGAGAAATTGTTTTAATATTTTCACTTTCATGTAAAGTGAGTAGCACTTAGTGCTATTAAATAGTTTAAAAATAAAGGGTAAACATATATCTAAATGAAGTAGGTTTGAACTAGCCCTATCAAAGGAGCTGTAGTATTTAGAAATATTTAATCTCCTTTTCCTTTTATTATTAATAATATCTTCTGTATACATTATTTTTCTAAACCCCATCAAATGTTTTCAAAGTACAAAATTTCTAGCTCCAAAGTCTTTTGAGAGTTACTATTATATTCATTTTATATCAGCCAACTTGTAGCTGCTGGAAATGAAGGGAATAAACATCTATCATTTCAGAATGTCACGGAATAGGACTGGATGCCAAGTGGCTGAAGTCCCCCACCACTACTGCAGGGTGTGACACCACCTTATTCATGTCCTTTCAAAAGTAACAAAGAAGCCCCACACAAAGGTTTAAGCTTAATTTAGACATGGGGATATGTCTGGGTAGAGAGATTCATCTTCAAAACCAACCCTTTAATCTTCTAATTCAACCAATGCTTGCTGAATGTTACACTTATTCATGAGTTTCTACTGTGCTAACTTCCTGTTTGATGTAGTGACAGAGGGTAAATGACAAATACAGATTTCATCTACTCAATGAATATGAACAAATAATTAAGAATGTAGTACAGAGATGAACCACATAGGATGTTTCATGTATATTTTACAATAAGGTCAAATGCATTTAAATCTAAATACTCAAAGAATAGTCTTGCCCCTCTCTAAGGAGAGGACAATGTAGAATCTGTGCCCTAAAAAGTAGGTTATTGTCTAATGAACGATGCTATATGTTCACCAGTATCTTTGCCCATGTAAGTGTAATAAAACCATCAAATGATTAGATAAAGGGGGAAAAATAGAGACATTAATTTCCTCCCAGATGATAAACTGTACCATAAAGAACAACCTACAGAAAGAAGAAGGAGGAGGAGGAGGAAGAAGAAGAAGAGGAGGAGGAGGAGGAGGAGGAGGAGAAGGAAGAGGACTAGGAGGAAAAGGAGGAAGAGAAGAAGAAGGAGAGCTGCTTTTATGTTAGCATTAACTAAATTTTACAATCACGTCTCTGTGACTCTTCTTCCTCCTATGTCAGGGTTTATTTCATTCTTCTCCAAATTCAGTAAATACTTATTGCCCACTGTGGGTTAATCAACATTTCTAAAGTGTGCTTTGAAGGCCCTGGGGTCTTCTTTCAGGGATTCCATAAGGTCCTCTCCTCCTAAAATACTTGTCTATATGAGGACCTATTTTCTTTGTATACTTCAGATAAAACAACATGTATCAGATTGAATGTAAAAGCAAATTTAAGAGTCCAGGTATCTTCTATTAAGCCTGGCATAAAAAAAAATTATAAAAACATACAGCAATGCCAGTCTTTCCACCAAAACAGTTTTTGTCTTGGAAAATACTTATTTTTCATAAAAAATAGATTAGCACAAAAAATTAAGAAATGATAAGACCAAATGTGCATTGCAGACTCAAGCACACATTTATTAAAAAAATTTACAGGTATTCTGTTTTCTTCAATATATATATATCTGGGTGAGGATTTCTCTTAAATCTACATGCTGTAAATATTCAGTCTGGAAATATTGAAATCCAAATTGGGCAATAAATATCATGAGGTAAAGGTGGCTTAGAGTTAATTCTAGAGAAAATTTTACTGGAATTCAGCATCAGCACCAGCAGAGCATAGAACCCAATACAGTTGCATAGGCTTACTCTGAGCTAATTTGGGACAATGGTTCCTGATATGATAACATAATTCTTGTGTCTATCAGGAAGGTCTTCAGAGATAGCAGAAGAGCCCTGAGGCAGGCAATAGTCCAGCCTTGCTTGATCATTTTATCAAAGACAGCTAAAAGTAGCTGTGAACCTCTGGGAATAAGTATGTGTAGTTTTACAGAGTTCTGTTCTTGTCATCTGAGATCAATAGGATTGGAAGATGTCTTGAAATAAGGGTTTTCCTTGATCCATGTGCTTGAAGCAAACTCAGGGCACCAAGGAATGGCTGGTGTCTGACATTGGCTGTGTCCCCATCCAAATCTTACCTTGAATTATAATAATCCCCATGTGCCAAGGGTGGAGCCAGGTGGAGATAATTGAACCATGGGGGCAGTTTTCGCTATAGTGTTCTCATGGTAATGAATAAGTCTCATGAGATCTGATAGTTTTATAAATGGGAGTTCCCCTGCACAAGCTCTCTTTGCCTGCCACCATGTAAGACATGACTTTGCTCCTCACTTGCCTTCTGCCATGATTGTAAGGCCTCCCCAGCCATGTGGAACTGTGAGCCAATTAAACCTCTTTTCTTTGTAAATTACTCCTTCTCAGATATGTCTTTATTAGCAGCATGAGAACAGACTAATACAGTGGCCAATACATTTGTGCATACCTCCAGCAGTAATATCTCAAGTGTACGTTGGCTCAGACACTTTGGAGAATCAAGAAGCTCAATCATATAGATTATCTAAAATAAGTGTCACTTATCCCTGAGCCTGAATTTTGTGAATGTTGGCTCTTTTGTCCCATGATCCTCTTCTATATAAAACAACCCAAGTATCTGTCCAAAATTTGTTTGAAATTTTCTTGACTTCTCATTTGGCCAGTAGTAGTCAATCATCTCAAGGGTATTCACTTGTCTTTCCTGAGAGGGCTGCTATCAGTGTTCTGGCCTACAGTGAACTTCTCTGATTTCCTCATGATTATAAAGAATAAGAAAGTAAAATTGCCTTCTACCTGCTGCATCCATATTTCCATTTGGTGTGGGTCTTGAGGTGACCTCAGTCTCACTCGAGCTACACTACATAAGAGGAAGTCTTCATCCTCAGGCTGATGACCATCTTCTTGATACCCTCAATTGCTGTTCCTTCTATCTGAAACATTCTCTCACTTATTCAGTTGGCAAATTCCTGTATATCTTCTAGTTCTCCACTCAGACAAAATCTCATTTTTGATCCTCTCTAGAATAGGCAATTTACTCCTGTTCTTTCTTCTATATGAAGCCCCTGTCATGGCATTATCATATTTTACTATGACTGATAATTTAATCAGTTTATTTCCCTTCTAGCCTTTAAGCTCTTGAAGGTAAACAGGTGTCTATGTTACCAATCCCTGGGCCCCTAGTGCTTAGTCTTTAACGCTTAGTAGATAATCAACCAATACTTACTCAGCAAATGATTGTATGGTTGGATGGATGAGCAGTTGTTGACCCAAGCCACATTCACTAAGCAAAGAGTATGAACAAGGAAGAAAGTAATGCCTCGGTTTGTGACCCAGATTTTACAATGTATACTAATGAAATTGCTACTAATATACAATGTTTATTAACTCTTTGACTTTCTGGATACTGGAAACTTTTGGACACTTGACTTTATTTGTCTTGGCTATTTATCTTGGACTCAACATTCTGTGTCTAGTAGATCCTATTGTTCAGTGGAAATCTCCATTATGATCACTCTTAGATTTTCCTAGTCCTATTGCCCCATATGTCTTAATGGGATAATATAGGCATTTTAAAGTAAAACCTAAGAATTATTCTCAAAAATATAAACTCTGTGCTCTTCTGTTTTCACAAATTAAAACATCTCTGCTTTTAACTGTTCTGTAGGTTTTATTCAGCATATTTTTTTCAATTATCTATAAGGTACTGTCAAAATATTAAGAACATATGATCCTGACCCCAACAAGACTTATGTAATGCTCAAGAAATAGCAAACATAGATAATATAAATGCTTACTAGTTGTTTCTAGGGGTTTTTTAAAAAATCTTATTTCTAAAGTATGTAATGAAATTCTGAAACTATTTGACTTATGTACAAATCTAAATAGTAGGGACAAATCCTTTATTCCATGTAGGTAAGAAATAAGTAAATGGTTTTGTTTGTTTGTTTGTTTTAAGACTGGGTCTCACTCTGTAGCCCAGGCTAAAGTGCAGCAGCACAATCTTGGCTCACTGCAACCTATAGCCTCCTGGGTTCAAGCGATTCTCCTGCCTCTGCCTCCCAAGTAGCTGGGACAACAGGTGTCCACCACCATGCCCGGCTAATTTTTGTATTTTTAGTGGAGACGGGGTTTTCACCATATTGCCCAGGATGGTTTCGAACTCCTGACCTTGTGATCTGCCTTCTTCAGCCTCCCAAAGTGCTGGGATTACAGGCGTGAGCCACTGCACCCGGCCAAATTTTTTTAATGTAATGTGTAGAAATCTCAATTCTATATCATAAAACAAACTAAGTAAAACCAGAGATTAATATTATTTAAACTAACCCTGGAGTTATATGCTGTTTCATATCCTCTTTTTTTGGAGTCTCTCAAACATTTTAAACTTTTCTGGTACAGATTTGGCTGAGGTATCTTTCTCCCTAAGTATAAACTTTAAATTTATCCAGCCATCTATCTATCTTTATATTCTTTTATCTGGCACTGACACATTCCATAAAAGGTTTTAGGAGCAAATATGTTTTTGGTATTGAAAACAGACTTATCTATTAATTCATAAATATTTTGTGCACCTTCTATGTTTCTGGCACTGCACTGAACACTAGACATATAGTAATAAACAAACCAGAAATAACCTTATGGAATGGATAGAAAAAATCTAAGCAGTTATCCTTACAATTGGAAAAACTCACTTGGCCTGGGAAAACAAATCTGTAAATGAATCTTAGAATATGTTTTAGCTATCAGTATTAGAACAAAGTTCAATGGCAGTGTGAAATCAGATTTAGCTAACTTTACCTGGAAGTTCAGGGAATATGGAATGGCTAGGGATGTGACTATAAATAAAAAATTTTGGAGACCAGGGTTAGAAAATATTTTAACTGGTAAACTACTTAGAAGATAAAAGTAAAATTCGTTGTTGGTGCAAATGAAGTGCTTCAGAATTCTCCCAACTTTTATTTTCAGTATCTTCTTTCGTACTTCACTTTCCTGGTTGTACCTAACAAATTATACAAATTATTTTAAATTATGATGAGTAATATTTTAATAACAAAATCTAGTATTTAATCAAAATTTGCCATTGTTTAGAAACTGTTATGAGCTGTTAGCTTGTATTGACATAGTACACTCATTCTAGGAGAGAATTACATTTAACTAATTTCGATCTGACATATGTACAAATTGAGTAGAACAGGAGTTATGTTACATGTTTAGGGTCAGATAATTAGTAACTATTGAATACAGAACTTGCATATAGAAAATTTATTTCTAAAGCTCATGCCAGCATACTTTCCACTGGGAACTAATCATTTTCAGTGTTGATATTTCAAATAATTGGACTTTCATCTTCAATTAGAAAATAGGTAACAAGTAATCATCTTTAGAGGCAGAGTTCTACCAAATGCTATGGGACATATATGTGAACATTATCATCCTGGGTATCTCAGTGGAAATATAATTAACTTCTAATGCTCAATATGCTACTGAAAGCTCATGGAAATTATTGGATTCAAAAGTGAAATTTTTTAAAAATGTACGTCCAATGGAAATGTAGCATCCATTGGAAATTACTGTTGTGGTTTTGTAATTTTGTAGTGAGACCGAGTTTGAAAACTACATGGAGAGCAGATATTATTGTTTCATATATGGTATATGTATTAGTCAGGGTTCCATAGAGAGAACTAATAAGATATATGTATATATATCCTATTATAATAAGATATAATAATAACATGTATCTTATTATAATAGGATATATATACATATATCTTATGAGTGTACTATGTCAATACAAGCCCACAGCTCATAACAGTTTCTAAACAATGGCAAATTTTGATTAAATACTAGATTTTATGTTATTAAAATATTAATCATCATAATTTAAAATAATTTGTATAATTTGTTAGGTACAACCAGGAAAGTGAAGTATGAAAGAAGATACTGAAAATAAAAGTTGGCAGAATTCTGAAGCACTATGGGATACATGTATATCCTATATATATGTATTAGTTTATTAAGTAATAATATTAAGGGGAGTTTACTAAGTATTAACTTACACAATCACAAGGTCCCACAATAGGCTGTCTGCAAGTTGAGGAGCAAGGAGAGCCAGTCAGAGTCTTAAAACTGAAGAACTTGGAGTCCGAAGTTTGAGGGCAAGAAGCATCCAGCATGGGAGAAAGATGTAGGCTGGGAGACTAGGCCAATCTTGCCTTTTTATGTTTTTCTGCCTGCTTTATATTCACTGGCAGCTGATAGATTGTGCCCACCAGATTAAGGGTGGGTCTGCCTTCCCCAGCCCACTGACTCAAATGTTAATCCCCTTTGGCAACACCCTCACAGACACACCCAGGATCAATACTTTGCATCCTTCAATCCAATCAAGTTGAACTGAGTATTAACAATCAGAAGTCCAGCCCTTGTCAACTTGAACCCATACACATATCCTGAGATAATACATATTCTGAGATAATACATAATCTTCAAATAAAGACAATAATAAGGTCATTATTATGCCTAACAAAATACAACTATACGACTGGAAATGCACCAATCCCCAACACAAATGCTATTACATAAAGTTAACAATACTTAAACGCCAATATGAAGTCAATAAATCTTATGTCACATGATAAAGGAAAAGGAAATAAAATGAAGATATTTTCTTAGTACAAGTGCATACATGCACAAACATATTTTTAACGAAAGAAGGAGGAAATACTAATGACAGATACAGTCCTCATTTCTGCAGCTGGTCACCTGGTCGTAGCTGGTATTGATGACTACCTTCTTCTACTACCCATTCTGTACTGCCTTTGCCTTCAGCAAGCACCTCAGCAGGTCCTGTTTTTTTTTCCCTGGTGGAGTGACCCAAACCTTCATTCCTGAGGGGTCTGGACAATTTTTAGTCCTGCCTGGATTAGGCTGTTGTAGTTTCTCATTGACCCTAATCACAGGACATGGTAATACTAAGAGACATCCAATGGATTTCCTGTATTCCATGCATACTCTTCCTTACCTCCCTTATGGGGTAGTAGACTGATTTCATCTTGATAGTCCAGGTCAATCGCCCCAGCCAACACTGTAATTCCCTTCTTAGCCTGTTGACTTAAAGGTAAGAGGAGCCCAAAGTGTCAGGTGGCAATCTTAACTTCCAGTTTAAAGGAATCGTTGTTGGGTCCCCTGGTGGCAGCATTCCTTCCTCTGGGACTAAGACCTCCGGGCCAGCAGAACAGAATGTTGTGGGTACAGGAGGCAGAAATTTTGCTAGTAGATCACTAGGGGTGATGGTGAGTGGTGCCACTTCCACTTCCACCCCTGATTCCTGGACTCATGAATCCTGGCTATGGGAGAAACAGTACCATATACTGGATGCTGATTCAGAGCATACATGGCCTTCTGGAGAACTTTGTCCCAGCCTTGCAAAGTATTGTCACCTAGTTGGTGTTGTAATTATGAATTCAAAGGTCATTCCACCATTCTATCAATCCAGCTACTTCAGGATGATGGAGAACATGGTAAAACCAGTTAATTCCATGAGCATGAGCCCACTGCCACATTTCTTTAGCCATTAAGTGAGTGAGTTGGTCAAAGGCAATGCTGTGTGGAATACCATGATGGTGGATAAGGCATTCCGTGAGTTCATGGATGATAGTCTTGGCAGAGGCATTGTGTGAAGAATAGGCAAACCCATATCCAGAGTAAGTATCTATTCCAATGAGGACAAACCTCTGCCCTTTCCATGATGGAAGAGGTCCAATATAATCAACTTGCCACCAAGTAGCTGGCTGATCACCCTGAGGAATAGTGCCATATTGAGGGCTCAGTGTTGGTCTCTGCTGCTGGCAAGTTGGGCACTCAGCAGTGGTCATAGCCTGGTCTGCCTTGGTGAGTGGAAGCCCATGTTGCTGAGCCCATGGATAACCTCCATCCCTGCCACCATGGCCACTTTGCTCCTTGGCCCATTGGGCAATGACTGGGGTGGCTGGGGAAAGAGGCTGAGTGGTGTCCACAGAACAGGTCATCCTATCCAATTGATTATTAAAATCCTCCTGTGCTGAGGTCACCCACTGATGAGCACTCACATGGGATACAAGTATCTTAACAGTTTTGGACCACTCAGAGAGGTCCATCCACATACCTCTTCCCCAAATTTCTTTGTCACCAATTTTCCAACCATGCTTCTTCCAAGTCCCTGAACATCCAGACAAACCATTGGCTACAGCCCAAGAATCGGTACACAATCACATATCTGGCCATTTCTCCTTCCATGCAAAGTGCACAACCAGGTGCACTGCTCAAAGTTCTGTCCAGTGGGAAGATCTCCTTTCACCGCTGTCCTTCAGGGATGTCCTAGAAGGGGCTGTAGTGCTATAGCTGTCCACTTGCGGGTGGTGCCTGCATATCTTAAAGAACCATCTGTGAGCCAGGCTCTTGTCTTCTCTTCCTCTGTCAACTGATCATAGGGAACTCCCCATAAGGCCATAGGTGCAGGCTGGGGAAGAGAAGGCAGGGCGGCAAAAGTGGAGACAGGGGCATTTAAACTACTTTCTCATGTAACTTACTTATGTCTTCAGAACTTGCTCAAGCTCGATCACATATATACCACTTCCGTTTGATGATGGAATGCTGCTGTGCATGATCCACTTTATGGCTAGATGGGTCAGAAAGTACCCAGTTCATGATAGGCAGTTCAGGTCATATGGTAACTTGATGACCCGCAGTCAGTTTCCACCAAAGCCCAGTAACAGGCCAAGAGCTGTATCTCAGAAGAGAGTAGTTATCTGCAGAAGATGTCAGGGCCTTGCTCAAAAATCCTAAAGGCCTCCACTGTGATTCACCTGTAGCGGCCTGCCAAAGGCTCCAATCAGCATTCCCATCTGCCAGTGACACCTCAAGCACCATTGGACCTGCTGGGTCATGTGACCTAAGCAGCAGAGCAGCTTGCACATCTGGACCTGTTGCAGAGCCTTCTCCTGTTCTGGACCCCACTCAAAACTGGAAGCCTTTTGGGTCACTTGATAAATGGGCCAGAGTAACACACCCAAATGTGTTGCCTCCAAAATCCAAATAGGCCACTAGGCATTGTGCCTCTTTCTTGATATCTTGTGGAAGCAAAAAACAATCAAGGTCTCTCTGAATAAGATTATGACACAAAGCTGGAGAGTTGATATTCTTCTGAAGTAGGACAGTAAAGACACATTGCTGGTCTTGCCAGCTGAAGGCAAATTGCTTCTGGTGGGCCTTACGGACAGGAATGGAGAAAAAGGCATTTGCCAAGTCAACGGCTACGTACCAGGTACCAGGAGATGTGTTAATTTGCTCAAGCCATTAAACCACATCTGGTACAGCAGCTGCAATTGGAGTCACCACTTGGTTAAGTTTATGATAATCCACTGTCATTTTTCAAGATCCATCTGTCTTCTGAACAGGCCCAATGTGAGAGTTGAATGGGGATGTGGTAGGAATCATCACCCCTGCGTCTTTCATGTCCTTGATGGTGGCACTAATCTCCATAATCCCACCAGGGATGCGATAATGTTTTTGATTTACTATTTTTCTAGGTAGAGGCAGCTCTGATGGCTTCCATTTGGCCTTTTCCACCATAATAGCCCTCAGCCTACCAGTCAGGGAGCCAATGTGGGGGTTCTGCCAGATACTATGTATGTCTATGCCAATTATGCATTCTGGCACTGGGGAAATGATCGTAGGAAGAGTCCAGGTACCCACTGGACCCACTTTTAGTCAGGCCTGAGCTAAAACTTCATTAACTACCTGACCTTCATAAGCCCCTACTTTAACTGGAAAACCACTATGATCTTTTGGGTCCCCTGGAATCAACATCAACTCAGAGCCAGGGTCCAGTAGTCCCTGAAATGTCTGATCGTTTCCCTTTCTCCAATGTACAGTTACCCTGGTAAAAGGCCAGGAGTCTCCTTTGGGAAGGATGGGGGAAAGATCCACTACGTAAATTATTAGTAATGTAGTGGGGTCCTTCCTCAAAAGGACCTGGCCTCCCCTTCATTCAGGGGGTTCTGGGTCTGTAAACTGGCTCAAGCCTGGAAATTGATTGAGAGGCTGTGATTCTCTGTTTTTATACTTCAAGTTAGACTTTTGTCCATTCAACCTAGAAGTTTCCTCCTTATATAAATTAAGTAGGAATGCAGTAGGCTTCCTATCAATTTCATTTCTAGGAACACTGTGATTAATTAGCCAGTGCCAGAGCTCTACATGTGTCAGACTATTCTGATTGCTGCTTTATCTCTGCTGTTCATTACGGTAGCTACGTCCACCTTGCCTTTGACAGTTGAGTGCTGCCACTTGGCCCCTGCCACCTGGGGATCAAATTATTCCCATTGTATTTAATTTTATAGTTGAGTGACTACTGTTCCCACTGTTAGATCTGACATACAGAGAAGAGAAATTACAGGGCTCTTCAAAGATGCAGGTGCTGCCCTCACAAATCTATTTCACAAGCCATTGGTCAGGGGTATATCTTCTGAACCTTCCCAGCTGAGATGAGCAGGTTTAAAGTGACTCATCCACTCCACCACCCCAATCTCATTAAGCCTTTGGATCCCTTCCTCTACATTAAACCAAGGGAGATCAGGCATTTCCAGCTCACTCATGGTGGGCCATCTTTTAATCCATATTTCAGCTAACTAAGCAAATAAACTATTAGAACCTTTTTCCAGCTCACTCATGGTGGGCCATCTTTTAATCCATATTTCAGCGAACTAAGCAAATAAACTATTAGAACCTTTTATAACTGCCCAACGTTATCTGCAAAGTCCCTACTTAGTGGGCCCAAATCAATAAATTCAGCCTGATTCAACTCTGTGTTCCTTCCACCATTATCCCATTCTCTTAACATCCATTTCCATGCCTGTTCTCCAGATTTCTGTTTCTATACATTAGAGAACTCAAGCAGTTCTTTTTGAGTGTAGCACACCTCCTCATGGGTCACCCTCCCAACCTCATCCTTAGGGGCCTGCCAGGACTTTAGTCTAGTTATAGGTCTAGAAGCAAACAGGGGTGTTGGGGGTGGCTCCTGAGGAGAATCAACATTATTTTGCCTGGAAACTGCCTTGGGGGAGGCCATCACTGTTGCCTCAGGCAGCACAGAGTTTATCTCCTCATACAAAGGTGGAAACGCTGATGACAGCATGGGTCAGGGAGGGGATGTTGCCACTACTGGGGATGCGGAAGCTGTTTCTTCTGGCAAAAAAGGTTCATCAGAGTTTGCAAACTCCGTGTCTCCAGCTTCATCAGGTTCGTCCCACACATCCCCATTCCCAGTTGCAGGGTTCCATTCTTTTTTTTTTTTTTTTTTTTTTTTTTTTGAGATGGAGTTTTGCTCTTGTTGCCCAGGCTGGAGTGCAATGGCATTTGCTGAATTGCCTCAGCCTCCTGAGTAGCTGGGATTAGAGGCATGAGTCACCAAGCCCAGCTAATTTTGTATTTTTAATAAAGATGGAGTTTCTCCATGTTGGTCAGGCTGGTCTCTAACTCCTGACCTCAGGTCCGCCCGCTTCGGCCTCCCAAAGTGCTGGGATTACAGGCATGAGCCACCACGCCCAGCCCCATTCTTTTCCAATCAATGCCCTCGTTTTAACAGGAGACACCTGGCGAGGCCTGTGCAAGCACCTTTTGTTGCAGGTCAGCCAATCGCATGATAAGAGCTTGTGTTTGTTTTTCCACAATTTCAGCTCTTTCTCTACTGGAGATAAAACTCTCACTCAGGGCAATCTTAGCAGATTTGAGGCTCAGTGTCTGCTTCTGAAGCTGTTAGACAGAATCCCTGAGTTCATCATTTTCTTTCATCACTTTGTCCACTGAACTTAGGAGCAACCAACCAGCTTCATTATGTTCGTTGGTTCTCTACGTATGGTCAAAGGTATTATGTATAGAATCACTAAACTCCTTGCTTCTCATGAGCAGTGTATCAGGAGTGTCAAATGGAATTATTTTGCATAACTCTCTAAACAGTTTATGCCAAGGACGATCAGTGTTCTCCATACTATTAGAAGTAGAGTCTTTAGCATTTTTGGGTCTTATATTAAGCAGCCAACTCCAGAAAGCCCAAAACCAATGAAAGAACTCCATCCTTAATATTCTATTCCTCTAGAACCACTCCTGGTACCAAAATCTGTATTAGTCAGGGTTCCCTAGAGGGACAGAGCTAATAGGACGTGTATATTTCTCATTGGTCTTTTTGGATTTGTGTATCATTGCACCAATACCTTGCTATCTATTGCAGAAGTTTAAAGTCTAAGATTTTGTTGTTTCTCTTCAAGATTTTCTTGGCTATTATGAATTCTTGTGATTTCCATATAAAAGTGAGAATTAGGTTTTGAATCTCTACAGAGAAATTCTCTTGGAATTTTGATCTAATTTTCTATTTAATCTATAGATCAATCTGGAAATAAAAACAATTTGCTGGTAGTGTGTCTTCTGATTCATAAACATAGCTACCAGGATTTTAGGACTTTAATTTCTCTCAATAATACTTCATAGATTTCTGTTCAGAGGTCTTCATTTCCTTATGTTAGATTTATTCTGAGTAATTAGATGATTTATGCCATTGTGTGTAGTATCATTTTTTAAAGATTTCATATTCTAATATCATATTGCTATTACATAGAAATGCAATTGATACTTGTAAAATAATCTTGATTCCAACAAAAGTATTGGCAAATTATTTTATTATTTCTAGTAGTTTATCTATGGATTCATTTGAATTTTAACATACACAATTATATCTATGAATAATGAGAAATGTATATCTTCATTTCCAATCTCTACATATTTCTTTTATATATGTGAATTATCATTTATATGTATATATATGTTTCACATATAGAAATCTCTAATTCCATATTACTTTATTTTAAATATACATTTTTAGGTTAAGGAAATACCCTTGTATTCCTACTTTGCTGAGAGTTTTTTTTTTATCATCAGTGGGGGTTGAATTTTGTCAAATATTTTATTCTGCATATATTGAAATGTTCGTATGATTTTTCTCCTTTCATATCTTATTGTGATGAATTACATCAGTGGATTATTGAATGTTGACATAAATTTGCATTCCTTAGGTAAGACCCACCATTTTATGATTTAGTATATTTTTTGTGTATTATGAAATTTGATTTGCTAATATTTTATTAAGGGTTTGTTTCTTGTAAGATTTTCCCTATCAGAGTTATGCTTGCTTTATTCAACAAGTTGGAAAATATCACCTCCTTAACCCAGAAAAATTCCCTTGTAAGAGAATTGTTAGGCAGAAAGAATTGTTTTTACATCTGGGAATCTTTCAGATTCAAATTCTCCAGGCTAATACACGTCCTTCAAAAGTTGGTTATACACTTGCTTTTCTCCTGTTCCTCCCCGACCCTGTCCTAGGAAGGGTTCATCATGACAAAGCCTAGCTTTTTAGATTCCTTTTGTCCTCAGATCTTTAATGTCTTTAAAGAAAATAGTGCATTATTTGTTTTATTTAACTGATTTCTCAACAGTTTGATGGATATGAGTGTCTTTATGTCTTTCTGTTATTAATTATGATTAATATTACTTCTTAATCAGAAGTTGAACTTTCCTTGAATTCTTAGTTTCAGTTATACATTTTGGGTTCCTTTTGAGGGGCTCTTGTAGTTGCCAGTTCTTCACCAAAATTCTTTCCATCTTGTCATTTTATTTATTGAATGTATTAATCACAGTTATTTGAAAATAATTAGGCAACTCCAATACCTGGATCTCCTCCAACTCTATTCTACTGTCTGGTTTTTCACTTGCACTTGGTCAATTGTGTTCATTTACATGCTTGCTGTGGCAATTATTGATCTATGATTTCTCAGTCTCAATCCCATAATTCTATACTTTGCCCTAAGGGTGAGAATCTGCAAAATCATTTCTAATTTGCCACTGGCTTCCTGTTAGGATCTGCTAATAAAGAACACGTGAGGGAGACTGGAAGGTTGGAGAAGGCAGAAAGGATGTTCTCTTCGTTTTCTTCATGTTCCTATCAGTATTATCTTAACAATGTTATTTTCACTCCAGGGCAAGTGTTCATTTAAGTAGCAGCAACGGATTCCAGTTTTCAGTTTTTCAGACAGACACAGAATCATCCCTATTGAGGCTGCTCAGCATTATATCCTGGAGAAATCTGGGTTTCAACCCCTCAAGAATCCTCTTTCAAGCTCAGTGATACCAGCAGCTAAGCAGCAAACACCTCTTAACGTCTCCATATTTATCTCTGAGGGTCCTGTCTTCCAACCTCTGCTTTAATATTTCTAACCTCTTTCCCTTCCTCCACCAGTTGTAAGTGAAGAAGTTGCTTCTGCATTTGCTAACTTTGTGATGCTTCAGTGTTCTTTTCTTTTTTGCCCTTCTATTTTCTTTTCCGTCTTTTTTTCTTTTATCTTTTCTTCTTTTTTCTTTTTTTTTTTTTTTTTTGAGACCGAGTCTCGCTCTGTCACTGAGGCTGGAGTGCAGTGGTGCAATCTCAGCTCTCTGCAACCTCCACCTCCTGGGTTCAAGCGATTCTCCTGCCTCAGCCTCTTAAGTAGCTGGGACTACAGGCACCCACTACAATGCCCGGCTAATTTTTGTATTTTTAGTAGAGACAGGGTTTCACCGTATTGGCCAGGCTGGTCTCAAACTCCTGACCTTGTGATCTGCCCACCTCGGCCTCCCAAAGTGCCAGGATTTCAGGTGTGAGTCATTGCACCTGGCCGTTTCTTCAATTTTCATTGAAATATTATTTATATTAAATTATTTCTACTGAAATACATTGCTTGGTTTTGTTTCCTAACCGGACCCTGACTGATACACTTTGTTACTTTTTTAATGAATGCTAGACATTCTGCATTGCATAGTTTAGAGATAAAAGTGCAAGCAGGACTTTTGGAATGGGTAGTACTTTAATCCCATCGTGATTTGAGCTGTTTCAAAGCTAAATTTGACTCCTTGTAGAACCTACTCTGTATCTGGTTAATACTTATTTTTACAACGCAATCCTTCTGGGCCCCAATTAAATCTTATTTGTAAGCAAAGACTCCTCCTTTTTGACAGCTCCTGAACTCCATTTTCACCCCCAGACCTGTAAGAATGCCAATACTCTCAGCTTCCACTTTATGCTTAGATTTGTAGCCTCTCAGCTGCTGTTTTAAAATCAGCAACTGCCTCAAGGAGAAATGCAGTGCCAACTGTTAGGCTCATCATTTTAGGCTTCCCTGCTTTCTGGAGTGTTGGCCCTAAAAATTCTCACTTCCTTTTTAGCTCTCCTATGGCTTCAGAAAGAGTTTTAGAGAATTTTGTCCAAGTCATTCAGTTTTTCTCAGTGGGAAGTTTAGACAAGCTGACAACCCTGTCCGCTTTCTAATGCCAAGGGGAAATTTAACAAGTCCTATTTTTTTTCAACTGTTCCCTCCCACCACCTTTAATACCATGATTCCCTAACAGTGCTATCAGGTGAAATCAGGAGACTCATCCTCAGACTCCATCATGACTTCCTGCTCTATCATTTTCAATTATATTCTCTTTAAAGAATGTGAATGAAAACTTTCATCTAGATATCAAACTTTCTTAAAGTTGGACTGTTAGAAAGCAAGTTGATTAAGAACTCACGTTGCCACTACTCTTGCATCAAGGGAGAGATCAAGCAGTGACATCAGAGGCAAAAGTCTTCTTTGTTTGTTATTACATGGAATGTCATAAATTATAGATTTGCAGGGATTTATCATCATCACCATAACTTCTAATTATAAGTTCAAAAATAACATGGAGATTTAAGTTGGCATTATCCATACAATGTAACAAATGAAGTAGCATTTTAAAATGATGTTGGAGGAAAAGCTTTAAATTATACAGAATCAAATATGAAACATATTTTGGGTAAAGTACAGAAAATATATGATATCATGAAATCTCAAGAATATATTGTAAAATCATAGAACAGAATAATAGCTTATTTTATTTATTTATTTATTTATTTAGAGACCGAGTCTCGCTCTGTCACCCAGGCTGGAGTGCAGTGGCGCAATCTTGGCTCAGTGCAACCTCCACCTCCCGGGTTCAAACAATTCTCCTGCCTCAGCCTCCTGAGTAGCTGGGACTACAGGCGCCTGCCACCACGCCTGGCTAATTTTTGTATTTTTAGTAGAGACGGGGTTTCACCATATTGGCCAGGCTGGTCTCAAACTCCTGACCTCATGATCCGCCAGCTTGGGCCTCCCAAAGCGCTGGGATTATAGGTGTGAGCCACCGTGCCCGGCCTACTTGCTTCTTAATAAGAAACATGGTACAAATTTTTCTTTTTCTTTTCTTTTTTTTTTTCTCTCTTTTTGAGACAGGGTCTTGCTCTGTTGCCCAGGCTGGAGTACGGTGGTGTAATCTCGGCCCACTGCAGCCTCAACCTCCTGGGCACTAGTAATTCTCCCACCCCAGCCTCCAGAGTACCATGACTGGTTAATTGTTTTCTTTTGTTTGCTTGTTTTCGTAGAGATGGGGTCTCACTGTATTGCCTCTTTGGTCTTGAACTTCTGGGCTCAAGCAATCATCCTGCCTCAGTCTCCCAAAGTGCTGGGATTATAGGCCGGAGCCACTGCACCTGGAAAAAAAACATTATTTTTTATTGTCCTACTTTTCTTTAGTTTCTCAACATCTGTAATAAGCATGTGCAACTGTGATAATCAGAATATGATTTTGAAAGAGAGTAAGAGATCAGTACGCATTCCATAACATTGTGTTCTTTACGTTAAATGTACACAATAAAATTTTTTAATTAAAAAACAGAATAAAGTAATACAACTAGTTTCTTTTCATATTATTAACTCACCATCTATTTAGCCTATTCAATTGGTATCAGCCTCATTAACAATGTTCACATCCCCTCTGTATCTATCTACACACCTTACAGCTGTCTTCATCACAACTTCTTCTCAGGCATCTCTGAGAATATACATATCCATTTGCATTAATTAGACTTAGTCTCCTGAAAGCCCCCTTAAGACAGACACAGCAAGCTAATTGTAAAGGTGATGTTTGTTGGCAAAAGTAGAAAGCCCATATTCTTTGGGGTGATGGTGTAGAACATTGTGGGCATTCTGGAGAGCAACATGGTGGTACTTAGTCACAATCAGTGTGCACATATCCTATGACACAGCTGTCCAAGCTTTACACAGGTTCACAAGGAGACATAGATCAGTATGTGCAGAGTTGGAGGCAATACACTATTAAAATAAAGAATAACCATAATGTGATAAATGCAAACTATGAAATATTCTGTTGCAGGTAGAAGTAAAGATAATACACACACATACACACAGTCATGCACACACAATAAAAGTGAATTAGCTTAATAACAGTGCTGAAAATGCAAAACTGATGAATAGAAAGAATTCTATGGTATTATATATAGTTTAAAACTTTATATAAAATAATTATAAAAATATAGATATAAAATAATTTTAACATAATTAAAATTAAACATGTAAAAATATTTCCCCAAAATATGCATTTTCCAAAGATATGTAAACGTTCACAGATATATTTTAAACTCATTAGAATATTGGCCTGTTGCTGGGAGAAGAATAAATCTGGAATGAAGAAACATGAGAGTAATGAATAAGTAAATCATGGAGGAACTGATGATTATTTTGTCTTGAACTAAAGAATATGAGTAACTTTTCATCTTCATTGTTTAAAAAGAAAAATAAAAAATAAATTTTTCTAAATCAACAAACCAAAAACATCAAAAAAATCAAGGAGATTTGGCTATACACAATTCTCAACAGGCTAAAGGCAAGCTATTTTGTGTGTGTGTGACTTTTTTAGTGCATTTTATATTTGGTTCCAGAGTTTGGTTCTCTTAATTAAAATATGTTCCTGCTATTTTGAGTATGTTAGGTAAAGATAGTGTGACTTATTCTCAAAATATAGTTTTGTTTTTTTAAGCGCCAGGTTCCTCTAAATTATTATAAGCAATAGCTTCTCTTTGCAAATTAACCTTGGATATTATTTTAAAAACTTTTTTTTCCACGCAGCAATACAAATCACTGAACACAATGTTCAATCTTAAGTAATTATATTTATTCAGAAGGAAGTTGTGTGAAAATTTTCCTTTGGCTTCTCACTTGAATGACACAGTTAGAACACAGCAACTACAGTTGAGGCCAGACCCTCTTCTTTCATATTTATTAAGCAGTAGCCAAACCTGCCCCAGTATCTCTGATTATCACTGCAGTATCAGGACCACAGCCCATAGTTATTTTGTGCAGGTTTCTTATTGTACAAATGTGCAAAGCCAAGAGGGTAATAAGGACTGAAATGCAGCCTGAACTCTGTTAACCTAGCCACGTACACATGGGCTATCTTCTTCCAGAGCAGAAATACTGCTCTTTAATTCATTAATAGAGTCCATATGGACTAGCAGTGTCTTTATTAGTCCCTTGCTTCACCCTCATCTCTTTGTACTCCCTGTTCCTTCTGATTTCCTTATAGTCCATACCTGCTACCAGACTGGGGAGAGGAGAGGAGAATCTATAGTACCTTTCCTCCTTTCCATGGAGGGTGTAGGTACTTCCCTTCATCCAAAGCCAAGTGAGTGGGGGGTCCAACCTCTACAAATGAGTGGAAATTTGGGTGTCTACAAAAAGGACATGCTGACATCTCACCCCCTTTCTGCTAGATTACTCAGCTATGGAATCTGCAGGCATAGAAAGGAGAGAGAATGAATCTTAATTTCTTGGCAGAGCCTGGCATTTATTTACTGGAGTTTGGGGAGAGTTTCCAAAGAGACAAAAGACTGCTTCTCACCCTGGAGAAATCTGGAGACAGAATTTCCCAGATCAACAGAACAATTTGGAGTCATTGGATTGCACACATAGGAAGAAGAAGACTGGAACTCATACCCAAGCTTGTTTCCATGGCAAAGAGTTAAATTAAGGTGGATTGCTTTTGAATAATCAAAGCCCAGCTCTAGAACCAAAGTAGAGTAAATCCAAACCAAAGTCAAACCACAGAGGTGCTGCACAGTAATGTGGTGGCAGGAACAAGAGCTATTCTGCAAATGAAAACCAGGATGATGTTAGCAAATGGATGTGTGAGGAAATGGATGCTAGAGAGAATGCCTGAATTCTGCCCTTGGAAGATACAGAACAGCATCTCAGCAGGCCCCTGTGCCTTCAAGTGAAGTGAAAAACTCTTGAATAGAACAAGAAGAAGGGCTGTGAGGTTGCCCACTGGGCTCCTGAAAGAGATGGAAACCCCAGAGAGAGAGAGAGAAAGAGAGAAGTGGGTTTGTGAAAATCTCAGTGTTGAAAGAAGATACAGTAGTTTTTCTTTGTGTGCTTACCAATGGCGGGAGCCAGAGTGAAACTTAATTCCTACCTCAAGAAAATTATTCACATTCTTGTGGAAATTACCACATTGGTAAATAACATCAGCAACAGGTGGAATGAACCTGAGTCAGAGTAAGACAGGATACCTCCCCCACCAATACCTTTCCTTCTTTTCTACTCCCTCCTATCCCCTGCTTACACAGATGGCTAGACATAGAAGTGGGAGGAGAGAGGAAATATTCCAGAACCAAACATTTCTCTAAGGTGTTGGAGTGTGAGAATCTAAAATCAAACCCCACATCCCATTCACACTCCAAGTTCTCCAAAGTGAGGCCTTTCCTGGGGGTGGGTGATATGAGACTGAAGTCTTAAGTCGTTCTGGGCTCAGTGACTTTTCTAATAACCTAAAACCAGAGAATTTATCTAATATATTGTTAAGGAATCCGAAAAGAGGTTTGACAGAATATGATTGTACACAGGGATTGAAGACAGAATAATTAGACCATTTTGTTATTACACTTTAAAAAGGTGCAACAACATGGGAAATATGTAGTTATTAGAGGGTAAACCTATAAATACTTCCCCTTGAACCTTAAGAAGAGACATAGAAAAATGGAGCTCTGTAAATTTAAAGGCTATGTATTACACTGGAGGGGTTTTCTGGCCTTTAAAAGCTTTCCTATCAGCTGTTTCCCTTGAGAAGGCCCTTTAAAGATTGACGTGTAGGAAGTGTGAACCACTTTTCAATCCTTCTGCCATTTGTTTATCCAACAAGGATTTTTCATCACCCTTTGTGCAGGCCTTTGCAATAGATGTCATGTGGGTTGGTTGAAGTGGACAAGAAGAGATTCAATATAACAGATAAAGGTTCTCATAGACTGCAGTGCAAAGCTTCAAAACTGGACCAAAAGCCAATGCTCTATCAGTGACAGAGAAACAAGTTCCAAATAACAAGAATGAATCATAACACTTGTATTAAAGCCTGTCAATAGTATATGAAAGCTTTTAGAATAAATACAAGTTATTCCCACTTGCATGATCTGGCCCTTCTATCTAATTATCTTCTTTATTCAGGGTCAGAAAATACAAATTTTGATATTTTGATAATCATGGATTTTCTTGCATTCATTTTAGTTCTTAAAAATATTACATGAAAATATTATTTATCTCAATTTTTTGGCACCCCTTAAAATTTGTACCTGATATGTTGATTACCCTGGTTCCTGCCCTGCTAAGGAGAAACATTAATAAATTTAAAAAAATCCATAGTCCATATTTGATATTCTGTTATATTCTGAATACAACTTGGGAAGTAAAACAATGTTCTCTAGTTCCAGAGGACCCCAACCTCTGTCTCCTATGGTTTCCCAAGGCCATGGTGTGTGGAATTGAACATTGCACAATCTAAGGAAGACAGCAAAACTTTATAGTTTTTTTTCCTCTGGCTGCTTTGAAGAGTTTCTCTTTATTTTAAGCCATTTAGTTACATTATGCCTTAGTAAAATTTTCTTCTTGCTTCTTATACTTGGGGCTGGTTGAGCTTCTTGAATCTACAGGTTTATAGCTTTCATCAAACCTAGAAAAATTAAAGCCATTATTTATTTAAAACATTTTTCTGAACCCCTACTTCTCATCAGGGACTCCAGTACTTCAATTACACATATATTGGGCTGCTTGAAGGTTCCCGATGCTCTGTTCATTTGTGTTTTCAGTCTTTTTTCTGTAGGGGTTTTATTATAGATGGCTCTATTGCTATGCCTTCAAGTTCACTATCCTATTTTATTTAGTGTTGAACCCACTGTTTATCCTACCCAGTGTATTTTTAATTTCAAACATTGCAGTTTTCAACTCTAGAAGGTCTATTTAATTACCTAATTAAACTACTTTCTTCCTCCTCTGCTACATTCTTTCTACAATGGTCTTAAGGCCCTTCTTAGAAAATGTTTAGTTCTTTTCTGCTTTAAGGCTTGTCCTTGATGTTTATGCAACTCAAAACACTCTTACCGGGCCTCAAAACATGGTCAACCCACCTCAACTTTCAGGTAGAGTGACTAGCTCATTCCAGTTCACCTCGGACTTCCCCAGTTTTAGCACTTAAAGTCCCACTCCTGAGAAATCCCTTAGTGCTAGCAATCCTGGATGATTAGCCACCCTACCTTGAGGCCTCTCAGGTTTAATGGTTTAATGTTACCTCCCCAGAGAGTCATTACCTCAGCACCCTAAGTGGCCTCTGAATAAAGAAATATAAATTACATGATAATGAAAAAAAAAAAAAAACCTCCAAGAGAAATAAGCTGTAATAAAAGCAAAAAGACAAGTGAAATACGGGAAATGAAAACATTTGCATTTTTGTCACAGACAAGAGTTAATATTTAAAGAACTTAATAAAACAAACAAACAAAAAACTCAACTACCCTGTAGGATGATGGGTTAAAAAGTGAACACAGTTTATAGAAAAAAAAAACTGAAATGACTCTTAATCACATGAAACCATGCTCAACCTCACTTATATAAAGGAAATGCAAACTAAAACTTTAAAACAATGTAATTTCTCACCTATTGGCTATAATTCCAAAGTCTGACAGCATACACTATTTGTGAAGTTATGGGGAAGCAGTTATTCTCGTACTTTAATGGTACAACATTATGGTTGAGAATTTGGTAATATTTAGGTAAATTTCCTCTTTGACCTGGTAATTCCACTTTTCAAAATCGATTCCAAAGATATATGGGTAAAATTATAAACGCTATTTATGGAAGGAGTGTTAGTAACAGCAAAAGTTTAGATGCATGATTAGAGCTGGTGATTAAATTGTCAAACCAAAAATTTTTGAAAGTGAATATCAGATGTCATTCTTGAAGCAGTGTTCAATTAAAATAACAGCCACGGTTTAGGTAAGTTACCAAATGTGGCAAAAACTAAACTAAGTCCTGGGTAAAAAAGTGGAAATTTATTTATATGTAATCTTTTGCCTGCTACTAGCTGGACAAGAGAAGACTGGGGTCAGTTTCAAATTTCAAAAATTTCTTCAATTCCTCTTCTACCCAAGCAAAACAGTGGTGTATGATAAAATGGGAAATAGAGGTTTCTAGCCCAAGTCTCCCTGCCATTCTCTCTCATACATGCAAAATTGAATATAATATTTGAACCAGAATTCCCATCTGGGAATAAAGCCATCTCTAGAGCAGGAAAGTTATCAGAATATTAAAACTGGGCCAGATGCAGTGGCTCACATTTGTAATCCCAGCACTTTGGGAACCTGAGGCAGAAGGATTGCTTGAGGCCAGGATTTGAGACCAGCCTGGTAACATAGTGAGACTTGTCTCTACAAAAAAGTGAAAAAAAGCCTGGCATGGTGGTAAGTGCCTGTAGTCCCAACCACCTGGGAGGCTCGGGCGGGAGGATTACTTGAGCCCAGGAGATCAAGGCTGCAGTGAGCAGTCATTGTGCCACTGCACTCAAACCTGGGTGATGGAGCGAGACTCTGTCTCAAAAATAAAAGAATGAATGAATAAATAAATAAATAAATACTGGAAGGGACTTTAGAGAGATTATGAAGTGTTTTATAACTAATTTTATGAAACCAGTAAATTTTTAAAAGAGGAAATTGAAGCCCAGGGAAATCGAATAATTTTTATAAGGTCACACAGCTAGAGTTGCAGCCAGATGGATTTGGATAGGATCAATAGTTAGCTAGCAGGCTAAATACCAGTACTACCTAATATTAGGAAAAATCTATCAAAATGGGACAAAATAATGAGGAGATGGGTGTAGGTATAATACGAAAGATCACCAAAGATTCACTGACCTCATAGCTTATTTCAAACTGCAAGAAGTAGTTTATTTCAAACTACTTTTTACCTGGACTCCCAATCTTTAGCCCATCTCAAATTGCTTATATGACAACAAATATATGTTTATAACCTTATCATTCCTAGCTGTAGACTGTATCTTTCATGTTCTGGATTCATGTATAGCTACCTCCAAGTTCTGCTTGTTGTTGTTTAATGAGTGACACATTTGGAGGTAGAATGGACATTCATTTGTGACCTTTCCAACACTCATTTCTACTCAACTCCATTTTATTTCTCCAACATCATTGGGGTACAATTGATAAATAAAAATTGTATATATTTAAGGTGTACAACCTCGTGTTTTGAGATGTATGTCTATCTATACCTATATTCTGAATTGTTCATCACAATCAAATCTATCGCCTCACACATAGTTACCATTTTCTTTCTCTTTTTTTGGTGAGAACATTTAAGATCTACTATCTTAGCAAATTTTAAGTACACAAAAGAATATCATTAACTGTACTCATATTAGATCTCCAGAATTTATGCATCTTGCATACTGAAATTGTATACCCTTTGACCAACATCTCTCCATTTCCCCCTTCATCCAGCCCCTGGCAACTACTACTCTACTCTCTGCTTCTATGAGTTTGACTATTTTAAATTACACATGTAAGTGAGATCAGACAGTATTTGTCTTTCTGTGCCTGGCTTGTTAGCCTAATGTCCTCCAGACTCATCTACATTGTCACAAATGACAGGATGTCTTTATTTTTAAGGCTGAAAAATATTCCATTGTACATAATACCACATTTCTTTATTTATCCGTAGATGAAAACTTAGATTGTTGACATATCTTGGCTATTGGGTATAACGCTCCAATAAACATGAGAGTATCATTTTTTCTTTGAGATTTCAATTATTTTGGATTTATACCCAGATGTGAGATTGCTAGATCAAATAATAAAGTTTTTATTTTTTGAATAACTTCCATATTTATTTTCATGGTGATTGCATTAACTTACATTCCCACTAATAGTGTAAAAGGGTTACTTTTTTGTACCTCCTTACCAATACGTGCCTTTCTTTCTTTTTTTTTTGAAAATATTAATTTTTGTAGGTGTGAGGTAGTATCTCATCGTAGTTTTGGTTTGCATTTTCCTGATGATTAGTGATGTCGAACATCTTTTCTTATGCCTAATGGCCAATTGTATGTCTTTTTTTTTTGAGAAATGTCTACTCATGTCCTTTACCTGTTTATTAATCAGGTTATTTTTTTCTTGTTACTAAGTTGTAGGAGTTCCTTAAGTATTTTGGATATGAACCTCTTATCAGATATATAGTTTGCAAATATTTTCTTCTATTCCATAGGTTGCCTTTTCATTTTGTTGATGTTTTTTCACTGTGCAGAAACTTTTTAGTCTGATATAGTTTCAGTTGTCCATTTCTGTTTTTGTTGCCTGTGCTTTTAGTATAGACTTCAAGAAAATTTTGCCCAATCCAATGTTTAGAAGCTTTTCCCCTATGTTTTCCTTTGAGAGTTTTATTGTTTCAGGTTTTAGGTTTAAGCCTTTGATCTATTTTGAGTTGATTTTTGTATATGATGTGAGGTAAGTGTCCCATTTCATACTTTTACATCTCAACATTCAATTTTCCCAATATCATTTATTGGAGAAACTATCTTTTCCCCATTTCATACTTCATTTTCTATTTTCACTGGGATTTTTCTTTGGGGAATGATCACTCCACATCATTGCATAGCACCTACTTGGTTGAGTTTAGGTAGGATTTACTCTGCTCTGGTTCCAGAACTGGGCTCTAATGCATTCAACATTGATTAGGGCTTTGTCATGGGGATTGGTAAAGAAATGGTCATTAACATTGCTTGAATCTAATCAGTGCATCATATGTCTTTAGTCACAGTGATTGGATATGAAAATGCAACTTAAACTACAGTGGCTCATCAGACCTAAGTCTAGGACTTGTGTTTGTGATAGTCTCTCTCTCCTTCTTATTTTTCTTTCCTCTCTCCCTGCCTCTCTTTCTCTCCTGGAAGCTATTGATACTTATGCTATGACATCGAATGAGCAGTTCTTAGCACAAAAAGAAGGCACCGTAGAAAGTGAAGAGTTAGAAAGAAATAAAGTTCTTGTTGATATGCTGAACCACTAGATCAAACCATCATACCTACCGACATTTGTACTTACTGTTTATAGGAACAAATAAATTCTGTTGTGATTTTAGTTCAATTTTCAATATGAAACTAAAAGCATTGAAATAAATAGTGGAGGCAATGTGATTTAGAGAACAAAAAAGTCTCATCATTGGAAATAAGCAGACCCGGATTCTACTCCAGTGACCAACTGTAAGACCTTGGGGCTGTCATTATAACTTTGTATATACTACATTTTCCTTAGCTGTAAATTTTGTAATCTAATATTTGCCTTGCTTAATATTACATGGTATTGTGAATATCGCATGAAATAATTATTTTGGGTTAGGAAGACCTGAAAACTCTGTGCAATTGAATCGTAGGTGATATTATTACCATCAGAAGATCTTGCAGCCATCAAGATCTTATTATAGTACATTGCTTTCTTCCCTTCTCTGAGTTGCAAGTTGACATGAATAATTCATCAAAATTTGCACTTCCAGAAAACACTTGACGAAAACAGGAGTGGAAGTTTCTAAAGCAAAGTGGATTTTATTAGGGTGCTTAATATGAGTATTTATAGCCAAATTGTTTCCCAATTGACTTTGCAATCCTTGTTTGTGATTTGTAATTATTGGTGAATAATTGCAATTATCATTTGCTTAATGAGACAATAATTCCCCCTCTCTCTCTCTATCTTTATTTTCCCTTTAGTAAAGCCCTACATTCACTGCTGTGTATGTCACAGAAAGTCAGTCCATCATTATTGCATGACCACAAAGATCTCCCTCGTACTACTTCTTTATAGTCAGTTTTTTTGGTTAGGTTGCCCTAAATACTGGCAACCACACCAATCTGTTTTCCATCTCTATAATTTTGTCATTTGGGAAATCTTATGTAAATGGAATGGAATAGAATGTGACCTTCTTTTTTAGATGAGATTTTTAAAAGACTCTATATTGCCTTTAAAATTCATACAAGTTGTGTGTATGAAATGTTCATTCCTTTTTGTTGTTGAGTAGTGTTACATGCTAACACTATTCATGTAGTGTTAAACACTGCACGAATCACAGTTTATTTAACTACCTCATCGGGGCCATTTTCATTAGTTTAAGTTTGGGGCTTTGTAGATAAATTTACTATCAACAATCATGTACAAGATTTTATATGGACATACATCTTCATCTATCTGGAATAAAATGCCCAGAAATGTGATTACTGGGTCACATGGTAAGAGTACGTTCAGTTGTATGTTTTTTAAAGAAACTGCCAAACTATTTTCCAGAGTAGCTGTACCATTTTAAATTCCCACCAGCAATGTAGAAAAGATCCAGTTTCTCCATATCATCATCAACATTTGGTATTGTCATTTTATAGGAACTATGCTAATAGGTATGTAGTGATAGTTTATCATATTCTTATTTGCATTTACTGCATAGCTAGTGGTATAAAAAATTTATGTGCCTATTTATCATCCATATATCTTCTTTAGTGAAATGTTTCTTCATGTTTTTCCTCATAATTTCTAATTGAATTATTTGCATTTTAATGTTGAGTTTTGAAAGTACTTTATGTATTATGGTATCAATTCATTGTCAGTTATGTTATTTTCAAATATTTCCTTCTAATCTGTAACTTGTCTTTTAATCCTCTTTCACAGAAACAAATTTTTTAATTTTTAAAATTTAGTTCAACTTGCCAATTATTTATTTATTTTACAGATTGTACTTTTGGTGTTATATTTAAGAATTCTTCACCAAATCTAGCTTCCAAAGATTTTCTCCTATATGAGGTTCTAAAAATGGTATATTTTTGCATTTCCTATTTAAATCCATGATACATTTTAATTTTATATAAGGTGTGAGGTTTAGGTTGAAGATTTATTATTATTATTATTATTATTGTTGGTTATGGATATCCAATTGCTGCAACACCATTTATTTTTTTGAAAAGACTATCCTTCCTTCAATGAATTACTGTATGCCATTGTCAAATATCAGGTGGTCACACTTGTATGGCACTAATTCTGGGTTCTCTGTTTTGTTTAATGATCTATGTATCAATTTCTCCACAAATTCCGTGAAGTCTTGATTACTATAGCTATATGCTAAGTACTGAAATCAAGTAGAGGATGTCCCCCATTTTATTCATTTTCCCCCAGAATTGTTTTAGGCTGTTCTAGTCCCTTTGTCCCCTTTCCATGTGTAATTTACAATAATGTTGTTATATCTACACAATTATTATTATTAGTATTATTGTTGTTATTTTGAGATGGAGTCTCACTCTATCACCCAGGCTGGAATGCAGTGACATGATCTCGGCTCACTGCAACCTCTGCCTCCCAGGTTCAAGCGATTCTCCTGTCTCAGCCTCCCTAGTAGCTGGGACTACAGGCGCGTGCAACCACACCTGGCTAATTTTTGTATTTTTAGTAGAGACAGGGTTTCACCATGTTGGCCAGGCTGGTCTGGAACTTCTGACCTCAGATGATACAAACGCTTCGGCCTCCCAAAGTGCTGAGATTACAGGAGTGAGCCACTGTGCCTGGCCATTATTTATATTTTGATATAAATTATTTTAAACCTGCATGTCGGTTTGGGGAGAATATACATTTTGACTTTTTTGAGTCTTTTAGCCCATAAGCATGATACATGTCTCCATTTATTTAGTTTTTTTAATTTCTTTCATCAATATTTTTAGTTTTTACCATACAAGTACTACATGTCTTTGTTAGACTTATATCCAAGTATTTTATTTTTGATTAATAGTAAGTGGTAATGTGTCTTAAATTTCAGTTTATAGGAACCAATAAATTGTTCATTGCTAGTATATAGAAATAAACTTGAGTTGTATATATTGATCTCATATCCTGTGATTATATTGGCTTGTGTTGATCTCATATTCTGTGACCATCTATAATACTAGAAGTTTTATTTTTGTAGATTCCTGAGGATTTTCTGTATAGACAATCTTGTCATATCCTTATCCTTTTCCTGCCTTATTATACTGACTAGAAATTCAAGTACTATGTTGAATATTGGGCATCTTTTTTTTTTCCACAATCTTTGGGGGTAAAAAGTCTGTAGGTGTCAACTTTTTACAGATATCCTTTATCAAGTCAAAAAAGCTCCTCTCTATTCCTAGTTTTCTGAGTTTTTATTGTGAATATATGCTGAATTTTGTCAGATGCCTTTTCTGTATTCATTGACACAATCATGGGGTTTTCTTTCTGTAGCCTCTTAATATGGTAGATTGCAGTGATGGTTTTCAAATATCAAGCCAGCCTTGAATCACTAGAATAAACCCAAATTGATCATGGTAGATAATTATTATTACATATTGCTAAATTCTATATGAGTAAGTATTAATTCTTCTTTAAATGTTTGGTACAATTATCCAGTGAAAGCATCTGGGCCTGGAGATTTATTTCTCGAGAGGGTTGAGTTAAATTTCCTTAATAGTTATAGGGCTATCCAATTTTTAAATTTCATATTAGATGAGTTGTGGTATTTTGTACTTTTCCAGGAATTGTTTCATTTAGTCTAAGGTGGAAAAATTTTCTATAGAGTTGTTTGTAGTATTCATTCATTATCTCTTATCCCCTTTATTCCCTTGATGGCTGCAGGTCTAAATATCCTCTGTTTTATTACTGATATTGGCAATTTGTGCCTTCATATCCTTAGATGAAAAATTGTTTTCACAACACACACAAAGCATAAATTACAAGGAAAGGATTGATATTGTTTATACATTAAAATGATATTTTATTTGCACCAAAAAATTATAAAATAAGTTAAAAAACAGGCCACTGATTGTGTAAAGGTGTTTTTAATACATATCACTAGAAAATATTAATATTCATTTCACAAAAATCTTAACACAATAAATACATAAAAATATTTCCCTAGTTATCCAGAAAATGCAAATTAAATCCTCAGGGATAAGACTTTTTGCCTCCAGAGGACTGGCAAAAATTTTAAATCTGATAATATCAAATGCAAATGATGAGGAGGACCAACGTAAGCTATTATACACAGCTCATGAAAATATCAAATGGTACAACTACTTTGGGAACATTTTTGGTAGTATCCAAAAACTTAAAGATGTGTATAGCAAAATATCCATAAATTCCAATTTTGAATATATTCTGTAGTGAAAAATCTTACACTTATGCCAAAGAATACCTGTAAGAAACTTAGAGCATTATTGTTTGTAATTATTTTTTTAAATTGGAAATATTGAGAGTGGATGTGTATTCCAGTGTATGTACATTTGAAAATATTATATAACTCCTAAGACAAATAAGCTAGAGATGCCAATATAAAAAAGATAAGTCTCATAAACCTAATGTTTACTGATAGAGCTACATTACTGAAGAGCACTTACCAAATATTTTAAAGTGTGGTAAACAGAAGTGACTATAGGGTTATGAGTGTAGCATATGGATGGACAAGGATATGTTCAGGAAGAGAATTATATCAATGCAAGGTGCATAGGAACAACTACAGTCTCTCCTGCTGCAGTAGATGTCTAGATCAAACTTATTTTTATCATCCTTCTCTTACACCAACCATTCTATATACCCTTCACCCTCAGCTAGCACCTCTGCTAGTATAGACGGCTTGCCTAGAGGTGAACAAAACTTCCATTCTAAAGGGGGTCTTAATTTTTGTCTATCATGTCCTTATCAATATTTGGCTGCTCTAATTGCACATTTTCTATTAAAAATGCACATTGCAGCCTCTCAAGAGACATCCCGGAGAACCAGTAATGCCAAGCATATTCTCTGTCCTTACTATGTAGTAGCAGCTCCTACCTCCTACTGATGACCGGGGTCAGTTACCACCACCAGAATACTAACTCCTTTTTTCCTTGCTAATTTCTTGGCATGAGAAACTCAAAGTAACGGTAAGAGTCACAACTTAAGAGTCGATGGAACTCTTACTGTGCCACCTGATGGAATTGTACCCTTTCCGGGGACCAGACATCTAGACCAACAGATCCTTTAGTAACAGGGAAAAGAAGCACAAATTCCGAAACTCAGTCACTGAGAACAATGCTAAGTGGATCCACTTCTATTTATACCTGTTTCTTGGATCTATTTTTTTCTACCTATCAGAAAACAATC